>NC_000015.10:25701116-26004146 GCF_000001405.40 Homo sapiens
ACGGGGCTTGAAAGGCAGCCTTTCCTACGCTTACAGATGGAGTGAGAGGTCCTAGAGGCCAGGAGATGAGTGGGGGCTGCTGCAATAACTCACAGAGCAGGAATGCTCCCACCAAGGCCATCTCAGAAAGGGGGACTCCCAAGCGACAAAGTCCCAAGGTCCTGATAGCTGATGGTGCAGGTGTGGACCTAAGAGGGGCTGGGGTGGGGAGTCTGAGTGTGAGCCCCAGAGAGGCTGTGGTGGCTTTGGCCACACTGGGGAGGAGCAGATCAGCCACAGCAAGACAGTTCCCTGCTCCATTCAAGAAGCCTGAAAGCCGGCGCAAGAAGTTTTGAGTGGGAACTTCTGCGAGGACTCAGAGCCCAGACCAGGGCAGTATATGAAGTAGCTACTCGCCACAGACTTGGGGATTTAAACAGACAAATCCAACTGGATAAAGAAGTCCTCAGTGCCTGCAATGATCCTGAGGTGGTCAGTGCTAAATGGACCACTGCCCTGGCTCCACTGTGGAAGCACAGGGGACCTCACGAGAAAGTTCTTTGATGACTTGGACAGTATGTCAGGAGAAACCAGGCTGAACTTTGTATCAATAAAGCCCAGACATGCATTCCTTTGGTACTAAGAAATTCCAGCAAACTTTACCTCTTCCAAGGCAATAACATGCACATCCTAAACCCGAATGCGGAGGGTGAGGTCCTTCTAACAGCAGCTGCCAGGAATGTGAGTGTCTGCCAAGGGGGCCACGATAAACATGGACCACCCCAGGGGAAGGAAGCGGAGCCACTTGAAACCCACCTACCTGGGAGGTGGCATTCAGGGTGATGACCTCCTCGTCGTGGTCCAGCAGTTTGCAGGCATATGCAATGTTGACAGCTGTTTCTTGTTTGTCACCAGTGAGAACCCAAATCTGCAGGCCCGCTTGACGCAATTTAGAAATAGTTTCAGGGACTCCGTCCTGCAGGCGGTCTTCAATCCCAGTGGCACCTGGTCAAATGCACAGCAGTGTGAGCGAACCCGCTTCTCACGTGCCCCCCAATCCTTCTGGGGTGCAAATGTCATGCACCAGATACACCGAAGGCAGGCACTGGTACAGCCCCTGTTGCCTGGGCCTTGCCAGGGGCTGGGCTGCCAGTTGTCTGCCATGTAGTGACAGGAAGTCCCCTGTGGAACCATTTCAGGACAGTGGTGGACGCTTTTGACAGCTCTGTCGATGTGACTCAGTCGAGTGCGTAGGAATAACTGTGAGTCACTGAGCATAATTATGTGTACTTACACCAAAGTACCTCAACTTCTTTCTAACTTGTAACTTTACAGATAACCTGAAGGCAAAGCGTATGGGAAGGTGTTGGGAATGACGATATTCGGAGGGATAAAAATATAGTCTTAAAAATTGCCCATCCCATAGAAAGCTTCTGGTGAATGAAATTCAGAATGTCCAGTCTCAACAATGCTTATTACTAGTCACTATAGAAACAGACTTCACAGGTAAGGCCATTATTTCTTGAAACCAAGATTATCCTAAATATGCTTTTTCCACAAACATAAAGAAGTTGAGAGGCAGGTTTTGCCTTTTTGGTCTCAGTATGTTGGGAAAAATCTACTATTGACTGCGGAAATGTGCTTAGGCCTGCCTCAGATTTTTTTTTTTTTTTTTAAGATCTGTTTACATCTTGGTGAGATGGTTTCTGTCTTCCCCACTCTGGAAGTGAGCTGCAGCCCTGGTCCCTAGGTTCGAGCCCTGACTGAGGCTCCTTTACTGCGCTACACCATGCTGTGCCCTGTGCTGGGATGCTGCTATGGACTGAGCGTTTGTGTCCCCCAGATCCATAGGAGGGAGCACTAATCCCCAGTGTGGTAGTATTAGGATGTGGGGCCTGCAGGAGGTAATTAAGTTCAGATGAGGTCATGAGGATGGGGCTCCCTCGATGGGATCAGTGTCCTTATAAAAAGAGGCACTGGGGTCGGGCGCGGTGGCTCACGCCTGTAATCCCAGCACTTCGGGAGGCCGTGGCGGGCGGGTCACTTGAGGTCAGGAGTTCCAGACCAACCTGGTCAATGTGGTGAAACCCTGTTTCTACTAAAAATACAAAAATTACCTGGGCGTGGTAGTGGGTGCCTGTAATCCCAGCTGCTCGGGAGGTTGAGGCAGAATTGCTTGAACCCAGGAGGTGGAGGTTGCAGTGAGCTGAGATCATGCCACTGCACTCCAGCCTGGGTGACAGAGCGAGACTCTGTCTCAAGAAATAAATAAATAAATAGGCATTGGAAAGGTGATTTCTCAATCTCCCCATTGTGTGAGAACACTGCAAGGAGGCAGCCATCTGCAAACCAGGAGGAGATCCCACACCAGACATTGTGAGCTGTTAGAGCCTTGATCTTGGACTTTTAGCCTTCAAAACTCTAAGAAGTAAATGTCTGTGGCTTAAGTCCCCAGTCTGTGGTATTGTGTGACAGCAGAACAAACGAACTAAGCCACCCTTACCCCTTCTTCTAGAATGATGGGATGGCAGGCATGGGGAGGGGAAGGTAGAACTGAGGTACAGTAAACACACAAGTGTACATTTCTTAAATATTCCTTTGATACACTTTCACAAGTCACATACCAGTGTCACCAGCCCTGAACTTAGGGGGCAGAACATCACCAGCACCCCAGAAGACCCCCTCAGGGGCAAGTGGCTGATCTGCTGTCTTCCAGCTCAGGTAGCCTGGGCCTAGCTCCCATGTCGGGGATGTACTGGAAGGTGATGTGGGAACTTGGGGAGGGCCCAGAAAGGAGGAGGGAACATTGCACCCATGCTGCACACTGCTCTGAACCTTATAACCTGAGTACCCTGGGAAGACCACACAGCGTGTGGAGCTTAAGACCTGCTCAGGAAGAAAGCCAGGTCACGCTCTGTGCTCCCCGTGAGCACATCCCCAGCCACCCGGGCACCGGGAGGGCATCTGACCTTAGCTTTGCTCCTCTACCCTGGCCCTTGGGCTCTAGTAGGGGGGCAGACTGTGTGTGGCCCGTGTCCCTGGCTCATCCTGAGTGTCACTTGTACTATGACAGGTTCCTTGATGTCTGGGGAAGACAGGGATGGTCTTGCCTTCCTCTGTGTGTTCATAGTAATTCATTCATACTTAATGATAGTAATAATGATTATAGAGTAAGACTAATAATGGCTAACCTTGATGGATTACTGACAATTTGCCAGGATAACGCTTCCACTACAGTGCTTGAAACATAACCCAAGCAGTTGCCCACTCTTCTCTAAATGGCAACTTCCTGCCTCAAGGACCTTGTGCCTCCCACCTTTGTATCCGAGCTGCTGAGCTAAAGTCCCTCAGTCAAATGTCTGCCAAGAAAGAAAGCAGGGAAGGCCTTGCCGGAAACTCCAGTACGGAGGGTGTCTGCTGTTTCACAGGGAAAAGTTAACACCTTGAAAACAGAACCTCCTTAGTTCAGGAGCTATTTGGTCAAACTCATGGGCCTCCCACTGGGTCACCCCACCAACACTCACCTTTATAAGGTGTGAGCCTGAGTCAGGTGCAGAATAGCATTGAACTGAAAAAGGAGTTATGGGAGGGACCCCCACCTCGGCATGAAACATGGCAGAGGAAAGAGTACCTGCAGGCAGCAGCCTTTCAAGATGATTTGGGGCACAGCGGCTTTCTTCAGCTTTCCAAGGTACTTGTTTGTGATATAATTTATGTGACTCTGAGTAAATGCCACTGTCTTTACGACCTGACCCTCTGGAAGGCCTGGCATTTCTGAGTATCATAACTCAGGAGTTGGTGGTGTGCAGAGCCCAGCGTCACTGTGCTTGGTGCCACACAGCTTTGAATGGGAGGGGAAAGGATTTCACCAACGAGGAAGTTTTAGACATTTAGAGAAACTAGCAAGGACGCCGGGGAAAATGAGCAAGAGTATCCTTTGAATTTAGGTTCCTGCCCAGAGCATTAAGGAAAAGAAAATTTCAAGAGCATGGAGAGAACGGAGATCCTTTCTGCTGAAGATAGTTATGTATGGTTCTCTGATGCTATTTAAGATAAGCACCTGGGCCTGGTGCAGGGGCACACGCCTGTAATCCCAGCACTTAGACAGACTGAGGCAGGAGGATCACGTTAAACCAGGAGTTTGAGACAAGCCTGAGTGAGACCCTGTCTCTACCAAAAAAAAGTAAAAATTTATCTGGGCCTGGTGGCACACGCCTGTGGTCCCAGCTACTCAGGAGGCTGAGGCGGGAGGATCACTAGAGCCCAGAAATTTGAGCTCACAATGTGCTGTGATCGCACCATTGCACTCCAGCCCAGGTGACAGAGTGAGACTCTGTCTCAAAGCAAAAAAAAAAAAACAAAAAAAAAAAACAAAAAAAATCACCTTCATGAAAAGATTTGGCTTTGGAATAGTAAAAATATAAGTGGCTGGCTTCACTTTTCTTAATGAAGCTGAGGAGCTGGAACACAGTGCCCGCGTTTGAGCCATGTGAACGCTAAGGTGGTGGGTGGCTCCCATACTCTCCAGCTCAGGCCTCGTCATTTGAAACATAAACATATCAGGTAGCAGGAGATGGTAAGTGGTTAACAACCGGTCTGTGGGAGGAAGGTCGATTTACTGCATTTGCTCATTTCTGTGGTATAAATACTCCCACCTTGGCTGACTTCAATCTACTAACATAGCATCAAAAGGCGACGTGAGATTCCTGAACATTTATGTGGGCTACTGCAAAATTCTTCAAAATGTATCCATGAGCTCTGCCAGGAGGCGTGAGCAGGCTCCAGTGCACGGCTGGCACCCATGTGGGCAACCCAGGAGTTCCATCGCTGACACATCTCAGAGCCATCCTCACGTGCACCTGGAGGGAAGGAATCCACCTGAGGATGACAGCGGGATGTGGTGGAATCAGTTTGGAGAAACGCTGATGACCGGGATCCCGACTCCAATCAGAGGAAGTGGAACAGGGGATCGGTAGACAACTCTGATTTTAGATCTTCACACAGTTGCCCAAGTAAAAATTATAGAATCCAAGCAAGGAATCCCTGTGAAAAAGGCCTAAGAAGATGACTGGAACTCAAGTTAACCATGAGCCTCGGGTGCCGCAGGGGCCGTTAACAACTTAGGATATGTTAACAGAGCTGCAGCATCCGGGCCAAGAGAGGTGACCGATGCACGATCACCAGAGAAAGCCTGCAGAGGAGAGGCCAGCTGGGTGGAAACGGTGTGGAAGCACCAACCAGGAGACTCACCACACAACCGCTCAGTGCCAGGCCCTGTGCCTGCGCCACGCTCAGTGCCCCCCGTCATCCCTTCCTTTCACCCTCACAAGAGCCCAAAACACTGGGATTACCACAGAGCGGAACTTGGATGCAAAAAGGATTGAGCCACTTGCCCCAGGCTGTCCGATCAGCCTGCATGACCAGCCCGCATGACCAGCTTGCAGTGGCAGAGCAGGGCTGGACAACTGAGTCAGGGCTCCTGGGCTCTGAGAGCAGGGAAGATGGAGAAGGGGCAGCCTGGGACTCACAGCCATGTCCCCAAATAGTCAAGGTTTCATCATGTGGAAAAGGGAGGAGATTCTGTCTGCATTACTCCAGGGGGCGGAACCAGCAAGCACTGTGAAATGGCACCGGAGGGCCAATTTCACTCCATTTGAGAAGTTAGTGCTGTCCAGGGGAAAAGCTGCTCCCTGGGGAAGGTGCCCCACAGTGAAGGGTTAAAAACAAGCCTGGTCAATGAGGCTGGGCGGGCACGTCTGGGACAACCAGCAGATGCCTCCTACCCCACAGGCCTGCACAATACTGTCTTCCGGGGAAGCCCAATCAGTCCAGACGACAGCAGCCCTGCTTTAGTAAGCCAAAACTTCAGGGCCTAAAACAGGCACAGCCATTTCTCAGGTGTTCCATTTAATTCACATCCAGGGCTGCCACTCATGGTGCCACTGGGCCCCTGGATCCCGGGGCTTTCCAAGTAATGTGTGGCCTCCTATAAGATTCTGTGGGCAAACAATATATAAAATGTGTGCAGATATATGTTATGCCTAGTGTACATTATGCTATTAAATGCAAACCTTAACTATGTATTATACTAGAAATGTAGATGTAAATATATAGCTATCCCAACTCCTCTGCCCAGAAAAAGAGGGCAAGTGAACACCGCCTTTTTGTGTTAAGTGAAGATGACCTGCCCAGGGCTTTGTGCTCGAGAAGTACCACCTGACTCACAGCACCCGAGATGGAGGTGGGGGTGGACCATCCTCAACACCAGCTCTTCAAGGACACACAGAGCATGTATACAATGACTTGGCTATTTAATGAATGCTTTAATAAATAGGAAAATAAATATTTTAAGTATTAAAGTAAGCATTAACATAATAAATACCTTCATTTATCACTAATACTAGTTAGCATTTATTAAGTACCAAGATGAACACAGCTGGAAATGTGGACATATTTCAGTAAAAATGAGCCCATTTTCTTTTCATTCACCTCGAATCTGTGAAACATTCCTAAGATGCAAAATGCAGCAGTTTCTGGGTCCCAAAAGTTTCCCTGTTTCCCGAGGGGAAAATCCTTTCAACTCCCAACTGTCAGAAATCTCACTCCTTGGCTCTATTTTTGGTGGGAAACCAGGTTAAGGGGAAGCGTGGCAGCTGCTGTCTTGGGGTGCCTGGGGGGCAGCACGTGCACCTCACAGAAATGAGACTAGGAGAAGATTCAGGCAAGCACCCTCCCGCCTCGGCTGTGCCAGCGTCCTGCCAGGTGGCTCCCTAACCAAGGCCAGCCTGCGGAGCAGCCGCTGACAAGAGCACTCACCCCTCCAGGGCCGTCCCTGCAAACTCCACACTGCCCTTAGGCATGCGACTCTCAAGTTAATTACCTAACAAGTGCAGGTTGGTCTCCAGGCGAATGGCAGACTGGAAGAGGAGCTCCTCGCTGTTTTCCAGGGAGGATTCGGCTTCTAGGTGGCTTTGCAACCAGCAGGCATACTCTTCTTTACTCAGAACCTATGGGAGATACATTGTTGAGTGCTGCACCGGGCGCTGCTCACTGTGGGGCGGCCACCTGCACGTGCACCCTCGCGGAGACACCCCCACTCACTCTCTTGGCGATGCACAAGGTGCGCAGGCCTTCCGCCGCATACACGTTGAGGTAATTCTGAGTTTTGCTCCGAATCTTTTTTTGATGCCTCCCTCTGGCGTCAACTAGGTTGGAGAATAAGCAGAAACATGGGTAAGAACTGGCGCCTGTGGAATGGTCTTCAGACACTCCGAGATTTACCCCACGTCTGTTCGTTACTTGCGAATAGAGCACAAATTTTCATATAGAATTCAAAGCAAAAATGAGCTGTTATGTTTTAAAAAAGAGTCTCATCAATATGTTTGACTGTTTTATTTTATTTTTTTATAGAGACAGGGTTTTGCCACGTTGCCCAGGCTGGTCACGAACTCCTGGACTCAAATCATCCACCCGCCTCGGCCTCCGAAAGTACTGGGATTACAGATGTGAGCCACTGCGCCCTGCTGATGTTTGGCTGTTTTTAACATCCTTTGTTGAAATAAGCTCATGAAAATAAAAACTACATCAAAAGTCATTTGGCATCCTTTTGCCCAGCCTATTAAATGGAGGCTCACGTTCTTCCTGTTAATGAAAATTCTTACTTAATGGGAAGTGCACTTTCTATCCTCAGAAGAGTAGGATCCTTACAAGTAGCATTGCCAGATACAACAAACGATGTCTAAATATGGCATAGGACATACTTTTACTTAAAAAAGGATTTGTTTGTCTGAAATTCAAGTTTAACTGGACATTCTATATATACAGTTTGTGAAATCTGGCAACACTACTGACCAGTCATGAGGCCCGTGGCCCAGGAAGGATTATCTACTAATCTAAGTCCACCACCTGAAAGAGGACCCGGTAAGAGACCCTTTTACATGCCTGACCGTGCTGCATTCTCCACAGGGGTGACAGAGCCCTCAAGGGAGTGATCACTGGTTCTTGGAGGTGGAAAAATCTTACTCTTTTCTAAACAAAGTCTAAGTACACATATAGAACATAAACAGATACACAGCATATCTATGTTATTAAAAGGCCAGGAGGGGACAATTGAAAAAGAAGTCAGAAAAGACTCTTTATGGAGTTGATAATGGGGAAGAAAAACAGTTGCCCTAGAATCCTTTGCTTTAGGTATTTACATTTCCCGAAAGGATGATGCTCAAACTCATCTTTGTATTCCTGGTATCGTGGTAACACTCTTAGAAGATGCAGATAACCTTTTCCCAGAATCAGATTGTTCCTCGAGCAAAGCCGTGCCTAACTGAGGGGTTTTGGAATTGAAATACTCTTGATAAAGCTGTCCCATTGTCCTGAGAGGTGACATGTGGCGTGCACTGGGACGTGCGGTGGTACCGGGTGTGACACTGAGATTAACCACTCTCCAAAACAAAATGAACCGAGCCCAGGGAGGGAGGATGGGCCACTCGGGACCCTGGGTGCCCCAGACGAGGAGACGGCCCCACAGGTGTCTGCTTCTCAGGTGGACAATGGGGTGTTTCTTTGCAGGGCCATCTGCACAGAGCCTAGTGACAGGGAGCACCTGGCCCTGCCAGGCAGAAGTGGCTGAGCCCGTTGTCCTCTCCTGCAGACATGGACACACACCTGTGCCCCTTCTGGCGAGATCTGCCCCTCGTTCTTGGGTGACTTTTCCCTTACATGTCCTGCCGCACCTACCACTGGGCAGTCACTGCGGAATACCGAGGCTGGGCTTTGGAGGGTGGGGCCCTTGTGGAGGCTGGAATCGGTCTACACTCTGATGGGGGGTAGGAGAGGATGGGAAGAACTCAAGCTCCAAGGAGACCATCACCGAGGAGCTGGGGGAACCTCCGAAGGAGAATGTACTGGGGAACAGAGTGTGGATCCCTAGAGGCATTCAGTCAGCCCTGCTCTTCTCCACTTGCTGAAGTGATGCTGGGGGTGGCTGATTTCGAGCTGAAGGCATGGCAATTTTCACACTGCATTTTAGGCAACGGTCATGCAATATTAGCCCCTTCTTTCTGATGTTCCACAGCCACCCAAGTCCTGTGTGTCTTGTCTCCCTATGGTGACAGGAGGAATTCTGTGCCTGGAACTCAGCTCCTCGGGTGAGGAGTGACACCACCTGAGGGAGTGGGACCAGTGCTGCCCGGCGCCCCCTGCTGGGCAGGGACAGTCGAGAGCTCTGTGCTGCAGGACGCTGAGGCTGCATCTGGGTCGGGGCAGGAGCAGGAGGCTAAGGGGCACAGCTCCAGGTGCAGTCTGCGAAGATGACTCCAGTGCCCACTGACCCCAGACACAGCAGGGCCGAGACAGCTGCACCTGACAGTGGGCTGCACCTGATGTTCCCACCAGGAGACAGCTGGCGAGTGGTGCTTGCAGACCCACAGAGAGGCCCTCAGAGGGATGAGGGTAGCCTCTCTTCATGATTTTACCACGTGCTTTAAAATTGCTCCAAGTGATATTTCCATTTCTTCTAAGCTTTACAAGCGATATTTCCCCAATAAGGAGTTATCTTATTAAAATGGCAAACTAACGTGCAGTCCCTGCTTGTACATGCATGTACTCATCATGCAAAAAACATATACTGATTACTGCATGGTATCAATGTGTGAGGCCCACGCTAGGCAGTGGGCTACGGCCATCTCTCTGTCCTTGCTCTGGGAGAAGGCAGAGTGGCCTGAGGTTTACACCTTAAAGACCACTCCAAGTAGCAACGCCACCAAAGCATAAGCAAGTGGATCTTAACAAGAAGGAGCCAGAGACTTGGGAAAGGTACCGAGTGGACGCTGGACATCAATGTAACAGCAGGCACTGAGCTAGGGGCTCATGTGGGGACTTCCCGTGAGAGGCAGGCACTGTGATTTCCTTTGTAGATGGGAAACTGAGGCACAGAGTGAGTGACTCGTCCAGGGTCATCCCAGCCGTAAGTGTAGACCTGGGATTTGAACAGAGATCTGTGAGAATGGGTTGGGGTGGAGTCCCTGCTTGTTGCCTGACACCACACCTGCCAGGGCAGGTGAGCCATGGCCCCATCCTGCTGATATCATACAGTCACATCCACTATCTGCTCAGCCAACTCGGGCCTCTTCTGGTGAAAGTGTTTCGAGCCCTCTGAAGAGGGCATCAGATTAAGTCTGGAGTGGGACACCTCTGTGCCCTCCTCAGTTTGTCACCTACACACAGGTAGTAAGTTGATTTACACAGGCAGAGCGATTCCCAGGCACAGTGAGCCCTCTGCAATGAGTCTGCACCTATCCACACCCCTCCACCGCTCCCCAAGTAAAAGGCGAATGATCTGTGCATAAGGGCAGGCGGTCACAGGTGGGTAACTTCGAGGGGACTCCAGGGCCCTCCTGTAGTCGTTCTCTTGGGAAACTGCTGGGGTCTCTGAACTTCCTGAACCTTAACCTGCCCAGTGTTGACACGTAGATCTTCCCTATCCAAAGCTGACTTCATGCACTGCTTGGAAATTCCCAGAGGAAGGCGGAGATCAACACAAGCCCTTGATTAACTTTTCCTATCAATGTCATGGTTTTGATAAGGTGAGAGTTGAGACAATGTCATTACCTGGCCCTTCCATGATGCCATGGATTTGAGGTTCTTTTTCTTATCTGCAGTTACCTGGTTATGGGAAGCTCCCTTCCTGAGACCCAGAGCAAAGCCACGCTGACGATGCCAGGTCTGAGAGGCTCCCCGGCCTGGGCAGGGGCTCCCCTACCCCGACTGTGAGTTTGATTTTGAGTCGGAGGAGAGCATTGTGGATTGTCTTGTAACCGGCATCAGGTGCCTTCCCAACTTGCAGACAAACGAGGAAATCCCTGGCTCACTCAGGGGCCTCTGGAGGCCAGGCCACCACTGTTCCTTTTGCCATGGCCCTCGGCACCTGCTAGTGAACAGGCAGGGGGGCCCTGCCTCTTGATAATGCTCTATCCACTCTGGGAAGGTACCAGAAAAGCAGGAGTAGGAGAGTGAGCAGGTCGTGACGCTAAATTCATTCAATTGAAAGGCATCCAGTTTTCTGGGTTATCCTTGGTAATTTTTTGGGGGGGACGGGGTGGAGTGTGAAATGTGGTCCTTCTTTTATGAAATAATGGCTGATGGTATTAGTGAGACTTAGTGACAGCAGTTCTTTTTGTGTGTGTTCTGCTTTTGAGGTTTTTACTCATGTAAAAAAATATGTTGCCAGCAAAGACAAGCCCGGCAAGTGCTGCGGCCTTCCTTGCACAGCTCACAGGGCTCCCTGCTCTACAGGACTGGACAGGCCTCGCCTGCCAGCGCTGGGCAGCCCCCACATGCCAGGGCCACTCCATGCCTTCCCCTTAGACATCACCCGTCATGCTGTGAAATCTGAAGCCCAGGACCCCTTATGTTGTCTTGAACCCAAGGCTGTGGAATAAGAGAGATTTTTTTTTGCTGTAGAATGAAATCACTCAGATAATTGCCCTATTTATGTTTTTCTTTTGTGTGGATGTAAACAAGAATCGATTTTCAGAAGAAGCTTCCTAGAACTCAAACTGTGTCCATGAATTGGATTCTTTGCTGACTCCAAGGCAGAGCCACTGCAGTGGGAGAAAGGGAAGATCTCGCCCCGCGGTGGTCATCATCATGGAAGGTCATCCAAACTCCTCTCAGAGACACATTTGCAGATTTAGCTCAGCTGCCTTTTGGAGGTCACAGCTCTGTGATGGGGACATGGATTTCCTGTATGAAGCTCTTCCTCCCATCCAATTCTCCATCATGAGTGGTCCTGGGCTTCTGTGCCAGGGGTCCTCTCCTGAGGCACTGAGATGCTGGCAAGAAAGGCCAGTGGGAGGTAAAGTACTCCCTAGCTCCAACTCGGAGCTCCAGAAGGGAGCAACCGGCTTATAGCATTTCCCAGCAGCTGCTGCCCAGAGGTACTTCCAAGGTGCAGCAAATAGGAAGCCCGTGGCAGGCAGTAGAGCCTCAGCAGGGCCCCTAGGCTCCTGCAGCATCCTCACCTCCACCCAGTTCAGTTCCCTGGAGGTGAGGCTGCACTCCTCCGTCCTCTGAGCACAGAGGGAGAGGTGGGTGGCCAGGTTCCCTTTATGAGGGGGGCTCGGCCCTTCCCCTCCCAAGTGCCAGAACAGAGGGCAGTGGGGGAGGCCAGCATCCCTTACTTCCTGGGCCCCCACTGTGGCCCAAGGCAGCCCCATAAACTGTGGCCTGGATCTCTCTGCTGCACCAGGTCCACAGGGCAGGAAGAACTTTCTAGAGCTACTAGTCTAGATTCTCAACCTTCATTGTTCAAATTTAAAACGTGACACTCTTCAAGTATCCTCTGACCCCCCAGTTCTTGGAGGTGGGGGTGTGCAGGCATGGAAGTCCCCTGAATACTTCCTAGTCCAAACCCTTCAAACAGGCAAACACTGATCTGAAGAAACCATGCAATTCTCCAATGGGCATTTCTGTTGGAAAAGGATTAATGAAAATCACTTTACTCAAGAGAAGGAATTGGGTGGGGATATTTCTCAGGACCTCCTCCCCCGAGCTGGGGTGCAGCTGGGCAGGGGTGGGAGTACCTGAAGAGCAGGGCTGCAGGAGATCCATGACCACTGAGTCGGCCCCCTTGGTGTAGACGTTGATCTCATCGGTAAGCGGGTGCCGGATCACCACTGACATCCTCTTGCGGACGGAATCGAAACCCAGTGTGTGCAGGAGCTCGAAGGTGAGCCTGCCCAGGTGGGGCAGCTCCACTGACACTTGGTCGTGCAGCCGCTCCACAAGCACGCAGTTGTAGGCTCTGGCCGCATACACCAGTGCGGCCTCATCCGGGCTCTCCGCCTCGTACCGCAGCTCGCGCTCTGACTCCTGCTCCTGAGCAAGCTCCGAGGCCCAGTTGTCCGCCTGGCTGCTGTAGCCGTTGCTGGCGATGGCCGAGGTGGGCTGGCCCAGCCTCTCCTCCAGCCTGAGAAGCATGCCGTCGCTGGACGGGGTGGACGGGAAGCTGGAGCCCAACTTGTGGCTGGACTTGTTGGCGGCCAGGCTCCCGATGCTGCTGCAGCCTGAGGTCAGGCAGCTGGGTGTGAACCTCCGCAGGAAGTCTTCTATCGTCTTCACCGGGGACTTCAGCTCAAACCTCACCCTCACCTGCAAGAGAAATGGTCAGAAGGCAGGTGAGGGAACTGCTATGTCCCCCAGAGGCCCCACCCTGGTTCCCACAGGATGCTCCAGGCACTTGGAGGAACAATGACCTCGCTTCCCCACTGGGGTCTCAGAGCACAGATTTCCCATTTCCCAGATTTCAGGCATGCATTGAAATTGCAAGCAGAATAGTGTCGCAATAAACATGTTGTGCACATGTATCATAAAACTTCTTAAAGTATAATAATAATAATAAAAAAAGAAATTGCAAGCAGAGACAGTACTCCTTCCTTGAGATCGTCCGCTGGCCTCTTCCACTTCTCTTAAACAAAGGTTATGCAAGATTCTTTCAGAACGTGATTGCCGAGGGCCCATCAGTGAGGCCTGGATGTATGCAGGGGAGTTGCAGCTGGTGGCATCTGCAGGCTTCTTTTGGGGCTGTCCCTGCACTACAGTGTCCCCTTGCTTTGCAAAAAAACAGCTCAGGGGAGCAGGCTCACCATTGCCTGGCACAAAACTGGGCATTTTTTTTCCAATTAAAAAGTCACTTAACAAACCATCAGTTTATACTTCCTTTGAATTATGTCTATAAAAATTTAATATACAAATCACATTTCCAGTCCCCAAATAATCCTTCTAAGCGCATTAAATACACTGACAAATTGAGGATCCCAAACATTGAAACAATATTTTAACCACCACAGTAAGAAACAAAATGAATGACACATATACACACACACACACACACACACACACACACACACACAATTGTTAAAGTTTCAAAAAGCTCAATGATAGGGCAACAGAGCCACGCTTTTTTCTTGCTCTTTATTGAAAGAGCAAATGTCAAAACAACCAAAATACTGAATTAGCAATTCTTAAAACTGCAATTTTACCATTGCATCCTAAGTTGTGAATTACAGTAACAGCCTCCAGAAAAATCAGGTGTTTGGTAAAGCAAGGTGCATAGAGCCAGATTTTGATACAGGTGCTTTTCCTTTGGTCTTGTTATGACTTTAAATACGCTACATAGCCAGCTGGGAGACATAGGCACCTGCACAGCAATCCCTGCTGGCTCCAAATGTCCTCGAAGGTGGCGCTCACCAACCAATATGTGGGAATAGAAATGCACCCAGAGACATCTTCACCTGCAGCCTGAGTGTGGGTGATTGATAGGCTGTTCCCTAGGTGGAACTCAAGCCGTGTAACCTTCAGCACAAGCCTCAATGACGCTGCCATCTCTCACCCTTCATTTAACATCTGTCAGTCAGGGTCTAGCCCAGAAAAGGGGCACTTCCTGCAGGGATATACACCAGAAGGGTTTTTAATGCTGGGGGCAGAGCCCAGAGGCCAGATGGGAGATGCTGAGGCAGCCAGGAGATGAACTGCAGCTTCGGGAAGCAGCTCCAGCCCAGGGCTGCCGGCCTAAGCCTCAAGCCTGCTGGTCTCTGAGTGGCAGGCCTGTCCACTTGGGAGTCACTGGGTCCAGGTACTGCCAGACATGCTGCTGCAGCAGAGAAAATACAGGCCACCTTGTTCACCCCACATCGCCTGCGGAGGGACCTGCTGGAAGGGCAGACCCAGGAGGCTGGGAAGGGATCCTGGGAGAGTCGGGGGCTGGGAGGTCTATGACACACACCTACCCCATTCAACATTCAAAACTGCCTGGTTCCATATGCATATCACGCTTCCGTGCCCCCTACACTGCCTAGCCCACTGTAGGGCTTTCTGGGGTGCACTGGGTGATAGAGGAGCTTTCACACGTGCAACCTTTCCTCTCTCAGGAGAAAACCTTAATGTCAGACTGAACCAAAACCAATTTGAGCATTGCTATATTTCCAGTGTCCTAAGTAGCCTCTGATCGATTCTCGACCGCTTTTCATTGAAGAACAATCTTCGATGCCCCATAAATCCTCCCCATGGCCCCACGGCCCAGGCGGGCACCCCAGGCACAGGGAGGAGGCCAATGTGTCTCCAGCTGCATGGCTGGTAGAGTCAGGGTCCATGTGCAAGCTCCTCGTCCCAGAAGCTGGGCCCCCGGCCTGTCTTGTCCTCTCTCCTGTGTGGATCTGGGACCCTGAGGCTCGGGGAGGTTGTCCTGGGTAGCCTCCCTCTGGCCCTGCCCCAGGCCAGGCAGCGAAGGAAGGACCCAGGCAGGCAGGGCCTCCACACACCCACCTGCCTACCTGAGGCTGGCCTATCTGGCTGCCCTGTGTCCCTCCCCTCCCAGGCTCAGAAGTCATCTCTGGTGGGCTGCCCCCTCCCACTTGGCCCCAATCATAGCCCCTGCCCACTATAGCCTGGGGCCAACGCTGCAGAACCACAAGCACTGTTTTGCCCAGTATGAAGCACCCCACCGCATCCCCCTTAGGTCACGATGTGCCAAGAGCGCTTGCTGCAGGAAAGGGAAGGGCGCCTGCCCTCAGGAGGACTGACAACCATGGCCCGCAGCGCAGAAGGTCAAGGTCAAGCTCAGGGACCCTCCAGAACTTGCCTTTGTTCGTGGCTGATCCGGGGACGTGACGACGACTGTGTTGCAGATGGTGAGTGCGATGAAGAAATCAAAGACGTCAGACAGCTCAGGCGAGAGGTGGGCCAGCAGGTGCTCCTGATGCCTCGCCACGGCTAGGCTCTTGTCACACTCACTCACCTTCTCCAGCAGCTTTGGGTCGGGCGTGATATCCTTCTCCTGGGAGAAAGGGAGGCTGGCAGTGAGTCCCACCCAGTAGCCTGCCGAGGATCTTGGGGCGTGACTATTTAAGGTACTTTGATTTTATTATAAGCTGTAAACAGAACTTCATCTCTCATATACATATATGTCATTTTATAATTGTAAATTACTTACAATTTTAATTGCACAAAATATACAGAGCTTCTATCCACTTTGTGAAAACCATGCTTCAGCATTGCCCTCTAGTCTTTTCGCTCTACATTTAAATTTCACATAATCAAAATATTTTATATACATATTGGTGGTTTCCATTTTCTCCAAAACATTATTAATTGTCTGAACTTTTCCAGGCTTTTAAGAATTATTTAAAAACACATTTTAACAACTTGAAAATGGATATGTCATCATTTATTTGACCATCCCTTTATCACTGGATATTTAAATTTCTTTCAGTTTTGCTGATGTAAATTACACATTGATAAACTTCCATATGTAGCAATCCTTGGCTGAATCGCTAAATTGCTAGACGAGAAAGTTTGAATACTTTAAATACTCTTGACTCATACTGAAAAATGCTGTCAGGAAACCTTGTTCCAGTGCAGCCTCCCTCCTGCCAAGCGTGAGAGCCCCCACTCCCAGGGGCCCTGTAGAAACCCACCAATCAGCGTCCAAAACTCGAAATCAGCCCTATTTAGATGGCAGCTTCTCTGTGGGTTTAGAAGCACATGAGAGAATGAGGCCACCACAGAGTAAGCAAGGGGGATTCATCCCCTCTGCTGCATTGGTAAAACATTTCAGAAGTGAAAGGCTCTTTCAGAGGTTATTGCTCACTTCTCGCCTCTCCGTGCTGGATGATGGTGGTCCATTAATGTCTGGGCGGCTGACAAGGCCAGGCAGAAAGTATTTTATGGATTTGGGCTCGTCTAATTAAAACTCCCTTGGGAGGGGTTGGCTTTGCTTTTTAGCGGTTGTCATCTTGTCCTGAGGTTTTATTTGCTTCATTTGGCAGCACGGGCTTCCTCTTTGTCACCCTTTCTGGGTGACTTGCCAGCAATCAACCAGCCTTAGAAGCCATGCAAAGGGGCCATGTCAGTGTCTTGGAAAAGACGACAGTGGAGAGAAAGTGTTGGCCAGAAAAGCTTCTGCTGAGTAGAGCCAAGCCGCCCAGCGACAGTGTATTTGTAGGATTAAATATAGACACCTTCCATGAGCGGGGGATGGTGAAAATGGGGAAGAGACGTGGCAGCACCCTAGCAGGAGGCCCTGTACACTCACCATGGGGCTGCTGAAGGCCGTGTGCTTGGACAGCATGCTGGCCCTCTTGGCCTCGGCCCGGCTGCCCGTGCGCCGGTGGGACTTGGTGCTCTGGGTTCTGTGCACCACCCGGACACTCTGGTGGCTGCCGATGCTGCCGCGCTGGGACACCGAGCCCCCTCTGGGCACCACCTCCTCCTCCTCCGAGTCTGCCTCTTGGTACCTGGCCAGACGCTGCGCTGCGGGGAGAGGGCGCAGGGTGAGGCATCATGGGGGAAGGCTGGGCGGAGCAGAAAGAAACCATTCAGTGTGTTTTAGGTTCCGCGAGGCTTCCGGCAGGGCAGCCCCACAGGATTCACCACCCTTGCTCTCTAATAGCAAGGCACGGAGAACATCCTCAGTCAGCTGCAACCTGGGGAGGTTGATATTCTCAACTCTGTTTCACAGAGACTGACTTTCATCTCAGAGAACGTAAGGAGCTTTCTAAGGTCGCACAACTTAGGGGAAGGGGAACGGGTTGACGTCCAGCCGGTCTCTTCAGGTAGAGCCTAGGTGTACATGGGGTAGGGTGGCAGGTGGCCGGGAGAGGGAGGCAGGACAGAGGGTGGCAGGCCTTCCAGTCATGCTGGGATGACGGTGCTCACCTGGTGCTGAGCTCCTTGCCCACATGGACGGTGGCCACCATCTGCTCCTGTCTGGATGAAATGCTATGGCACAGGGGGGCTCACACTCCCAGATTGCACAGCTTGGACCCCTACAGCTAGGGTTTGGACTCAGCTTTGAAACTCCATCCAAGATGATCTTGACTGTGATGTTGCCCTGCTGAGCAAATTCCCCATGACCTGGTGAACGCTGGGCAAATCCCCTTTAGAGGTGCCTGCGCTGTGGCTTCTTGCTAACCCATGGCTCTGAACCAGTTTTCTGGGTTTTGCCCAGGGAGGACAGCTTGTTTCACCGTGGATGAGCAAAATGGAGACCATTCATGAGGATTACTTATCAGAACAACCGTTTAATCAGAACTTCAAGCACAGGCATGGTGCTGAGTCAAAGCAGCAGGGGCCTGTCAAGAGGCCGGAGAAGGAGATACTTATGGAGCCGGCCAGCCGCGTGGACCACTGCGCATCTCTTAATAGACCCTCTGTGAGAGATGAGAAAAATGGGGATAAAAAAGGGGAAGTCACCTGCCCACCATCACAAGGCTGAGTACTTGCCAATGCCAGGATTCCAACTCAGGGAGATCCTAATTCCAGGAGCAGATGCCCCGCAAATGCCTCCCCAGCTCTCGGGTGGCATCAGCCCAGTGCACCGGAAGCAAGGACGCACAGAACCTGGACACATGACTCTGTCCAGCATGAGGTGAGGGGCTGGGCTTCAGCTGCCAAGAAAGTGGACTGGCCCATCCCACCCTCCCCCAGCAGTGGTCCCGCACATCCGGAGCTCCATGGAGCCATCCTTCAGGGCCCCCTCCTTCCCTCAGAGGCTGTGGGGGCCACGGCTGGTATGTTGGTGTTCTGAAGCAGTTTCTGATCGGCAGTGGCCCCTGGGATGCCTTCCATGTCCCCAGGAAAGATGAGGCCCAGGAGCAGGTAATGCCCCCTCCTGGGCATGCACAGCCAGCTAGCTCCAGGTCATCTTGCCAAGCTGTCAGAGGGGGCACACCCAAGGCTTCCACAGCCGGTTCTGGTACGTGAGCAGGGCTTGGGGCTCAGAGTCCATCTGAACTCCTTTATGAGTGACATCTGGAGAGGTCAGATCATAAGATAACTGGCTGATGACGCTCCTTGCCTGGGTGCCTGTCAATAGCTAGCTGATCCAGGCACTTCTCTAAAACACGCTGCTGAGATGTATGTGGTTTCATTCATCACCAGGAAGCTCCCTGTGTCTTGAGGCAAGGAAACCCTCTGGTTTTATGGTAGCATTTGGCAACTGTCAGAATCTTTCTGTAATCTTAGTTGGGATCCTGCCCCTGGGAGCCTAAGCTTCCAACTTTATTATTATCTTTTAAATGTATTATTATTATTAATGGATAAATCAGTACTGTATACATTCATGGGGTGCAATGTGATGTTCTGATGTATGTGTACAATGTGGCATGATTAAATCATGCTAATTAACAAATCTGTCACTTTGCTTGCCTATCATGTTTTTATGATGAGACAGTTAAAATTTACTCTCTGAGTCGTTTTGAAATGTGTAATACATTTTTATTGCCTCTGGTCACCTGGCTGTGCAACAGATCTCAAAACCTATTCCTCGTGTCTATCTGAAACTGGGTCTCGGCTTTAAGGGCTGCTGTAGAACCGACTGCCCGGGTCTCTGATCCCCTCAGGACTCTGCTGAGTTCTGTTTTTGAGAAGAGCACAATGCACTGTGCTGTACCAGGTTTAGCAACTATGGGAGGGGAAGGGGAGGAAGGAGGGAGAGGAGAGGAGGGTAGGAGAAGGGAAAAAGAGAGGAGAGGGAGGCCGAAGGAGGCTGGTGGGAGGGAGGATGGGTGAGTGGATGGAGTACTGTCATGATTATCTATTTTGGGTGGCAAATAAAACTTTAAACAAAGTGGGTAATTTCCTCTGCCTTCTGTTTACTATGACTGCTTTCATTTTGTGTTGAGGAAGACTGTGGCTATCATGATAATCCTTGGTTTTATAAATCTCACAAAAGTGTCAAGTAAACAACAGATGCTTCCCACCAAATCCTTCTAAAGAGCAGCTTCCTAGTCATGCCCGCTTGCGTTCCCTCTGTCCGGTTTTAATTTGCTGTTTCTGTAGCATGGACTCTGTTTCTGTCACAGGCAGGAAATGGACCCCAGGCTGCAGTGCAGGGTGCCCACTCCCAGGGCGCTGCAGCCCCAGGCACAGTGGTGGCGGGGACCCTGGTCCATGCCCTCTCCTGACTGGGGTGGGGCGCTGGCTGCAGTCACACCCTGGGATTCAGAAGCTGGTGTCTCCCCAGAGACACCAGGTTGGAAGGAGGCAGCCACAGATAAGGAAGGGAGAGGTGGGAGTGGGGACCGCTTCAATAATTGGGAGTGAGGCGATTCATCTTTCTAGTTCCCAGGAACACTGTTCCAGGGAAGAGAACGAAACATGAATTAGCCAGTGCCCTTCTGAGGATTTTATGACTAGAAAATGGATGGATGACAACAGAGACATCTCTCTGTCCCTTGGTGTGGCAGAGCAAGGGGACCGGATGCCTTGGGAGTGAGCTCCTTGCGGGTGGCTTGCCTGATTGCTTAGGCGGATGCCTGGCACCCCAGACACTGCAGGAACAGGGCGGGCGGCCGTGCCAGTGCCTGTTCTATAAATAGCACCGGGCTTCAGGCACCTGAGCTGCTGTGACAGCCACGTCTTTATACTCCCTTGAAAATCAGTAATCCCTGAAGCGTGTGTGTGTGTGTGTGTGTGTGTGTGTGTGTGTGTGTGTGTCTCCAAACAATTCTGGATAGGGCAGCTTTCTGGTTCAGCCTGGGTTGGGAGCCCCGCACCCCCAGACTCACCATTTGCATCATGAGAATATTCTACACCAGACACAGTGCATCTTCGGAAAACCATCTTATTCTCTGTCAAAGTGCCAGTTTTATCTGAGAAAATGTACTGTATCTGTCCTAAGTCTTCCGTGATGTTCAGAGCTCGGCACTGCAGCTGCGAGTCTGTTTCTTCGTCATACAACTGCATGTCCTGGTTAATGAAGTACACTTGGCATGCTTTAACAATTTCAATGGAAACGTATAAGGAAATTGGGATCAAAACCTGGAAGAGACAAGGCACACAGGATGAATGACCGTGAGGACCAGGGAGCTGGGGAATTACTCAAATCTATTTAAATAACAAATGACTACAACCGCAAGAAAGTAGGGACTATACTGTACCTTTAAGAGAGCTTAAATAGGTTGGTTTAGAGTCAGTATTGGAAAAGTATTAGAGTATTGGCAAAGAGAATAAACTAGGACAGCTTATGGAGCAGCTGCAGGGCGGGGATCCACTATGGTGTCTGGAAGTATGGTACCCATGGCTTGGATAGAAGCAAGCAAGTTGTGCTTGAGAGAAGCTAGGACAGGAAAGAGAGAAAAGAGAAAAAAAATCATGGCACAGTCAGTCCTCATAAGCAAGGTCACCTCACACCACACTCCATGGTGGCATTCGACCCCCAGGCTTTCCCTGGGCTCCCATTTCCCAGGGATACAACCCCAAGTTCAGGGGGCAGTGCAAACACAACAGACAGTCTTTTTTCAGATGCTGGCCTTGTGATTCTGTGCTCTTCTTGTACAATGCAGAGGAAAGGGAAAGAGGCTTTGAGAAAAACATTCAGTGATGCCTCCATAATTTAAGAACAATTCTCCTCGATATTAATGTTTGCTTACTCATTTGTTTTTGTAGAGTAACAGTATTGGACTAATGTTTACAGACTCAGAATATCACGCACAGACTAACTGGGTTCTCCTGGGAACTGAAGTACGTTAATCAAACACCAGCTACAGTCCTAACTCGAGGCTAGAACAAAATTTGCATTTATTTAGAAAACTAATTTAGACAGTTAAATAAGACTGTTTCCTGTTGTATGAAGCACATATACGAGACAGCAAAGGTTCCCTCCTAGGCAAAGGCTGAGCCAATGTCCTCTGGTCACTCAGTTCCCAGGAAGGTTGGTAGTGACCCCACTGCCCCCTCGTCCTCTGGACTCTGGGACCCTCCCCACTCTTTCACAGACCTTTCTGGGCATAGATAGCCAGGCATTGACTGGGAGGTGTCAGGGAGGCATGCGAATTAATAATAATAGTAACAATAGCAAGTGCAGATAAATGCAATGTGGATAACCTCAACTAAATCCTGGAGGAGAAAAAGCACATTTATGGAAGGACTAGTGGGATCTGAAAGAAGGCTATAGTTTTGTTCAAAGCAAAGGACTAGGCCGGGTGCAGTGGCTCATGCCTGTCATCCTAGCACTTTGGGAGACCGAGGTGGGTGGATCACTTGAGGTCAGGAGTTCAAGACCAGCCTGGCCAACATGGTGAAACCCCATCTCTACCAAAAATACAAAAATTAGCAAGGTGTGTGGCATGCACCTGTAATCCCAGCTACTCGGGAGGCTGAGGCAAGATAATTGCTTGAACCCAGGAAGTGGAGGTTGCAGTGAGCCAAGATCGTGTCACTGCACTCCAGCCTGGCGACAAAACAAGACTCTGTCTAAAAAAAAAAAGAAAAAGAGAAAAAAAAAACAAAGTGAAGGACTAAAGTTGGCTTCTTAGTTTTCACAATGTCCCATGACAATGTAATATGTTCACATTAGGGGAAAGTGGGTGAGGGATGCATGGAAACTCTCTGTAAAATTTATTTAGAAAACTAAATTTTATTTTGGAGTAATTTTAAGATTTACAGAAAAGTTGCAATGACTTTGCAACTTTTCTGTAAACCTTAAAATTATCCCAAAATAAAATCTATTTTTTTTAAAAGTAACTGAAAGGAAAAACAACAAAATGAAAACAGTGACCCAAACCAAACCCTCAAAGCACAAGAACCTTAAGAACAGAAAAGGAGAATTTTAACTTAAAAATCACCCAAGGAAAGATCCCATTGGTGATTTAGGCTGAAAAATAAAAGGCAGAACTCCAGGTAGATATATTTGCCATCTTCCTAGATGCAGAATTTATAGGAAATTCTGAACAGAGTATGATGATTTTAAGTTCTCTTCATAAAAGTAAAGCAATTATTGTACGATACTTAGTATTGTTACCTGCAGAACTATTATCATTGTTAAAAATGAGTAAACTGCAGCTGTGACTGGGGATAAGGAGCTTCCATCAGACTTGGGGACATAAAATAATGACTTCTTCTCTTGATACCGCCATATCCACAGTCCATGTCCTGTAGTAATGTTCAAAGAGAAATGTCATTCATCCAATGGAAAAATAAGAATATTGCTAGCGTATATTAAAGCAAAACTTTAATATTTGTTACCTGATGCAAGCACATTTGGTTTTCTTACTCAGCTTTGCCATGTCAGAAAGCGAAAACACAATGTTCTCAGCACCTTCGATCCAACTTCAGGAAGGAGGTGGGACCTGGTCTCTTCCTTACACTGAGAGTTTCCCATTGTTGGTGCTAAGTGGCACCACTTGTCCCAACACAGAGCTACCCGCGTGTTGGCAGCTGACAGTGTGAGGCGCCAAGACAGAATTTCTTAACACGCATCTCACGAAATACCTGTCTCATGAAATGCGCAGCAAAAAAACAGTCAGTAGGCTCAGACACTGCCATTATTGTCCTTTCCTGAGATTCACAATTCACATATGGGAGGCTCTGGGAAGCCAACAGTAGTGCACATTGCCTAATCCACTGGACCCACACCTGTCTGGTCACAGAAGCCTTTTTCATGTCCTGTACATCTGTAACTTATGCCGCTGGGCTGAGACCACATCACACCCACTTGGTGTAGCCCTACATGGAACCTAACTGCTAGTCCCTTCTTAGGATCCAAAGCCATTTTTTGTTTCTCTTTTCATGAAGTTCCCATTAGTAACATCTGTGCTTCTCCTGCTATTAGCCTTAGTTTAGCACCAGGTTACTGATACTTCTTCCCCTGGAATTACCACCACCGCTGTGATGAAAGCATTCTTCCACTAAGAAATCGTCAGTTCAGAAAATAACATTACAGTCAGCTCTCAGTATCTGTGGGTTCCATATCCGTGGATTCAACCAACCATGGACCAAAAATATTAGGAGAAAAAAATTATATCTGTGTGTATTCCCTAAACAACACAGTATAACCATTATTTACATGACATTTACATCGTATTAGGCATTATAAGTAACCTAGAGGTGATTTAAAGCAGGGGTCCCTAATCCCCAGGCTGCAGACTGGTACTGGTCCATGGCCTGTTAGGAACTGGGCAGCACAGCTGGAGGTGAGTGGCAGGTGAGTGAGCATTCCCACCTGAGCCCCGTCTCCCGTCAGATCAGCGGCAGCATTCAATTCTCACAGGAGCACGAACCCTATTGTGAATTGTGCATGGGAGGGATCTAGGTTGCACGCTCCTGATGAGAATCTAACTGGTGCCTGATGATCTGAGGTGAAAGTTTCATCCCTAAACCATATCCTCTGCTACCCCTACATCCGTGGAAAAAATGTCTTCATAAAACCAGTCCTTGGTGCCAAAAAGGTTGGGGACTGCTGATTTAAAGTATAGAGGAGGGTATAGGTAGGTTATATGCCAATACTATTCCACTTCATGTCAGGGACTTGAGCATCTGAAGATTTTGTTATAGAGGGGGAGTCCTGGAACCAACCCCCCATGGATACCGAAGGACAGCTATACTCTGTCATGCCCATTCACCCAGGCGTTTCCATGTGGCCTGTGCTGATGCAGGCTGCCCTTGAGTTCAAGTCAGTGAAAAACTGGGGTTTTAATTTTTGAGTGCTAGGTTTGCATGTCTGGGGGCAGCCCACCAAGCTCACCTGGAGCCCACTCATTTCTTTCTTTCTTTTTTTTTTTTTGGAAACAGAATCTCACTCTCTCACCCAGGCTGGAGTGCAGTGGTGCGATCTCAGCTCGCTGCAACCTCCCCCTCCCGGGTTCAAGCCATTCTCCTGCCTCAGTCTCCCGAGTAGCTGGGACTACAGGCACATTTTTTTTGTATTTTTAGTAGAGATGGGATTTCACCATGTTGGCCAGCTGGTCACCAACTCCTGACCTCAAGTGATCTGCCCGCCTCGGCCTCCCAAAGTGCTAGGATTACGGGCACGAGCCACTGCGCCTGGCCCCCACTCATTTCCGATCCATCTAGGAGACTTACCGACTGCTGAAAACAGAGACATGCAAACAAGGAGCAGGACACACCAGAGCACGTCGCAGTTCATCTGCCTCTCCAGCTTGCTGCGCTTGTAGCGGGGCCCACTGTTGTTCAGCAGAGCCTTGGTTTCATGTCCTGTCGGGGAGGACAAAGAGACATGGCAAGTCAGAGACTGGAGCTAAGGGACCAGCTGCATGGATGGCGTGGAGGGAATTCCATGCTGCCATTCAGTGGTGCTTAGGTGAGAAGCTTGGTCAAAAAAGCAGGGTTTAAAATTAATCTTACTTCCTGTTGAACAGGTCTGAAAATAAATAAAATAAAATGAAATTAATCTTATACATATATAATGACTGTGGAGAACGAAATGGAAAGAAATACACTACCGTGCCAAGAAAGAAGGCTTTGGGTTGAGGTACTATTCAAAGAATTTTTGCTTTTGCTCCTTTCCATTTTCCTAGTTTCCAAATGTTCTACAATGGGGATATGTTATGCTTTTTTTCTTTTTTTTTTTTGAGATGGAGTCTTACTCTGTTGCCCAGGCTGGAGTGCAGTGGTATAAACTCGGCTCACTGCAACCTCCGTCTCTCAGGTTCAAGAGATTCTCCTGCCTCGGCCTCCCTAGTAGCTGGGACTACAGGTGTGCACCACCACGCCCAGCTAATTTTTTGTGTGTTTTTAGTAGAGATGGGGTTTCACTACGTTGGCCAAGCTGGTCTCAAGCTCCTGACCTCATGATCTGCCCGTCTCAGCCTCCCAAAGTGCTGGGATTACAGGCGTGAGTCACCACATCCAGCCATGCTACTCTTAGAAAACGGTGAGGGAGGCCGGGCACGGTGACTCATGCCTGTAATCCCAGCACTTTGGGAGGCCAAGGCGGGCGGATCACGAGATCAGGAGATTGAGACTATCCTGGCTAATACGGTGAAATCCCGTATCTACTAAAAAAATACAAAAAAAAAAAAAGGAGCCGGGCGTGGCGGGCGCCTGTAGTCCCAGCTACTCGGGAGGCTGAGGCAGGAGAATGGCGTGAACCCGGAAGGCGGAGCTTGCAGTGAGCCGAGATCGCGCCACTGCACTCCAGCCTGGGCGACAGTGCGAGACTCGTCTCAAAAAAAAAAAATGAAAAAGAAAAAAGAAAAGAAAACAGTGAGGGGAAGTGCTGGAGAACACAGCGCTGTCTGGCGGCAGGTGGTGCCAGGTGCCCGAGCCTACCTGCGTAGATGACAATGCCGACGACTGCGTCCGTGTTCCTAAGGGTGCAGCCCCTCAGCAGCAGGTTTTCTTTATACAGCCCGGCCTTTTTCCCGTTGTCATGTATGCTGTAGAGGGACAGTTGGCACATGTCACGTGGTTGCAGGCCTGTGCCTCATGTCTGGAGCCGCAATGCCTTGAGGAAGGAAGGCCCTGACACAATGAAAGCTTGGGGCCGCTGGGATCTGGACTGGGAAGGGTACAGGGGGCCCCCGAGAGTGGGTGGCTCGCCCTGTGGGTCTCTGCAAGAGCTGAGACAGAACTGCTGTTCACCAGTCACTAGGCATCCAGAAGCAGCTCTAGAGCCTGGTGTTTATTTGTTTTGCAGATAGACTTGTTTTCACTCCGGGACTGATCACCACTAGGAAGGGCAAACTCCCAACCGGCCAAGGAAGGCCTTGCTACGTGGTCTCTGTACATCTCCTGCTCAACACAGGAAATGTTACTCCTAATCAGTCTCAAGTTGTCATAAAAATACAAACATCTTTCTACAAAAGGGGACGATATTGGTTTCATTTTTAACATCCTTTTCTCTTACAAGAAGTTATAAAGTTATTAGAAGTATTAATATATGTGGTCTGAAATGTGGTAAATTCCATGAAACAATTCTATAAATTCTGTTTTACTGCTATTTAGATCCAGAGGGATAGTCTAAGCTTAAGCTACTGGTTTTCAAACTTGTCCTCCGGGCCCACTGATGACCCAGGCTGGCTGGGCAGTCTTGGGCTAGGACCGCCCTGGGACAGATATGGCCCCAGGGGCCAGAGCACAGGTCACAGGGGGAGGCCTCATAACCGGAACTGTAGCCCAGGCCTGCTGTGGTTCCAGGTTTCCAGAACAACAGCAGGGGCCCAGCCTAACCCACGCCAGGCAGGGCCACCAAGGGAGTGCCTTCCGAGAGGCTACCTTTTCACACCCACACCCCCTCTCCGCACGCATTCCCCACACTCTCAAGCCCACATGCTTCCTGTATGGCTCTTAGCGTCTCACCAGGGACCCCTGCAGGGGTTTCCCTCCTGCCAGCTATTGGCCTTCTGACCAGGGAAATAAACCTATGTCCTAGTGAAGAAGAGAAGCTAAACAGTAAAGGCAAGGCTGAAATGCAAGCTGGGAGGATATATTTTCCACAAGTCAGTTATTTACCAACAGCAAGGGTTCTTCGCCAGAGCAGACACAGTGGGGCCACTCAAGGGCCGTTCAGCCAACGCCGTGTCTACTGCTCCCTTGGCAATGCCAAGACGGAGTAAGGTTTTCCTTTAAAGAGAGATTCGAGACGGCAAACCACTTTGCCAGCCACAGCATCAAAAGCCTGGCAGGTATGAGATATCCTTAGGTACAAAACCCTGCTCTGCGCTTGTGGAGTGAGGACACCCCCTATCACGTGTCTCCCGTGGACTTCTCCAGCGAAAGCCAGACAAAGACACCATTGCACTGGGACAGTAGAAAATAACAAATCGTCTCCGAGTTCAGGTTATGCTTATTAAGGACAAACGATAAACTTTATAGAAACAAGAAAAATGTTCTACATTAAATGTTCTTCACTGTGACACTGACTTTTGAGCAACTACTGTGATTTCTGATGAGTCCAAGCCAGACGGCAACTTGGCACCTTACACAGGTGCATCGACCTATACAGGTCCATGCCAGAAGGAAGAGCGAATGCGAGGGGTTGGGAACGTACTCCTGCGTGAACAGCCCACAACACAAAGGGGAGGCTGGAGAACGACATCACCATCAGGTGCCTGGTACCTGGGCTAGAGGCTGCCTTGGGCTTCTGAGAGAGAGAGGCCCGGCCGAGGGCGACACAGGCCCAGAAGCACACAGGTACGAGGCTCAACTCCACAAAGACACACACAAGAACGTGAGCCGTCAGCTCCGTTGTCATGGGCTGAACCGTGTCCCCTCAGAATTCAGCTGGTGAAGCCCTAACTCCCAGGACTGCAGAATATGGCTGTATTTGGAGACAGAGTCTTTAAAGAGATCCTTAAGTTAAAATGAGGTCCTTTGGACAGGCGTGGTGGCTCACGCCTGTAATCCCAGCACTTTGGGAGGCCAAGGCAGGCGGATCACTTGAGGTCAGGAGTTCGAGACCAGCCTGATCAATATGGTGAAACCCCGTCACCAGGTGTCCTTGACTCCTCCCCCATTTTTACATCCATTCAACCTCATCTCCCTGGCTGTGTCTTTAATCCATGCCCTCTTCTGTATATCTCCATGCAGCACTGCTCTGATTCAGGCGTCTGCATTTCTCTGCTGGAGCCGGCAACACACGCTTGCTGGCCTCAGCTCCACTGGCCTGGGTTCCTCATGTGGGTTCCTCACACAGGCACCGGAGCAATCTTCGAGTGTGCGCCTGTGAGTGTCCCCTGCAGGACTCCTCATTGCTCCAGCTTGACGTGGGAACCAGCCGACCCTGCAGCCCCTGCTTGGCCCACAGAAGGGGTGGCTTCTGTGGTTTTCTGCCCCAGCCACCCCCACACAGCATGTTCTGTCCACTCTGTGCTAGCCTCTGCCTGAGGTAGCCCGGCCTTCCGGCCTGGGCTCAGCTTCTGCCGCCTTCAGGGCAGTCCTCCATGCCACACTCCCAGGCCCCCCACCCAGGCCAGCCGGCAGTATTCCATCTGCTTCCATGTCTCTGCTTCCAAACAGGAGCTGCTCATGTCCTATCCATTGCACACCCCAGTGCCTACCTCAGAGCCTGGCAAACGTTGAAGGCTGCCCGGCCCTTGGCTTTGAGCTGGGTCCCTCCAGTGGGGGATGACAGGAAGGACACTGGAGGAGTGGCTGAGAGCAAGAAAAGACAGGGAGTAGGCTGGGCGCGGTGGCTCACACCTGTAATCCCAGCACTTTGGGAGGCCGAGGCGGGAGGATTGCTTGAGGCCAGAAGTTAGAGACCAGCCTGGCTAACATGGCGAAACCCCGTCTCTACTAAAAATACAAAAAAAAAAAAAAAATAGCCAGGCATGGTGGTACACACCTGTAATCCCAGCTACTCAGGGAGGCTGAGGCAGGAGAATCACTTGAACCCAGGAGGTGGAGGTTGCAGTGAGCCAAGATCGCGCCACTGCACTACAGCCTGGGCAACAGAGTGAGACTCTGTCTCAAAAAAAAAAAAAAAAAAAAAAAAAAAGAAGAAAGAAAGAAAGGAAGGAAGGAAGGAAGGACAGGGAGTTTATTCCCTGCTCCCTCCTAGAGAGGCAGCACTGGCTGGCAGTGTCCCCTGACCAGGGCTATGAGTCTCCCCAGGCATCTCCCTGGTCATGAGTCCCCCAGGGCCACTCTTCCCCATGGGGCCTCATGGCAGTGACTGCTCAGCGGCCACTAATCTAGCATCTGCTCTGTCCCCGATGCGTCCCCTACACCCACCCACTCCTGCAGAAACACCTTAGCAAAGATGCACCCTTACCAAGTATCCTTCCTCATCTATATGAATCAGGGTGTTCAGTCGGCTTCCTAAGTGGGTCCTGACTGACATAAGTTGGGAGGAAGGAATGACAGATAATTCCTTCCATTGGCAAATCCTGGGCAGAATTTGCTTTAAAATAATCAGATGTTCATATTTTTGTATAAATAATAAATAAAAATAAATAAATATTTCTGTATAAAATCATCAGATGTTCATATCTAACAAAAGTAAGTGTGGAAATTACCAGACTGTTTTGTGCTGATGTTCAATATTTTTAAGATATAAATATGTCAACTAAAGGTGGCAAGGCGAAATTAAAACATTCCAGTTTTAATGAGTCTAGTTGATGCAGTTTATTTAATGCTTGGTCACTGGCAGTAAAGACATTTTGGATACAGCCCACACAAGGCTCCAACCAGACACCAGGCAGGAGGGGGCAGGGACCCTGACAGCTCTGTTGTTAGTGACAGCCCTGCTGTCTTTACTAACCACCGTCTCTGAAGGGTGTCACCCACCAGGGCGAAGAGCCTACTCCAAAATGCAGCTGGTGCTCGTGCCGGCCCTATGCGGTTGTAGGAGGCTCTCCAGGTCAGAAGCCTGCTCTGTGGGGTAAGAATGGTCACCAAAGGAGAACAGGGTTGGCTATACTTGTATCCGACAAAATAGACTAAGTCAAAAACTATCCTACAAGACAAAGAAGGGTCAATTATGCAGGAAGACATAACAATTATAAATATGTATGCATCCAATATCAAAGCACCCAAGTATATAAAGCAAACATTGACAGATCGGAAAAGAGAACTAGGGAACCTGCTTTACAATGTGAAATGGAATTTTACATTGGATGACCAACTAACCAGCCAACCTCTTTGCTTTATTCTTTAGGGGAAAGTGCAAATGTTTGATTGATTTGTGGCTTCAGAGGTGACCACATGCCATAAAGTTGGCTGAGCACAATCAGCAGGGTCAGGCTGAGCCAGGCCTCCATTCCCAGGAGGCCTCTCTGGGAGATGACATCTCAGGGTTGGGGCTAAGGAGTGAGTGCTGGGAACAGCTGGAGAAGGTGGGGAACGATGTTACTTCCAGATCCTAACTCTGAAGATTTCGCTAGGGCTTAACTATATGAGGATCCTTCCAAAGAATGCAGCCTTAAAGGGCACTTGAATAATGAGGCTCCTAGCACTATTTTTCTGCCAGCTGGAGATATATTTCACATACTATAATGTTCACTCATTTAAAGTTCATAGAGTTCTGTATTTTGTTTTGTTTCAGATAGGGTCTCGCTCTGTTGTCCAGGCTGGAGTGCAGTGGTGTGATCATAGCTCACTGCAGCCTGGACCTCCTGAGCTCAAGCCATCCTCCCACCTCAACCTCCTGAGTTTCTGTGACTACAGGTGTGCACCACCACACCCACACCAGGCTAATTTTTGTGTGTGTGTGTGATTTTTGTAGAGACAAGGTCTCACTACATTGTCCAGGCTGCTCTTAAACTCCTAACCTCAAGTGAACCTCCCATCTAGGCCTCCCAAAGGATTACAGGCATGAGCCACTGCACAGGCTAATTTTTTTTCTGTTTGTATTTGTATCATCAGAGTTGTAAAACTACCACCACCAGCTAATATGAGAACATTTTCTTCTTTCTTTTTTTTGAGACTGGGTCTTGCTCTGTCTCCCAGGATGGAGTACAATGGCACAATCACGGTTCACTGCAATCTCTGCCTCCCCCGCTCAAGTGATCCTCCCACATCAGCCTCCCAGGTAGCTGGTACTATAGGAGTGCACCTCCACACCCAGCTAACGAGAACATTTTCATCACCCTAAAAATAAACCCTAGACCCACGGGCAGTCACTTCCCATTCCTATCTCATTCCACACCCCCAAACCCTGGCAACTGCCAATCCACTTTCTGTGTCTAAGATTTTCCTACTGTGAGCATTTCACATGCGACACCTTCTTTTTTTTTTTTTTTGAGATGGAGTCTCGCTCTGTCACCCAGGCTGGAGTGCAGTGGTGTGATTCTGGCTCACTGCAAGCTCCGCCTCCCGGGTTCACGCCATTCTCCTGCCTCAGCCACCCGAGTAGCTGGGACTACAGGCGCCCTCCATGACACCTGGCTAGTTTTTTGTATGTTTAGTAGAGACGGGGTTTCACCGTGTTAGCCAGGATGGTCTTGATCTCCTGACCTCATGATCTGCCCGCCCCGGCCTCCCAAAGTGCTGGGATTACAGGTGTGAGCCACCGCGCCCGGCCACGACACCTTCTAATTCATGTTGTACTTCACTTTCATTCCTTCACTGGACTCTCATGTCAGCCTGTGAGGTTGACAGGCAGTCGATGATACCTCCAGGATTAGGAGAAGGCCGGGGCTCAGAAAGGCAGAATAACTTTCCTAAGGCCACCTCCCAGGGAAGAGAAAGAGCCTGTATTCAGACTTGGGTCTTCTTGCTACAAACCCAAACTCAGTTCTGTTCTCCAAGTGCAAACAGTTAATGTTTCAAGTTTGGAATGGCAGGTCCTAAAAGAAGCAAATCTGCCGGCATTCCTGGGCTCTGTGGTGTGAAGGAGGTTACGGGGCAGCAGCTGCCTCATGGAGGCTGCAAGGAGGCCAGTGGGAGGAAGCAAACCAGGGAGGTGGCTCTGCAGCTGAGCCACTTCCTGAGCCTAGACAGCAGATCTACCTCCCAACTTAGCTCCCTGCCCTGGGCATCAGGACTGGTATGGGGTTAAGACCTCCTTTCTCTTTGCTTGGGACGGATAGCGTTACCAGGCCCTACAGGAGGGAGGATTCCTGCCCGAGGGAGCACTCCAGCCCCAGGGAGCACTCCTACCCCGGGAGTATTCCTCACTGCGAGGCTGCCCCAGTCCCCTTCAGGCTGATGGTCCGGGGCAGGGCTGCTCCCCTTGGTCGTGCCCCACAGTCACGGGGGCAAGTATTAACACACTGCTGCTCCACCCCCAGAGGCCCCTCCTGACCTGTCTGGCTGGGAGAGGGGCCATCCAGGCCCTGACAGCCCTGTGGCAAGCCCAGAACACCCCGGCTGGTGGAGATGGCGAATTATCGTTAAAGAGCGTCAGGTGTGGAGAGGCCTGAATTGGCTGGGCGCACACTGGCCCAGATGGTGCCTGTGCCCAGGCCACAAGGGGGCTACCAGGGTTGGACGATGGGTGGAGTACACGAGGAGACAACACGACATGACTGAGGGCAAAGCAGGAAAGGATTTCATGCTGGGAGAGCTGCTCTTCTCATGTCCCTTTCTCGGGCAACATGCCGGTGAGGACACCACAGGAGGAACGCCTGCTGGCGGCACAGGCTGGAGAAGCCCCGGTGGGCCTGGCTGGCTGGCTGCAGGCAGATGACACCCACTCAAGAGGCATCTTCCCCGGCACCCGGGGGGAGTGCAGCCAGGCCTGGGGGTACACAGCCAGGCAAGGGCCTCATGTGGGAGGCAGTGAGGTGCTGGGGCTGAGCGCAGGGCGGAGACACCACCCAGACTCCTGTCCTCACCACACTGCTAGAGACAGTGGCTGAGCAATACAATGCTCCTCCCGTCTCCTGCACCGGACCCCGCCCCTCTCGTCCACCCCAGCAGAGGGCCGTCACCTTTCCTAGGCTCTGTGGATCCAGCAGGCTGCAGGCCTTCGTATCTGTCCCTGCTGTGCCTCCACTGCCAGGCACCGCCCTGTCACACCAAGGACAATGAGCTAGGAGTGCAGTCTTCAGAAGAGAAAGTCGGCCCCTTATTTATTTATGTTTTTTGGTGGAGTTGGCACCGTAAAATTATTCCAGGGATACCACTGAACATTCTCCAGAGATTGCCCTCGCCCCACCCTTCACAATCATTGTTTCAGGTCAAGATGTCTAGCAACCCAGCACCTGCTCTCTGTAGCCAACTCGTGCCTGGGGATTCCCAGCAGTGCTGAGGATGGTGCCCTGCACACAAACTCTTGGGGCAAGGGATCAAGGAGGCCTGGGGAAGATGGCCCAGGAGTCAAGAAAGACCAGAAAAGCCACAGCACACGGGTTGTGCTGAGTATTTCCTCCCCAAATCGTAGAGGTTATATGCTTACATTTTGTTGTTGAGTTTTACCCTGCTTTAATTGGCTTATTTAAGGGGTGATTTAATGCTATCGGTGTCTGATTCTCAGATAATAAGGGCAATTCCAGTGGGTGACGGGGCCATCACTTGGCTGCAGACACATTTCAGCTTTTGCTGTGCAGAGTTCACTTCCGTTGGGTCATCCCCAGCCCTACCGCCTGCCACTGTGTGCTGGGCACAGGCAGTAATGCTGGAGGTGCTGGCAAAACAGAAGACTCAACCTACACCGAAAGCTCTTAGAAATGGGGCCACTTCCAGAAGCAGATCGCTCCCACGCCTCCGTATGTCTGCGTGGTGGGAGCGGGGGGGGGGTGGGGGGGTGGGGGAAGTGGGTGGGGCAGGCGAGCCCACTGCCTGGGCCATTCAGCGGCTGCAGGCGTCAAAAGTCCATCCCTGCCTCCAAGCAGGACAGTGCCAGGAGGTGGCCCCTTGTGCTGCAGGCGAGAGGGCTGAGCCCACGGGAGGTGGCTGAGGCATGATAGCTGGAACAGAGCTTGAGGGCAGAGGAAGGTCATGTGCGTCATGCCCCTGTCACAGCCTTGTTCTCCAGAAGACCATCCCCAAGGGCCCTGGCAGGCCACTCAGCAACTCCGTTCTGACACTGCCTATTCTCTTCCATGTTTTTGCCCACAGCACTGACCACACACACACACACACTCCGATTATTATGGAAATTTTCAAACAGACATGAAGGTGGTTTCTACTACTCCCCATCACGTGGCTTCAGCAAGTGCCAACACAGGGCCAGGCCTGTGCCCTGATCCACCTGTCTTTCTGTTTTGGAGCAGGAAGGGGCTGGCCTACTAGACACACTCTAGGTTATGCTTATTTGTTTTAATTGTCTTTCTTTCCCCCAAACTAGAATGAAATAAACACAAAGGCAGGAACTTCTGTTTATTCAGTTTACCACATTACATCCAGTGCCTTGAATGCACCCAGCATGTAACAGGTATCAATAAATACGTGTTCAGTGACTGAGTGGAAGCATATATCCATGAAACTCCACCCGGCCTACTCCTGCTTCCACGTTAACGGGGCCATGTGTGGTCAGCTACACATCTCTTGTCACACCCATCACCTACCCGGGGCCTGCTAGCGGGAGGAAAAGCGGTACCTCCTCCTCACAGATGGTAGTGGCAAGCTTCTACTGACAACAGGCTCTTACCCACTACTGACAACAGGCTCTTACTTCCAAAAGCAGCCAAGAAGGCTCAGGTGCTGGGCCACATTCCCAAACAGCTACACCATGTGGCAAAGAGTATTAAATGCATACTTTATAACTGAGAATGTGTAAACACCTGCCTATGTAGTTATCAAACAGAAGGATGCGCGCAGGCAGACACACGATACTCACATGCAGCCGCGAAACCTACTCAGGTCGTTGTTTGGCTTCTCGCATTCGATCACGCTGGTGAACGTCAAAGGATTGAATTCGGAGACCTAAAATAACAGCACGTAGACATTAGAGAAATCCGGGCTCAGGCTGCGCCGTTCTAAAAGGCACTCGCTTTTCTGTCTCGCATCCGCGGCAGGCACATTTCACGGGGGAAGAACTCTGCCTATGAATCTCTCTGGAAAGCCAAAGCAACGCCTTCTCCACTGTATAATAAATAACAGTTAATCATTTTATAACGAGTGACAATTGGGGGACCGGTACTGGTTACTGGTTAGTAAGTGAGCAGAAATGACTGCAGCTCTATTGCAAAATGAGAGAACAGGCGATAAAGCAAAGGAGGCCATCAATGAAGCAAAGGGATGAATGAGTTTTTTAAGACACACGGCACTTGCCCATTTCTACAGACTTAGGGAAGCAAATTCCACCTGGAAAACAGGAGCTTATAATAAATTCTATTTTTTCAACGTACACTACATGATCTTCATGGATCTTTGATGAAAAAGATTTACATAGCCAATGAGTGAGCCAACAACTTCTTTAGTATTCTGCTCAATTAAAAAAAAACCCTGACAACTCACCACAAAAATGTCTTTAGAATTTTTCCATTGATAGATAAAACAGAGCCTGGCTCATAAGAAAGGCTTAGGAGTGGGGGGAAGGAGGAAGAAGGGAGAGAAATGGAGGGAATAAGCCTTCAGTATAAACGAGCACAATTAGTGGATTTCTTTTTTATCAGCTCTCTGGTCAGGCCTGGCATTCTACTTAATCTAGCAAGTGTCATAACATGGTAAAAAACTGAACTGTCTTTAATGACACATACAAAAAGTGAAGGTGGTTAAAAATTATAGAAATGGCATAAACACTGTTGACACCACCCCAGGTTAACTATGGCTCTGCCGCAACCACACATTTCCCTGCATAGAATACAGCCATAAAGGTAATTACTCAAAACTCAGTTCCTACTGTTTCCCAGTGTAAAGCGTACATTAAAAGGGGCGTGTGCTAGATAATCGTAGCTCGATTCAATAACTGAAATTGAAATGCTATTTTAAAAGGCTCTTCTTGGAGTGTAATTAGCCATCAGTCTCTCTTCTCCTTGGACTGAAATGGCCTCTCGCTCTATTTCCAGAGCAGGGCTCTGTTTCAAGGAGTCTTGTGTTTATTTAAAGCCTGTGGATTATCTTGAAACCAGTGGATGGCTTTTTCCAGGGCAGACATTTGCAGATACAAAGTACAGGATGGCCATGAAGGCAGTGAGTTCCAGAGAACACCAGGATTATTCTTGGCAGACGAGGAGGGTAGGACTTAAAATATTTTGTCTCTGTTTATTATTCTTTCTCTCTAAGAAAAATGTCATGGACATGGCTCAGAAACAGTAGGACATTCTGTCTCTGGGACTTCAGAGCTGTGTTTGTAATGTTCTACCAACAATCCCATGCCCTGGGGAGTGTGCGCAGGGGAGGTCCCAGGCACGGGACGGCTGGCTTCCTCTGCATCCTTCTGGAACTGGGGAGGATTTGGAGGATTTTTAGAACTGGAGGGATCTCTAGAGACTGGCATGGGCTGAACTGGAGCCCCTCATCCGCCGCTAGAACTCATATATTGAAGTCCTAACCCCACGTAGCTCAGAACGTACCCTTATTTAGAGAGGAAGTCTTTAAAGAGGTAACTAAATTAAACTGAGGTCATCAGGGTGGACCCTAATCCCACATGACTGGCGGCCTTATACAAAGGGAAAATCAGGACGCAAAGACACACAGAGGGGAGATCATGCAAGGACACAGGGAGAAGCCAAAAAAAGAGGCCTCAAAAGAAACCATCCTGCTGACCCCTTACTCCCGAATGTCCAGCTTCCAGACCTGTGAGAAAATAAACTTCCGTTGCTTAAGCAGCCCAGTCTGCGGTGTTTCATCAATGAGGCCCCAGTAAACGAATACAGAGACCATCTTTGAGTTTCTCATTTAAAAAGCATTTCATATCCAGAGCACACCTTCTGGATGAGGAAAATCCTGTTTACATTGCTTATTTCTAACAACAGGCAACACACAACACTCCCCATTTAGGAAATACATTGATTTATCCCTCCATCCACTCATGTCTACCCCTGACTCATTCCAAACCAGCTTTGAGGTCATGCCCAAGTTATCCATCAGTCAGACTTGTCAACCTGCCCCCTGGAGCATGGACAAAAGTAGAGGCCCCCGATCCACCCTTCTGCTCTGGGCACACTAACTCCATTCTTCTTAAAAAGCAGATATCCAGCTAGGGAAGAGGAAGCAGTTCTACAGATGGATGGTGGTGATGGTTGCGCAACAATGCGAATGAACTTAATGCCACTGAACTGTACACTCACAAATGATTACAATAGTAAACTCTGTGTTATGCATATTTTGCCATGATAAAAAATTTCATTTACTGCCATGCCACCCTGAATGCATCCAATCTTGACTGATCTTGGAAGCTAAGCAGGGTCAGTACTTGGATGGGAGACACAATTTAAACATTTTTAAGTGGATATAAACCAACTCTGAGAATTGACTGAGAAGAAATGAAATAATCATCAAGTTGAACATAGACCAGAAATCTGGCACCTTTCAGTACAAGTACATAAAGTCTCCCTCGCCAGTAATTCGTGAGGGCACTGCCATTCTGATCGTCATCACCATCAACATAATTACAAGTTTGGGGAGGCTTGCCAAATGCCAGGCATTGTGCTAAGTGCCCTACAATTATCAGGCAACCCTGCTAGAAAGTCAGTTTTTGCACCACCTTCAACTTAGGATCTTTAAGTATCGTGCCCAAGGTCACAGTGGTCTTGGAGTGACAGACTGGAGCTTTCTTGGCCTCTGAGCTATCAGCTCAACCATCAATACCTGCAGAGACAATCTGGCATTAACAGAAAAAGATTGTACAAGTAAGCCAGAAAATGTGTAACAGATTCTATAGAAACGTCCCCCAAAATTTAAATTGCTTTTTATTTTTTATTTTTGAGACAGAGTTCTGCTCCTGTCATCCAGGCTGGAGTGCAGTGGCGGGATTTTGGCTCACTGCAACCTCCACCTTCTGGGTTCAAGCGATTCTCCTGCCTCAACCTCCCAAGTAGCTGGGATTACAGGCGTGAGCCACTGCACTCGGCCTTAATTGCTTTTTAAAGTTCTAAGTTTCCAAAATTTAAGTTTTAGTATTTTGAAAACATGCTTCAGCTCAACATACCTTAATCTGATCATAGATACCCTCTTTCCATCTTCAGCAATGCCTGTGGATGTGGGCTTACCAGAGCCCACTCAAAAACAGAGTAAAAAATCAGGAGCGAGCCCGGGGACTTAGTGCTAGTTCTTCTGATTAATAAATATGAGACTTTTGGCAAGTGAAGAGAGGGCATTTGGACTCGGATCTCCGGGGTCTCTGTTGCCCTATAAGTCCACAATCCTGTAGGATGCAGAGATGGTTCCAATGAATCCCTGTGCTTGGGATGACAGACTCACTATTGCAGAAACAGCATCACCTGCAAAAGTGCTGCCCACACATGCCAGCCTCAAGCTGAAGCACTGCCCTCTGCATCTCTGCTGCAGCACCCCAGCATCTCAGACAAAAGGAAGCAGACACCGTGAAGGGTTCGCCCACTGCAGAGCAACATGTTCAAATAAATATCTCACCGGCAAGAAAGAAAGTGCTCACAGTTTCTGTTGTTGTCTTACAGATATTTCTGAAACTTCTTTGGGCAAAGTGATTTGACCTGACTAGGTGGAAAGAAAGAGGCAGGACAGTGGTGCAACAGAGAGCCCTCCAGCCCTGCCCCTGAACTTGCGTTTCTGCTAGAGACCGCAGCAGCAGGTGCTCCAGGGATGCCCAGAGCCCTGCGGCATGCTTCTGTTTCCTCCTGATGCCTGGGACCTCCTCCTGGTAGAACAGCTGTGTCCCCTCTTCAACCACATGGGGGAGGCGTGTGTCTAATTCAGCAGTGCCCAGATTGCTACTTGAATGAATGGTTTGATTCACAGGGGAGATTCTGTTACCAACCTTGTATTTCACATTTGTATTAAGTGAATTGCTACTAAGTACTCAACAAAAGCAAATACAGATGTCCTCCATCTTGAAACAGCAGTGATGTTGGAAAGGGCATTTACAGTCCATTAAAGAGGATACTGTTATTTTTTTTCTATCATAAAAAAACTAAAGTAAAGAGGTTCATATTGCTTCAGCCATTGGGTGAGCACACAGCACAGGTGCACACTTGGGTCATCTGCAGGTCTGCTGCCAGCAGGGACCCTGCCTAACGCTCCAGGTGGAAATCTGTGAGTGAGGCCACCTGTCTGGGTCTCTGGATGATGTGGGCAGAGAGAACCCTGGTGAGAGAATGCACAGAGAGCAGGGGCCAGCACCTGCCAGCCAGGCAGGGCCACCGCCTGCACCAGCAAGAAGACGTGGAAAACACACACACTCCCGTCTTCTGCATCTGGATCCCGTTCTGAAAACGCCCTTTGCATTTCCCTTCATGATACTCCCAGGTCACAAGGAGGGTGAGGTCCCCCTGGTTCACTTCCAGCCTTGACATCACGCCTGGACATGGTCCTCGAAGGCTCTCAGTGACAAACACAACACCTCTGTCTACCTGGCTTTGGTCTCGCCACCTGCTATGGGCCTGTTTGTCCCTGGACTGAATGATCCCCGTCTGATCACAGAAGTTTTCCACCTTAACAAAGCCTTGGAGACAGCTGCTGCCCTACAGAATGCAATCCTCATCCCGTGCAACAGCAAAGCTCTGCTCAGGGTCACTGCGCTGACCTCCTCGGCTACCATCCCTCCCAGCACCCATTCCTGCCACGCAGGGAACCCTGAGGAAGCCCAAACCTTTCTGCATGGCTTCCTCTGTCTTGCCATCCTACAGCATCAGGCGAAGTGCCCTTCATTTAGCATTTCAGGATGTTGTCTTTTCTGGAGAAGCCTTCCTGACGGCCCCCTGGTAGGGTAGGCAGGTGCCACAGCTCCGAACTTGCTTAGTCCCCATGCAGACATCAAACCCCGTGCTTCCTGGGTGTGGCTGGAGCTGGCTCCCATTCCTCCTTCACTAGACCACAGGTTCCCTGAGCACAGGTACTCTGTGCCCTTGAGACCATCACAGTGCCTGGCACACACATGGTCAGAGGGTGACGAATGCTTATTTCAGAAGGATCTCAGGTGCCACAAGCTTCTGGATCACCCCAGAACTCCGTGCTGGGCTCTTGGGGACCTAGAGCCCCTGCCTGCCGCACCATCTCCCAAGAGGGCCTGCTGAGGCGTCTCTGTGGTTCCAGAATGCATAGTTCCTCTTTTTAAAGTGCGGGCTCTTTTCCCCTGGCAGCAATACAAAATGATTTCTACATAGCCTCTAATCCGGCTCCTTAGCTCCTTACTTATTGATCATGGGTAAAGAATGCCTTCATTAAATTAAGTCAAGCATTTTAACCCAAATTAATGGAATAATTACCCCAACTCTTTTGTTTTGTACTTTCTTTATTATTACTATTATTATTATTTTGTATTTCAATCTAATTTGTATTTACCACTTGATGGTCAGTGCTGTGGAAATTCAAAGGAGGGCAGATGGCCCGATCCCAATACTGAACGAATGAGTGAATTTACTTTTTCACTGCCAAGACTGTATTGTCAGGTGAACATTTTCAATTTGCTAAACTGAAACAGCAAAGTAGTCTGTTTTTGTCCACCACGTGTCTCCTGACACATAGTGGGTACTCAATCAGTTATTTATTGAAAAAATAAATAATAAATAAATACCCAAGTGAAAGCGTCTGGTGGCAAGAAACACCGAACGTACAAGGAAACTTAACTCAAAGTGATAATTTCTCCAAGTTCCACAGATTCAGTGTTACTCTAGGGGTTAATGCCCCGTGACAAATACTGAATAGAAATGAGCATGAAACCCATTTAGACAGCAATGTAATCTATAATAGCGGCTGTGATTGTATTATTTAAGGTATCCCAAATATGGAAGTGATAAGTAGGTTGGCCCAGCCGCTCATGGCGGGACACTCCACTGCACGTCACACAGCATGTGACGGAGAGTGCTGCGTCCCTGCCTGACGTGGTTCTCGTCTCCACGGTGACAAGCTGACAGGGACAATGAGAACTGGCATCCAGGCCTCCGCAGTCCTCTTTCAGAGTCAGCTTCACACAGGTCCACAGGTGGCTTCTGGGAGGCTCACGCCTCAGAGAAACTGATCAAGGGGTGTCTGGGTTCTGCCTTCTTTTTCTAACTGGAGATTTTCTTGCCGCAAGCACCAGTGTTAGAGATCAAGTGGTCCTCCCTTAGTTTCTGAGCAGAAAGGCAGCTTTTCCCTTGTTAAATTCTAGTTTAGAACGCAGGCGCCAGCCTCCCCTTGCCTTTTCTGCCTTTCATCTTTTGTCCCCTTGCCTCCTGACTGTCGCACAGTCAAAAAGCCTCGGTAGATGGTGGCAAAATTCAAAGGCTCACAGTGCGGGGTTAGAGTTTGAAGTCTCAAAATCAAAACCCTTTCTTTCCCTCCTGGCCCCAAACGCTCCATGCTGTTTCAGTGGGCTGTGGCTGTCAGCAAAGCCTTGCTTTCTCCTCCGTCAAATGCACCTAAGAGTCCCTAAGAACTGGCTGTGCATTCAGGCAGTAGGTAACGAGAGTTGTTTCACAGAACACCAAATTCAAACCTAGATGAGGGCTGCTCGTTAAAATTGCCCTCTTGAACGTATTTGTACTTAATCCAACAGGGTGTCCCTGCATGAAACCCGCCTGCAGCCCCTCTGCTGAGCTATTAGCACAGTGAGATCCACATCAGTCTGTCTGCTTCCACAGCCACAGGCCACTTAGTGCCTCTTCCATCACTACAGGTGGGGGTGATGGTGTGAGCAGAGGCACGGCTTTTGGGTGTGAACGTGTCATGCTTTAGCGCTCACTCAGTAGACAGCCTTGCTGGAGAAAAGGTGCTCTCTCTGTGCACAGCGTAAGAGGGGTCTGGAGCCTCAGTGTATTTGTAATAAAAGGGACCCTAAAGGCAGAGTTCCATGGACCACAGGGCCATTGGTAGCCACATAGAGGAAGACCATACTACTATTTTAGAGGCCAACTGGGATGGAGAATACAAAAAGAGGTCAGCTAAGAAAAAACCTCTTGCGCTAATCTGGGGAATGATTCCAAGACTGAAATGGCAACAGAAATGTGAAATTCTAAAGCACAACCAGATCTGCTCAGTCATCAGATTCAAAAGAAAAGTTATCCAGCACCAGACGACTGGGCAATTTGGACCAAACCTCTAGTTACTGGCAAACAGAGATGCTGGACAGAAAACTGAAGACAGCTGCCTGGAGGTATGAAGGATTTAACAAGAAAGTGAAGAATAAGCAAGCCAAGAAATAAAAAGACAAAAATCCAGAGTTGAGGCTGGGCTTTGAGGTTTCTTTTCCCTGAGGAGGGTCTACAGCTTCTGCAAGATGTAGTTAAGAGGTTGAGTGGAGCTCATGAGACACATGTTGGTGCTCGGGGCCTATATTAGTTGCCTGTAGCTGCTGTAACAAATGAACACAAATGTGGTTGCTTAAAACAACAGTCATTTGTTGTCTCGCAGTCCTGGAAGTCGAAAGTTGGAAACAGGTCTCACTGAGCTACAGTCAAGGAGTTGGCAGGGCTGTGTTCCTTTTGGAGGCTCTAGAAGAGAATGCATCTCTTTGCTTGTTCCAGCTTCTTAAGTCACATTCCCTGACTTATGGCTTCCTTCCATTTTTAAAGTCATCAGTGTGCGGGGATTGAGTCTGTCTCACGCTGTATCACTTTGATAGTGAGGTCTGATTAACAGCCTTAATTCCACTTACAACCTCCATTTCTGCTTGCTATGTAGCATAACATATCCACAGGTTTAGGTGAGTAAGATGTGGGCATCTTTCGGGGGACCACTATTCTGTCTACTATAAAACCTACCAAGAGAGGGGCCTGATAAACACCTATGCTTTCTAACGCAACCAGGAAGAACGGCATCACAGAGGTGAACTGCGGGAAAGAGCTTCAACATGGAACTTAATACAACACGGTGCCACTGCATCAAACACATCCAGAACACTGCTGAGCTCCTTTTGTGCAGCTGCTACCCAGCTTAGAGTCAACTGAGTGGCCCAGAAAAATCTCAATGTGAAAAATGGAGTATAATAATTCCAAATTGCTAGAACCCCTAGATACTAAACAAAACCAGCAAAAGTCTTCTTTATATATGTGTGTCTGTGTGTGCACATGTATGTGTGTGTGCATGTATGTGTGTGAGTGTGTGTATATATATATGAAATACAAGGCCTCAAATTATTTGTAAAAAATCAATTTCCAGGTACAATGTCAGACACAGACTCAGGGATAACCAGGCATAACAGGATGTAAAGCATCATGGAAGAACCAACAAAACAAGAATAGGAACAGATCCACAGGAAGTTTAAAATCATGCTTGCTGTGATCATAAAGCTAAAGATGCACCTGAAATTTTACAACAGCTAGAAATTATAAAATGTGACCTTAGAGATTTCGAAAATATAGAGCCCACATGAAATTTTCAATTAAAAGCTGACTGCCTGGCTTATTAGCAGATTTGGCAAACACAAAGAGAAAACTAGCAAACTACAAGAAACATGAGAAAAATGGTTTTGAATTAAGCATGGGAAGATGAAAGGATGAGAAGTACAGAAGACAGGGAAGAAACCATAAAGGATAGAGGGAAGTCTAACGTGTGTAATCAGGGCCCCAGAAGAAAAAGAGAGAGAGAATGATGCAGGAGCAATTATTGAATACATAATAGCTGAGAATGTAGTAAATCTGACTAAAAAGCAACAAACCGCAGATGCAAGAACTTTTAAATAGGGTCTGTGAAGGGAGATTATACCTAGGCACATGACACTAAAATGATGAAAACCAAAGAAAATAAACTCTTAAAGGGAAATTGGGGCCGGGCGCGGTGGCTCACGCCTGTAATCCCAGCACTTTGGGAGGCTGAGGCAGGCAGATCACGACGTCATGGTCTTGAAAGACCAGCCTGGCCAACATGGTGAAATCTCAACTCTACTAAAAATACAAAAATTAGCTGGGTGTGATGTCACGTGTCTGTAATCCCAGCTACTTGGGAGGCTGAGGCAGGAGAATCACTTGAACCCAGGAGGCGGAGGTTGCAGCTTGAACCCAGGAGGCGGAGGCTGCAGTAAGCAGAAATTGCACCACTGCATTCCAGCCTGGGCAACAGAGCAAGAATCCGTCTCAAAAAAAAAAAAGGGAAATTGATAAAACTTGTTACTGGCACACAAAAACTAAAGAAAATACTAAACAGTAGTGTTAAAAGAGAAGGAGGCCAAGCACAGTGGCTCATGCCTGTAATCCAAGCACTTCGGGAGGCCAAAGCAGGAGGATTGCTTGAGGCCAGCAGTTTGAGATGAGCCTGGGCAACAGAGCAAGACCCCATCTCTGCTATAAGAAAGAGAGAGAGAGAAGGAAATTGGCCTGATGAAAGGACTAAGATGCAGGAAGAAATGAAAAGCAACAAAAACGGTAAATAAGAAAGTAAATATAAAAGCATGTTGACTGTATTAAATAATAATGTCTTTGGCAATTCATAAACTGATACAATTACAAAACACAAGAGTATGTAAGTTGGAAGAGAATAAAAAGATGTTTTTTGCTTAAAAAGGGCCCTTGAATTATTCAGAAAGAGAATACAAATCAATTAATGTTTAATACTGATAGTCAAAGATGCATGTTGTAATCTCTCATGTAACCACCATATTATAGTAAGAAGCATATAATTTCCGAACCAACCAAAGAAAGCATGGTAAACTCAATGAATCAGAAAGAAGGCAAAAATGGAGAGAAAAAAGAATACATCAGGCAGGACAAATAAAAATAATAAATGGATGCTTCACACTCAAATATACCAGTAGTAACTTTAAAAGTGGATCAAGAAAAATATTTTAATGAAAACCCAAAAACTATGTCAGACTGAATTTAAAAACTCAAGACTATATTGACGAGAAGAAAGACCTAAAGCATGCAGATACTAGAAAAGTGTGAAAAGCTGAAAAAGATATAAATGGCAAAGAGTAACAAAAAGAAAGCTAGCGTGCCTGTATTAATATTAGATAATATAGTATTAAATCAAAAAGCATGTCTCTATATAAAAAGCATTAATTTGAATTAAAAAGTTCAACTCATTTGAAAAATAAAAATGTCTAAATTTATATAATCCTAATAGCATAAACTCAAATTATATATTACAAAAATTGACAGAAACAAAGGAGACATAAAACAAATCCACAAACTTGGTAACATTCCTTTCTCAGTATTTGATAAAACAGTCAAAAAACCAGGAAGTTATATATTTGAGCATCACTATTAATAAACTAACCTAATGGACACGTATAAAACACTGCACACAAGAGCTGTAGAACACAGTTTTTCAAGTACTCACACAACACTGACAAGTACTGACCATATTCTGTGCCATAAGCAAGTATCAATCAATTTCAAAAAACTAAATTCATATAGGATTAACTTAAATCAGAATTCACCATAAAAAGAAAATTACTAAAAGTCCCATTTGCTTTGAAATTATGTAATACAATTCTAAATGACCAATTAGTCAAAGAAAAGAAGTCACGAGAGAAATTAAGAAAAATATTTTTGTAAATGATATTAAACATATAGGTTGAGTATCCCTACTCGGAAACTCCAAAATCCAAAATGCTTCAAGATCTAAAACTTTTTGTGTGTTGGCATATGACACCCAAAGGAAATGCTCGCTGGAGATTTTCGGATTAGGAATGTTCAGCTGGTAAGTGTAATGCAAATAATATCCCAAAAATAAAAAAAAATCAGAAATCTGAAAAACTTCTTGTCTTAAGTATTTCAGATAAAGAATATTCAACTTGGCTGGCTCACGCCTGTAATCCCTACACTTTGGGAGGCCAAGGCGGGTGGATCAAGTGAGGTCAGGAGTTCGAGGCCAGCCTGGCCAATATGATGAAACCCCATCTCTACTATAACTACAAAACATTAGCTGGGCATGGTTGTGGGCTCCTGTAATCCCAGCTACTCAAGGAGGCTGAGTCAAGAGAAACACTTGAACACGGGAGGCGGAGGTTACAGTGAGCCAAGATCGCACCAACACTCCAGCCTGGGCAACAAGAGCAAAACTCCATCTCAAAAAAAAAAAAAAAAAAAGAAAAAGAATATTCAACTTGTACTACGTATCAAAGATTGTGGGATATTGCTTGCTTTCGGGGAAATTAATAGTCTACTTGACTATATTAAGGAATACTAAAAGGAGAAATTAATGAGCTAGGCACAACTTGTAAAAAAGAAGACTATACTAAACACAATAGCAGAAAAAATAAATAAAAATAACTAATTAAAAGACAAATCTAGGAAAAAAGTATAAATTATATAATAACAGAAATAAAAAAGGGAACATCAGTACAAATCCTACATACATCAACAGGTTAAAAGTGTTATGTGAACAACTGAATGCTAATAAATTTGAAAATTTAAGTAAAAAGGACAGATTAATAGAAAAATACAAGTTTCTAAAATTTAGAGTAGAAAAAAACCCAGCATATTCTCAATAGTTCTTTAACATTAAGCAAATTGAAAGGTAGTTTGAATCTTTCTGCAAAAAACACTTCAGATTCAGATGGCTTCACCAGTAAATTTGCCAAAAATGTGAGGAAGAAATAACATTCACTTACATAAACTCTTCCAGTAGTGAGAACAAATACTTCTTAATTTATTTTATGAAGCTGGCATGGGCTTTATACTAAAACACAATAAACATATTAAAAAACACAAAAGTACAAGTCTATCTTATTTAGGCAAAAATTCTTTTTTTTTTTTCTTTTTTGAGACGGAGTCTCGCTCTGTCGCCGAGGCTGGAGTACAGTGGCGATCTTGGCTCACTGCAAGCTCTGCCTCCCGGGTTCATGCCATTCTCCTGCCTCAGCCTCCCGAGTAGCTGGGACTACAGGCACCCGCCACCACACCCGGCTAATTTTTTGTATTTTTAGTAGAGACAGGGTTTCACTGTGTTAGCCAGGATGGTCTTGATCTCCTGACCTCGTGATCTGCCAGCCTTGGCCTCCCAAAGTGCTGGGATTACAGGTGTGAGCGGCCAAAAATTCTTAATAAAACATTAGTTTACTAATCCCAGAAATATATAAAAGATAATACATTAGGAAGATGGATATAGCTCAAGAATTCAAGATTGGTATGGCATTAGAAAAATCAATGTCATTAGATACATTAACACAAAAAGAGAAAAATCATATGATCAACTCAACTGAAGCAGAATATGCATTTGATTCAACATTTATTCATAATACTTTCTCTTAGCAGGCTACGAATAAAAGAATCATTAGTTTGTAAGGGCTATTCACCAATATCCTAATAAAATATCACATATAATGGTACAATGTTCAAATTTTTCCCTTTACACATTGTATCAGGGAAAGAATGTATGATATCACCACTTCCATTTAGAACTGTACTGGAGTCCTTGCCACTGCAATTAGGTAAGAAAAAAAAAAGTATAATGACTAAAAAGGTAGAAATAATGCTATCATAATTCAAAAATAAAATGACTGTGTAGAAGATCTAAAATAATCTTAGAAACTTATTAGAATTAATACATGAGTGACCAGGCACAGTGGCTCATGCCTGTAATCCCAGCACTTTGGGACGCCAAGATAGGCAGATTATCTGAGGTCAGGAGTTCAAGAACAGCCTGGCCAACATGGTGACACCCCATAGCTACTAAAAATACAAAAAAAAAAAAATTATCCGGGCGTGGTGGTGTGTGCCTGTAATCCCAGCTACTCAGGAGGCTGAGGTGGGAGAATTGCTTGAAACTGAGAGGCAGAGGTTGCAATGAGCCAAGATAGCACCACTGTACTTCAGCCTGGGCAACAGAGTGAGACTCTGTCAAAAAAAAAAAAAAAAAAAAAAAGAATTAATACATGAGTTTAGCAAAGTTTCTGGATACAAGATCACCTACTATGTCTCTATAGACTGTATGAACATACATACATATGCATGTATACTATATTTACTACATGTAAACACACACACATTGAATTCATAAGCACACTATTTGTAATAAGCTAACAAAATCACTTTGCTAGGAATACATCTAAAAAATGTATAAGATCTCAACACTGAAAACTATAAAGTATTATTAAGAGATTAAAGATGGTGCAAATAAGAGAGAAATAGAGGGAACTGTGTTCTGTGTTACATAGATCTGGGGTCAGTGCCTGCTTCCACCAGCCACACTGGAAAAACTAATCATTCATCAGCACTGCTAGGGAACTTAGGAAAGTCTTGCCTCAGGAGTGGAGAACAATTAACTCTAGATGAGCACTTCTTTAGATCCTCCTAACAAATCAAATTGTTTTGAGTAAATTCACTGCAGTCCTGGGCACAACTCAAGAATATTTATAGTCAAATCCAATATCTGGCATCCTATTAAAGATTATCAGGCATGCAAAGAAGAAAGAAAACTAGGCCCATAATAAAGAGAATAAGTAAGTCAGCTTAATCTAACATAGAAGAGACACAGATGTTAGAATTTGTAGAAAATGACATTAAAGCAGTAATTATGCTGGCTTTCCAATGATCAAAAACTTAAGTAGGGACATGGAAGGTAAAAAAGAGACCAAAATTGAACTTCTAGAGATGAAAGCTACAATATCTGAGACAAAAAATAAACTGAAAGAGATCAACAGCTGCTTAGAACTTACAAAAGAAAAATATAGTGAACTTGAAAAATAGTAACCAAAACTATCCAAACGGAAATACTAAGAGAAAAAAGAATCAAAAGAGAGGATTGGTAAGTTGTAAAACAATTTCAAGAAGCCAATATTCTATTACTTAGAATCCCCAAAGATGGGGAAGGGTATGAAGAAATATTTGATTAAATAATAACTGAAAAGTTTCCAAACTTAATGAAAACTATAAACCTACAGATCCAAGAATCTCAAACCCCCAAATTATGAAGAAAATTACAAAGCATATCATGATCAATTTGCTTAAAACTAGTAATTAAAAAAAAAACTTGCAAGCAGCTGTGTTATGTACAAAGGAACACAAATAAGGATAAGAGCAGATATTTCATTACAAACAATGCAAGCAAGATGACACTGGAGCAACATCTTTAAAGCACCAAAGTGTAAAATACTGTCAACCTAGAATTCTATACCCAGTAAAGATATTTTTCAAAATAAAAAAGGAGGGTGTAAAATAAAGATGTTTGCACATATACAAAAGCTGAAAAAAAATTCCTCACCCACAGATCCATACCAGAAAAAAATGATAAAGGAAGCCATTCAGGCAAAAGGAAATTATCAATTGGAAATTTGGATCTACACAAAAGAATGAAGAGCACAGGAAAAGGCAACTGTTTGTTTGTTTGTTTTGTTATTTGACAGCCAGTTCATCCTTAAGCTCTAGGTGATTTTAGTGCTCTTTTTATGAGCATGGGTAAGTAAGACTTTTTCTTATTACATAAATCTCTGTAATATATAAGCAAAATGTATCATAAAAATAACATTCGTTTACAACATATATATATGATGATGATGATGATGATGATGATGATGATGATGACAGTACAAAGTCTGGAAGGAGAGAAATGGAAGGATACCATTGCAAAGTTCCTTTACTATATGTGAACTGAAATAATATCACTGAAAGGATAGATCAGGATGAATTAAAGATGTATCCAACAAACCTTGAAGTAACCTCTAATGAAAAGGTATAGCTAATGGGAGAAAAAAGAAGCAGAAAAAGAAGAAAAGGGTCACAAAGAGAAGATGGGAAAACAACTAGCAAGATGATAGGCTTAAATCTAACCATGTCATTAATCACATTAAATGCAAAGCTTTACACATTTCAATTAAAAGGCAGACTCGTTTTTAAAAAAATTAGCAAAAGACTCAATTTCTTGCTGTCTAAAAAAATGCACTTTAAATACAAGATGCAAATATGTTATATAAGGTTATGCTGTAACTAGTCAAAAGAAAGCTAAAATGGCTATATTGCTATCAGACAAAGTAAGTTTCAAAGCAGAGAATATTGCCAGGGATTTATAAAAGGGCCAAAATGCCCCTGACAACAAAGCTTCAAAGTAAATGAAGCAAAACTGATAGATCTGCAAAGAGAAATACACATATCTGCATTATGTTCAGAGGTTCAGTAGCCCTTTACAATAATTCCTAGAAAAAATGGCATAAAATTAGCAAGAACACAGAAGACTTGAATAACATCATCAACCAGTGTTACCTGTTTGACATCTATAAAATACTCCACCTAAAAACAGCAGAATGCACGTTATTCTCAAAAGCACATAGAGCATTTAGCAAGATAGACCATATTTTAGGTCCTAAAAGAAGTGTCAACAAGTTTACCATAACTCACATTATAAAAAATATTTCCCATTTGTCTGGGTAATAATTTTTTTGATTTGACCCCGAAAGGACAGGCAACAAAAACAAAAATACACAAGTTTGGTAATATCAAACTTAAAAGCTCCTGCACAGCAAAAGAACAATTAACAGTGTGCAGAGACAACCTGCGAATTGGGAGAAAATATCTGCAAGCCATATATCCATTATTGCAAGCTATTATTGATTAATAATGGATTAATATCCAAAGTATACAAGGAGCTCAAAAACCCAATAACAAGAAAACAAAAAATCAAATTAAAGAATAGGCAAGGGATCTGAATAAACATTGCTTAGAAGAAGACATACAAATGGCCAAAAGACATATGAAAAAATGCTCAACATCACTAGTCATTAGGAAAATGCAAATTAGAACCACAATGAGATTTGCTATCCTACCTGTCAGAATAGTTATTACCAAAAAGATAAAAGATATCAAATGTTGATGAGGATGTGAACAAAGGGAACACTCATATGCTGTTGATGGAAATATAAATTAGGGCAGCTGTTATGGAAAACTGTATGGAGGTTCCCCCAAAACTAAAAATAGAATTACCATATGAACCAACATCTCACTTCTGGGTATTTATGCAAAAGATTTGAAATCAGTTTGCCAAAGAGATGTCTGCACTCCCATGTTCATTGAAGCATTATTTACAATAATGGAATCAACCCAAGTGTCCATCAACAGATGAATGAAGAAAATGTGGTATAGATACACAATGAAATACTATTCAGCTTTAAAAAGAAGGAAATTCTGTCATTTGCAACAACATGGATGGAACTAGACAACATTTTGCTAAGTAAAATAAGCCAGGCACAGAGACAAATATTTCATATACTCACTTATATGTGGAATCTAAAGCAACCAAACTCAGAAGCAGAGAGTGGAATTGTGGTTACAGAGGCTGGGAGTTGGGAGAGATGGGGAGATGATGGTCAAAGGGTACAACATCTCAGGTAGACCACACTGTTTTGATTCCTGTAGTCTTGTAGTACATTTTGGAGTCAAGATATGTGAATCTTCCAACTTCATTCTTCTCTTTCAAGATTGTTTTGGCTATATGGGGAGCCTTGTAACTCTACATAAATTTGAGGATTGCCTTTTTTATTTCTGCAAAAATTCATTAGGGTTTTGACAGATAGCGCATTGTATCAGTAGACTGCTTTGAGTAGTATGGCATCCTAACACTATGAAATTTGCCTATCCATGAACATAGGATGTCTTTTCATTTATTTAAGTCCTTTAAAATTTTTTTCAGCAACGTTTTATAGTTTTCAGTATATGTGTCTTTCACCTCCTTGCTTAAATTTCTTCCAGGTATTTTATTATTCTACATGCTGTTTTCTCTAATTGTTTATTTTATTTTGCGATTTTTGTTGTAAACTAATCATTTATAATTGTATAAATTTATGGGGTATAAAGTAATGGTATAATTTGTGAATACAATATAGAATAACTAAATTAAGCTAGTTAACATATCTATCACTCCAAGTACCTGACGATTTTGTGGTAAGAACGTTTGAAATTTACCCTCTAGGTAATTTTGAAATGTATAATATTCCATTACTAACTATATTCAGCACACTGTACAACAGAACTCAAAAAATATGTATTTATTCCTCCTGTCTGAGATTTTGCTCCCTTTGACCATCATCTATCTTCCTATCTCCCCCATCCCCCAGCCTCTGTAACCACAGTTCACTCTCAGCTTCTGAGTATGATTGCTTTGCATTCCACATATAAGTGAGTACATGAGATACTTGTCTTTCTGTGCCTGGCTTATTTTACTTAACATAATGTTGTCTAACTCCATCCATGTTGTTGCAAATGACAGAATTTCCTTCTTTTTAAAGCTGAATAGTATTTCATTGTGTGTGTATACCACGTTTTCTTTATTCATTCATCTGTTGATGGACACTTAGGTTGATTCCCTGAGACCCCCTGAGGAACACAGGAAAAGGCACCCCTAACTGCACCCCCCCACAAGTCACTCTTAAGGGCTGTAATTTTTGCTCCATTTTTCAAGACTTCTTGTGCTTAGTTCCATAAAACATTTGAGTCAAGCTCCCAAGAATATGGCTGGACAGAAGTGTACATTGTCCCCCACCTGTGGCTAGCATAAATAAAGGGCTGCAGTTTCTATCTATATAATCACATATATGTTATATATATCATATATAGTTATATATATGATATATGTTATATATATATATTTTAAAGACAGGGTCTCTGTCACCCAGGCTGGAGTGCACTGCCGTGATCAGAGCTTACTATAACCTTGACCTCCTGGGCTCAAGGGATTCTCCCACCCTAGCCTCCCAAATAGCTATGACTACAAATGCACACCACCACACTTAGCTAATTTTTTGTTCTTGTAGAGACAAGATAAAAAATTGCTGTAGAGATGGGAGTCTTGCCACGTTGCCTAGGCTGGTCTCAAACTGTTGGCCTCAAGCAATCCTCCTGCATCGGCCTCCCAAAGTGATGAGATGACAGGTGTGAACCACTGTGCATTCATGTGCTGCGGTTTTTTATTTTGTTTGTTTGTTTTTGGTTGTTTGTTTGTTTTTTGAGATGGAGTCTCGCTCTGTCACCTGGCTGGAATGCAGTGGCGTGATCTCGGCTTGCTGCAACCTCTGCCTCCTGGGTTCAAGAGATTCTCCTGCCTCAGCCTCCCGAGTAGCTGGGACAACAGGCGCGTGCCACCATGCCCAGCTAATTTGTTTGTATTTTTAGTAGAGATGAGGTTTCACTGTGTTGGCCAGGATGGTCTCGATTTCTTGACCTCGTGATCTGCCTGCTTTGGCCTCAAAAGTTCTGGGATTACAGGCGAGAGCCACTGGGCTGCAGTTTTAAAGGGAACTGACAGCAGTTGCCATAAGTGGTTATTACTGCAGGAGGGCGTGAACTCCAGCTTTTGGAATTCACAGATTTGGATTTGTGTTCTTTTTTCTTACACACACACGTAAGAGAAGCCTTGGGTGCCTGGGTCAGACAGAAAATGGAAAATCATTGGCTGAGTTGGTCAAGGCAATCTCAGAGGTAAAGTCATCCCGGCCCTGAGAAACCCAATATCCGACATAAAAATTGGATCCCTAATTTCTCAAGCTCTAAATACTTGCCTTCTAGCAGACCTGCCTTTTTCATGTATATTTGGCCCTGTAACCTGCAAATATTTACAGAAGTGGAAAAATCTTACTAAAGATAATCCGGAATTACAGCAGCCATTATGTAAAACGTTCCAGATGAACAAAACTGTTTATTGAAGAAGTGCACTTGAGTCCTGGGCTCCACAAATTAGGCAGAGGGAATGGGATTCTTATTGGCATTCAGGATCCTCAAAGAGACAACAGGATTCCCAAATAGCCTTTTATAAAGATTCATTATAAAAAGCTAATGAAAATCTAAAAATGCAAGATATTCCCCATACCCTATCCCACTTTGTCTGAATATTCATGATCTACTCCAGAATATTCATAGGCTAACACTCTGTCTGAACTGCCTTTTTCCCTTGAAATAGCAGTTAAACAGTTTCCTTATAAGAACTACCCACAAATTCAGGAGATAATCCCCAAGTGACTGATACTCCCTAGACAGAAATAGAGCTCAGGGCCATAGTTCGAAAATTTCCTAAACCTAGGAAAGACCTTCGAAAGTTTTCTAAAGAATTCAAGGTCTTAATTGTAACATATGACCTCTGGATACCTGACTGCCACCAACTAATACACAGGTTGGTGGGACCTGGGGAGGCCCAAAAATGAATGAAAGGGGCACACTGCTATTTTTTGAGAATGATAGGAACCTGACTAGTCTCAGTGGACTACTTATGGGCCAGGCAATGCTGAAACAGCACAAATGAGCTTTTGAAAGCCATTCCCAAAGTGTTTCAGCTCCATGGCAACCAACAACCCAGAACAGTTTTGGGACTGCCCTGGAGCACTTTCTAATAGGTGACTCCGAAAACAACAGTTTCCAAAAAATCGTTGCCACTTGTGCAAACAACCAGGACACTAGAAAAGGGGCTGTCTCAAAGATTTCCAAGAAATCCCTTAAAAACAGTCTGCCCAACCTCTGAAAATGGTCTCCATGTTAACCACCAGGACAGATGGGCCTCTGAGGGAAGCTTCAGGAGACTTCTACCTAATATGCTTTGCCCATTCATTAGTAGCCTCTACCCCCTAAGTCAATAATCTAATGAAGAAACAAAGCTGAAAAGTCCAACTCTGGAACTAAACCTGTCTTTAAAATACAATTTTCTGAAATTTAGTTAGCTAATTTTGAAACTCTTTGTAAAAGAAATTTACATCTATAAAGGAAATCTCCATTTGTAAGCGTGTCTCCTTCTCTGTACTTAAACCACTAGAAACTTTTGCTTTGGGAAAAACATCGGTTCAACCTTCACATAACAAACCTTACCTTTCTTTAATGTACTTTTCCTGGCCATCTTGCCTTAACTGGGCCTTTACCCCTTCTTTGTTTTGGCAAATAATAGTATCTAGATCTAAGTTCTGTTCATTGTTTACCTTGTTTCATTTGGGAGCCATCCCTTTGAGACTGCAAATTTAGGGTTCCTAGCTAGCAATTGTTTAGGACAATGGAACAGGTAAGCAGAAGATTGACAAAGGAAGGAGAGAACACTGGCAAATGAAGAATCTTGTCAGATCTGCTCCTATTTGTGTGTCTGTTTGTCTATATGTCTGTATGTGTTCTGTGTATGTGATATTTCTCTGCCAAAATATATGAGAGCTCGGATTAATTGGCTTAAAGAAAAGTGAGTGCTGGCCAGGCGCGGTGGCTCACGCCTATAATCCCAGCACTTTGGGAGGCCGAGGCGAGCGGATCACCAGGTCAGGAGATTGAGATCATCCCGGCTAACACGGTGAAACCCCGTCTCTGCTAAAAATACAAAAAATTAGCTGGGTGTGGTGGCGGGCACCTGTAGTCCCAGCTACTCGGGAGACTGAGGCAGGAGAATGGCGTGAACCCAGGAGGCGGAGCTTGCAGTCAGCCGAGATCCTACCACTGCACTCCAGCCTGGGCCACAGAGCAAGACTCCATCTCAAATAAAAAAAAAGAAAGAAAGAAAGAAAGAAAAGTGAGTGCTTAAATCAAACATTCTATCTGAAAGAAACAGAACAACTCAAATGACTTTTGATCCACATTACCTGGGTAAATCTTTGGTAAACAAAACTGGTTTAATGTTGCTGGTTTAATGAAAACAGTTGGGTCTTCTCATCAGCAAAATACCTGTGTATTTAACTTTAGGGTTTTTGCTTAGGTGCTGACTAACATTTGCATGTTGTAAAAATGGTTCACAGGGAAAACTTGAGATGATGGCTAGTTTAGCTCAATGTCAAATAAAATGTTCATAAACAGCTCAAATATAACTGTTAAAATGAGTAAATTAGGTACATTCAAACGGCCATAAACATTTATAAATGAATTCTTCATAGTTCAAAAAATCTTTTTGGTAACTTAAAACCTTCAAGTGAAATTAAGTAATAGATACTCATTAAATGTTTAGGTCATTTCTTGATAAGTTAAAATACTAAGCATTCATCATTAACAATAAGTAAAAAGTTTATATACTTTGACATCTTGTTTTTATATGGTAGAGAGTAGCTAAATATATTTGGGTCTGTTAGTAAACATAAAACAATTGTTCTGTGAGGAAGTTACATGTTTCTAGTAATTATAAAATTTAAATCCATAAAATATTGGTAAGTGACAAATAAAAATTGCATATTTCCTAGCTTTTCACAAAAAATAAAGGTTAAAATTCTAATTAATATAGCTAATTAGAACTACTAGAGAAAAGGAAAACAATTTTGTATGCAAAATGTACAAAGAAAGTAAGATGTGTTTTTGGTGAGAAAAATCTTGAGAAGATAGAAGGATATATTTTATGTTAAAAAAGAGCAATTCTATCTAATTCAAAGGTTATTTAGAGGTTTTCTTCAAAATATAGATTTAAGGAGGAAATAGAAAAAAGGCAGAAAGGAGCAGTAAATAGGAGAGATGAGAAAAAAGGTGTAAGTATGAGGATTTGTTTTTGGTAAAAAATTAAAAAGTTGAAAAAGAGTAATTTCTTTCTTTTGCATGAGAGATAACTTTGTGTGGTCAAAATTGTTAGATATGAGTTCTAAATTTCTTTTCAAAGAATTAATGTCAGTATGTTCAATTCTTTGCCTTCTACTTCTAAACTTAACTTCCTCGTAAAGCAACCTTTTTTGATCACCTGCTCCACCCTAACTCATTCCGACCACCTGCTCCACCCTAACTCATTCCGACCACCTGCTCCACCCTAACTCATTCCTATCACCTGCTCCACCCTAACTCATTCCGACCACCTGCTCCACCCTAACTCATTCCGACCACCTGCTCCACCCTAACTCATTCCGATCACCTGCTCCACCCTAACTCATTCCTATCACCTGCTCCACCCTAACTCATTCCGATCACCTGCTCCACCCTAACTCATTCCGACCACCTGCTCCACCCTAACTCATTCCGACCACCTGCTCCACCCTAACTCATTCCGACCACCTGCTCCACCCTAACTCATTCCTATCACCTGCTCCACCCTAACTCATTCCGACCACCTGCTCCACCCTAACTCATTCCGACCACCTGCTCCACCCTAACTCATTCCGACCACCTGCTCCACCCTAACTCATTCCGACCACCTGCTCCACCCTAACTCATTCCGACCACCTGCTCCACCCTAACTCATTCCGACCACCTGCTCCACCCTAACTCATTCCGACCACCTGATCCACCCTAACTCATTCCAATCACCTGCTCCACCCTAACTCATTCCGACCACCTGCTCCACCCTAACTCATTCCGATCACCTGCTCCACCCTAACTCATTCCTATCACCTGCTCCACCCTAACTCATTCCGACCACCTGCTCCACCCTAACTCATTCCTATCACCTGCTCCACCCTAACTCATTCCGACCACCTGCTCCACCCTAACTCATTCCGACCACCTGCTCCACCCTAACTCATTCCGATCACCTGCTCCACCCTAACTCATTCCGACCACCTGCTCCACCCTAACTCATTCCGACCACCTGCTCCACCCTAACTCATTCCGACCACCTGCTCCACCCTAACTCATTCCGATCACCTGCTCCACCCTCATTCCGACCACCTGCTCCACCCTAACTCATTCCGATCACCTGCTCCACCCTAACTCATTCCGACCACCTGCTCCACCCTAACTCATTCCGACCACCTGCTCCACCCTAACTCATTCCGATCACCTGCTCCACCCTCATTCCGACCACCTGCTCCACCCTTACTCATTCTGATCACCTGCTCCACCCTAACTCATTCTGATCACCTGCTATCTGCTCTCCCCTGACTCCCGCCAAAGCACTTACCCTGTCAGTCTCTTTAAATTAGCCCATTGGAAGTAGTTTAGCCTGTGCGATCTAACCCTAGCCAATGGGGGACCGACACAGCACCAGGGGCCACGTGCGTCAGGGATAAGAACCCCTTCCCCTCCTTTGTCCAAATGTGCACTCGCCATTGTTCCATCTGTAAGGGCGCACCCTTCTATATAGAAGTAACTTGCCTTGCTGAGAATTAAAAGGAACATTTTATATTCGAGTGCTATTTCTTTTGTGGCACCAAAACTTTATATATAACAATATATATAACAAAATGATAAAGGGAAAAGGCAAGTAAATTTTTATCCTCAGGTAGAAGGCATAGGACAAAATGGAAGGTTTAAGCAAGATGTAGGTTTGTGCAAGATTAATCTCATGAAAATAATTTTATGTGTGATCAGATTGACTAAAATTAGAAAATTTAAGTTTTTAAAAAACTGAGCATTAGTATGAAAAGTACACTGATGGGAGGGAGGAGTTTGAGCCTCTGTGTTAGAACAAGGTTTTCTTGGAGCATTGCTCTGCCCTTAATAGAAAACTGTGGGCCAGGTGTGGTGGCTCAGGCCTGTAATCCCAGCACTTCTGGAGGCCAAGGTGGGCGGATTGCTTGAGACCAAGAGTTCGAGATCAGCCTGGGCAATATGGTGAGTTCCTATGTCTACACAAAGTTTTTAAGAAAATTAGTCGAGCATGGTGGCACATGCCTGTAGTCCCACCTATTCAGGAGGCTAAGGTGGAGAATCGCTTGAGCCTGGGAGGTGGAGGTGGCAGTGAGCTGAGATCACACTACTGTACTCCAGCCTGGGTGGAGACCCTGTCTCAAAAAAAAAAAAAAATAGTGAAAAGTTTTTCTTTACCTTTTAGGTAGCTGGCCTAGGAAACTGATTCTATGTTTAATCAAGATAATTTCTTGTGCTTTGTATCTTTGAAATCTTCTGTCACTTTGGTTTTATTTCACAGTGATCTGTGTTCCTATCTGATCATGTAATTTTTTTTTTTTTCTTTGAGATGAAGTCTCACTCCGTCGCCAGGCTGGAGTGCAGTGGCGCGATCTCGGCTCACTGCAACCTCCAACTCCTGGGTTCAAGCAATTCTCCTGCCTCAGCCTCCCTGAGTAGCTATGTAATTTAAACCTTGGATATTTGACAAACTTTTCAAAAAACTTTTGACCGAAATTAACTTTAGGACATTCCAGAAAGCCCTGGAACTTCTAAAAGGAACTGTAAAACAAAGAGATTAAGCCAACATGGGCTTATCGAATATTTTAAATTATATGGGAAGCACTGTCAAAACATGGAATGATGTTTAGCCTTCGAGTGACAGTTATATGGATGTGTTATTAATAGATGTTCCAAAATTGTATAAAGTTCCTAGAAACCTATGTCTTCATATAAATGCTATCAGTCATAATTATGGTTCACGAATAACCAAATTTCCTTGTCAACTGCATTGCCATAGCCATTTTAAGCCTTGGTGTTCATAGCAATTGCTTTATTCCAATGCCTTTCTGAAAGTTACTTGCAAGCACTTACAATCTTCAAGTGTTATGTCTTCAGGGCAGTTCATGGAAAGAATGGAAAGAATGAAAAAAACTCTGACAAGTATATAGTTTCTAATAATTTTGAGTTCATAGCATTGGACTGAATTTCCAAAACTATAATAGCACAAAACTGATGGGCTTGTGCTAAGCAAGTTCACAGCAGGAATTAATTACATGGAGCTGGGCACGGTGGCTCATGAATGTAATGTCAGCACTTTGGGAGACTGAGGCAGGAGGATGGCTTGAACACAGGAGCTTGAGGCTGCAGTGAGCTATGATCGTGCCACTGCACTCCGGCCTGGTGACTGAAACATACATACATACATACAAGCATACATATATAAAACATGTGCCTACCATATGTTTCAGCCATTCCACCTCTGGATTTATCTAAGAGATGTGTCTAAGAGAATGAAAGACTAAGTCTTTGCAAAGACTTTTATATGAATTTTTATAGCACATTTATGTATCACAACCAAAAATTGTAAACAACCCAAATGTCTATCAACAGATGAATGAATCCAAAAGATACATAGTTGAGCTATACTATATATCTCAACCAAATACTACTCTCAATAAAAAGAAATAAACTATGAATACCTACAACTTGGATAAATCTCAAAATATTTATACTGAGAGAAAAAAGTCAGACGAAAAAAGGACACACTGTATTATTCCATTTCTATCTCTTAAAAATTCAAAATAATCTGCAGTGACTGAAAGAAGATCAGTGGTTGTCCGGGGCCACTCTCAGTACCAATTTACTGTATGAGTCTGTTCTCACACTGCTAATAAAGACATACCCGAGACTGGGTAATTTATAAAGGAAAGAGAGTTAATTGACTCACACTTACCACAGAGTCCCCACAGGGGCAGCACCTAGTGGAGCTGTGAGAAGAGGGCCACCGTCCTCCAGACCCCAGAATGGTCGATCCACGGACAGCTTGCACTAAGTGCCTGGAAAAGCCACAGACACTCAACGCCAGCTGTGAAAGCAGCCAGGAGTGGGGCTGTACCCAGCAAAGCCACAAGGGTGGAGCTATCCAAGGCCATGGCAGCCCACCTCTGGCATCAGTGTGACCTAGATGTGAGACATGGAGTCAAAGGAGATCATTTTGGAGCTTTAAGATTTAATGACTGCCCTATGGATTTTGGACTTGCATGGGGCCTGTAGCCCCTTTGTTTTAGCCAACCTCTCCCATTTGGAATGGCTATATTTACCCAGTGCCTGTTCCCCCATTGTATCTAGGAGGTAACTAATTTGCTTTTGATTTTATAGTCTCATAGGCAGAAGGGACTTGCTTTGTCTCAAATGAGACTTCGGACTTGGACTTTTGGGTTAATGCTGGAATGAATTAAGACTTTGGGGGACTGTTGGAAAGGCATGGCTGTGTTTTGAAATGTGAGGACGTGAGATTTGGGTAGGGTGGAATGATATGGTTTGGCTGTGTCTCTACCAAAATCTCATCTTGAATTGTGGCTCCCGTAGTCCCCACATGTTGTGGGAGGGATCCGGTGGGAGGTAAATGACTCAGGGGTCGGTTCCCCCCATGCTGTTCTCGTGACAGTGAGTTCTCATGAGATCTGATGGTCTTATAAGGGCCTTTTCCCCCTTTTGCTCGGCACTTCTCCTTCCTGTCAACCATATAAAGAATGACATGTTTACTTCCCCTTCAGCCATGATTATAAGTTTCAAGAGGCCTCCCCGGCCATGCCAAACTGTGAGTCAGTTAAACCTCTTTCCTTTATAAATTACCCAGTCTTGGGTATGTTTTTATTAGCAGTCTGAGAGTAGACTAATACAGGAACGCAGTGGCACAATCATGGCTCACTGCAGCCTTGATCTTCTGGCCTCAAGAAATCTTTCTGCCTCAGCCTCCCGAGTAGGTGGGACTACAGGAATGCACCACCACGCCCGGCAAATTCGAAAGAAAAATGTTTGTAGAGACTGTGTCTCACTGTGTTGCTAAGGCTGGTCTCAAACTCCTGGGCTCACGTGATCCTCCCGTCTTGGCCTCCCAAAGTGCTAGAATTACAGGCATGAGTCACTGTGCCCAAGCCTATTTATTTATTATTTTAGAGACAGGGTCTCACTCTATTGCCTGGGCTAGTGTGTAGCAGCACAATCATAGCTCACTGCAAACTAGAACTCTTGGGCTCCAGGGATCCTCCAGCCTCAGCCTCCTAACCAGCTAGGAATTGGCGTGTGGCACCATGCCCAGCTAAGTTGTAAATTTTCTGTAGAGACAAGGTTTTGCTACGTTGCCCAGGCTGGTCTCCAACTCCTGGCCTCAAGTGATCCTCCCACCTCGGCCTCCCAAAACTTTGGGATTACAGGCATGAGCCTGGCCAAATTATACATTTTAAATATGTGTGGTTTATTTTATGTCAGTCAGACCTCAATAAGGCTGTTTAAAAAACGAAAGGGCAGCTAAAGTTTTCAACCGATAATTAACAATGTGTTTTTTTCAAGTGACACACATTTTCCCAAACTTTTGGTTTTTTGAAAGACTCTTACTGAGCAGCTAAAAACAACCAGTTAATGAACTGCCTGTCTTTAAGAAACTACTGTCATCTGACTTATCCAAGGCTATTTTCAACTTAGGGAAAGGGAAGCTTATTTTTGTAAGAAAATAATTGCTCCTCCACCTGCACTCAATTCATTCTCGAGCAAAATTAACCTGCTGAGAATAAGGGTGTTATTTTACGTGCCTAAATTGCTTGCCCATGGAATTCTTGAAATAAATTATTTTCACTGGGACTGGGCATCCTTTTAATTCTAGATCACTAATTTAACATCCGCTCATCTGTTGGTCTTGAATATCAGCAACCAGTGAGTCCGACTCATCCCAAACGACAGCAGATGGCCAGGCTCCTCCCCCTGCATCCAGACTCACTTCCTCCTGGTGAAGTTGGCTCTCCAGCATCCCTTCCAGTACTGGGCTCCCAGAAGGATGCCTCTGAGAGGCTTCCACGCACATGAGTGTTAATTTCATGTGTCAACTTGAGTGGGCCACAGGGTGCCCGGATTAAAGATTGTTTCTGTGAATGTCTGTCCTCTGTCATTATTTGGAAAAGCTGGAGGAACACAGGCTGCAGATTAATGAAGACCAGGACACAGCAAGACACTGATTCTGCAGCACCTGCTGTAAAATGATTCACTCCAGGAAGCACAGGATCAGTGCAAATAAGTGCTGTTAATAATTAACTACTTTGCAGATGAGAGCTGGCCAGTTATAAGCTCCTCCCCTGTGGATCAATCAATAAGCAATGGAAATAAAGCATCCCTAAAATTATATCTATAGGAGAACACCGTTTCATTTTATTTTATTTAGAGCTTTTCAAAAGTACATTTTTTTGTAAAAGATAACCTCTCTGTGTCTTCTTTTAAGTGCTTGATTAGTGAAGTATGAAAATATCAACTATGTCAGGAAAGCAAGATCACAGAAGCGGATTATCCCACTTGCATGCAAAACCAAGGACAACAATTAGAGAAGAATATGCCTCATTATGTCCAGGTGACACCCATGCAATGCAGGGCTTCTCAGTCTCCAATGGGCACATGAATCCCCCAGGATCTTGTCAAAATGCAGATCCTTGCCTCAGTGGATCTGGGCAGGGCCTGGGACTCTGCATTTCTTCAAGGCACCGAGTGAGGCTGATGCTGTTATTCCACTGACCCGACAAAGACTTACGAAAATGAGGAATCCTGGGCAAAGAGCTTTCCAACCTAAGGTGCACCGTGCAGCGCGGGCTTCCAGGACTCAGGATGTTCCCTGCTACAGATGGCAGGTTTGAGTCCCCCAAAATGTATATGTTAAAACTTAGCCCTTAGAATGTATGTGTTTGAGTCCCCCATGTATATGTTAAAACCTAGTCCTTAATTTGATGGTATTTGAAGGTGGGTCCTTGGGAGGTGATTAGGGCATGAGGGTGGAGCCTCACGAGTGGGATTAGTGCCCTTCTAAGAAGAGACACTCACTCGAAGTTCTGCCTCTCTCTCTCTCTCCACCATGTGAGGACACAGAGTGAAGGTGGCTGTCTGCAGGCCGGGAAGAGGGCCCTTGCCAGACGCCAGATCTACTGGCGCCTCAATCTTGTATTCCCAGCTTCCAGAACTGTCAGAAATAAATGTCTATTATTTATACGTGACCCAGTCTGTGGTCATTTCATTACAGTATTAGGAACAGACCAAGATATTCCCTTTCCAACAATCTGAGCTATCCTTCACTTCTTCCCATCACCTGAAATACAAAGGGTTATCACTCAGCCTATGATGCTAGAAACCGCAGACGCTCTACCTTCGGGTTTAGGAGTGCCATGAGCTAAAAGCTCCGGCCTGCTAATGGCAGAGGGTAATTGTGGCTTCCATGACTGGGTTCAGGAAATGAGTGCCACTGGGGACCTGTGACTGCAGGGAAAGGTAAGGAAATGCACTTCATTCTATTAAACCTCCCGGCTGAAGCGTTTGTCTGTGGAATGCTAGTGAGGATGCAGGACACACATTAAACAGCATCAAGACTTGCTTCTAGACGATTTTCTCCTTGAAGCCTAGACTTTAAACAGCCCTGATGTTTCAGGTGAAGGATCTCTGGGGAGCACCAGCAGCCCTGTGGAGCCCTCATGATGAAGTCAGCACAACACAGGGGGGCGGGGCGGGGGTGTTGTGTCTGCCTGGCACAGCCTGGTGGCTTCGTGGAGAGACAATGTTTAACAGCCAGTAGCATAGTAATCCAATATTCTCCACTCCTCTATAGAATACCTGCCAATAATGACAACATGTGAACAAAGAATTCCCCTTCAGCATCAGAACTTTCCATTAGAAACACGTCTACCTGCTCCTGTCTTTGATATCTCAGAAGCCCTCCAGAACATTCAGCGTGTCCAACTTGCTCTGGTTTTCTGGCACCAAGAAAGCTCAGGTTAAAGTCAGAGACTTAGCGTTCCCACCCACATTCCAGAATTCTGCCCGTGTAGAGCCTCTAATGATATCACATCCCTCACCGCGGCACTACAGCTGTCCTGCTCTCATGTGCAGGTAAGCGGTCACTCCTGAAGTCCTGGGCAAGGAAAAGATCATTGAGACGCAGCTTCCTCCTTCCCAGAGCTCGGGCTGGAAGCTCCCAGCCCTGGACAGCCAATTCTCATCTAATACCCAAACTCTCCAGCCTCACCTTAATTCTTCCAGCTCTGTGGATTAGACAGAGGTATTGTATTCATGATCAAGTTCTTCTCACAGAGACGCAAACCCTTTTCTCTATAACTTCACTCCTGGTGCCGGTCTCACCTTTCCTCCAGTAGCCTGCCTTTCAATGACAGCAGCAGCAGGGCAGTGCTGAGGGCGGCCACCCTTCTGAGCACTCACCACCTGCCAGGTGCAGTGCAAAGGACAGGCCAGAAGGACCTCTGACATCATTCCCATTTTGCAGATGTATCAGTCCGTTTTCACATTGCTAATAAAGACATACCCAAAACTGGGAACAAAAAGAGATTTAATTGGACTTACAGTTCCACATAGCTGGGGAGGCTTCAGAGTCATGGTGCAAGGTGAAAGGCACTTCTTACATGGTGGCGGCAAGACAAAAATTAGGAAGAAACAAAAGTGGAAACCCCTCATAAACCCATCAGGTCTAGTGAGACTTATTCACTGTCACGAGAATAGCACAAGAAAGACCAGACTCCATGATTCAGTTACCTCCCCCTGGTTCCCACAACATGTGGGAATTCCGGGAGATACAATTCAAGTTGAGATTTGGGTGGGGACAAACCATATCAGCAGATACTGAAACTGAGGCCCAGAGAGGTCAAATGATGTTCTTGGATTACAAGCTAGCAAATGTAGGAGGCAGACCCCAAAGCTCACTCTCCATGCCATGCTGTAGCCTGCCTGTATAATCAAGTGTCTCACTGTGCTGTGGTCAGGCCCTCAGACCCAACATCCTCAAGCCCCCAAATGCTCCACCAGCATCTCCCTCCCCAGGCCCAGCCCAGCAGCCCACACCCCTCCTGAAATAGGGCTTCCCTCTGAGCCAGCAGAAGAAGTGAGGAGGGCAGGAAGCTCCACCAGCCTCTATTGTAATTGGATCTTCCTGCTGGCAGTTCTCGGTGACAAGAAAGGGCCAGGTGGTGCTTACATGCACTGAGGAACCACACGCTCAAACACTGCCTCCAGGCCCCAACCCAGCCGCTTCCATCCCAGCACCCTGAGCTCAGTGTCTGTGCCGCCTGCAAGCGCTCCTCGGGCCTCAGCAAAACATCCTAGAACACAGCTAGGTGCCACGGGGACTAGAGCTGCAGCTTGAGAAGGCACCAGTCCCAAAAAACTCCCGAAAAATACTCTAATCGGGGTTTTGTCCATACTTTAAACTAGTGGAACTGTTTCTAAAAAAAAAAAAAAAAAAACTTTAATGGGCCCCATATAACTTAATACATGGACATTCACAGGCAGACATATACACATACACACACTTTGCCCTGCCTGGTTTCTTGGCATCAGCAATTTCTTTGAAGAGGGCTGCTCCGCTACGTAGCACATTACAGTCAGATGTGTGGGCAGCAATCAAATTCCCTTCTGCCTGTTCTGGTCTAGAGAGCCATTCCCTAACTTTACCATGGTATTCACAGGTGACACTCACCGCTGCAGGCCTTTCAGCCTGAGAGTGCCAAGGTTAGAACTGCAATTTTGGTGCATCATTCTGGCAGGTGCTGCAGCAGAACGTAGGGCTTCCTGCAGAGAGGAGATGGGTGGACACGCTGTGGCACCCCTGAGACGGTGAAGGGGGTGCCATGCAAGGCTGCTGTCACCAGGAAGCAGAGGATGGATGGAGGCTGCGCCACATCCCGGACAGCGAGTCTGCTGGGAGACCTGGATGAACCAGGGCTCAGGCAGAGAGGCATGGGGTTGGGGAGTGCTGTAAGAACAGGATCTGGAGCCCAATGTTGGGTTTGCAGCACAGCCCCTCCTCTGACTGGCTGCATAGTAGGGTGAGCCCATTGACCTGTCCAGACCTGGATCCCTTTATTTGTAAAATAGGGAAGCAACTGTACTTATCTCAGCGTGGTGGTTCTTAGTGCAGAAGAGCCTGGAGCACCCCAGTGCCTGGCCCACCCCACATGAGGGGAGTCAGAATGCAGGGGTGAGCCCAGGCCTTTGGGACTTCTAAAGCTCCTCAGGGGAATCCCACCTCGGCCAATGAGACACTAAGAGGCTAAAAACTAATGCGTGCTAGCTGCCTGTGCTAAGTGCTGGCAGATGTTCTCTGCAGCCACTGCAGTGAGCAAGGACCCAGCCGCTGTCACCTCGCTGAAGTACTGTGCTGTAGACAGAGGTAGGTGTGCTCACTGGAGTATGGGACCCTTGCGGGCCCTCTGTCTGAGACGCATCTAACATGCCAACCTGGATGGGTGCATGGGCAGGCACTGGGCATCCCTGACCTGGGAGACACTGGGGTGAACATGGGGCCAAGGGGGTCCAACGGGCGCACCAGGGCTGGCTCCCAAAGTCCCCTCACCCCTGTGAGGCTGGTTCCTGGACTTGCACGTGCAGAATCTACAGGACTTGGCAGCTGGTTCTCTGCACTGGATGAGGGACAGCCAGGTCAGAGGGAACCCCAAGTGCTGGGCCGGCATGACGAGGAAACCGCTGGACCCTTCACAGGACACAGCACGCGAGCAGCTGCGATGGAGGGAGGGTCAGTGGCTTGGGCCTCCAGAGCTGTGGGCTGGTGAGCGGCAGGGGCTCCTGGGCCACTGCTCCTGTCACTGTGGCTCACAGTCATTACTGTGGACTTTCTGTGAAAGATGTAATCTGAGAAAAAATGGCATTGTCTGTTTAAAAGAAAAGCAGTGCTTCCTGATTCCTTCTACTTGCAAGTGTGGACTGAGAGGCAAAGCTCCTGGCTGGGCACCTGGACTCCCATCCTGTCCACCCCAAGTGCTTCAACCCCAGACCCAGGTCCAGGTCCAGGTCCCGCCTTGTGTTTCCAATTTCTAATTGACTCTCAGCAGAGCTCTCTCTCTCTTTTTTTTTTTTTTTTCTTTTGAGACAGGGTATCACTCTGTCATTCAGGCTGGGGTGCAATGGCACAATCTAGGCTTACTGCAACCTTAACTTCCCAGGCTCAAGCAATCCTCCCACCTCACCTGCCCAAGTAGCTGGGCTAATTTTTTTTTTTTTTTTTTTTTTTTTGGTAGCAATAGGGTCTCAATTTGTTGCTCAGGTTGGTCTCAAACTCCTGGGTTTATGTGGCCCTCCCACCTTGGCCTCCCAAAGTGCTGGGATTCCAGGTGTAAACCACCATGCCTGGTAGAGCCCTCTTTTCACTACTGGTGTAAAACAAGTCTGGATTACTTTTATAATGTTAAACAAGCAGGGAACAGGAAAAACACTACGTATTGCTTCCGTAGAAATTATGTCTTCCTTGAAGGAAATGCTAAGAACTTTTAAAGGAGAGTTTAGTTAAGGGTTGAAAGGTTTTCCCTCACTATTTCTAAGGGAAATGTTTAATAGAATTTCTGTCCTGACATTGCTTATTAGTGCCTTGACTCTCACACACACATGCATGCACACGCGCTCCAATACTGAAACACACTCTAATCAGATTTTCGAAGTCTGCCCCATAGTAAAATCCTAATTCCTTTTGATCCACTGTTATCCACAGAGCTTTTACTTTTACATGCATATAGGCTGGGCATGGTGGCTTACACCTGTAATCCCAGCACTTTGGGAGGCTGAGGCGGATGGATCATGAGGTCAGGAGTTCAAGACCACCCTGGCCAACATGGTGAAACCCTGTCTCTACTAAAAATACAAAAAAATTAGCCGGGGGTGGTGGCGGGCGTCTGTAATCCCAGCTACTCGGGAGGCTGAGGCAGAGAATTGCTTGAACCTGGGGGGGCGGAGGTTACAGTGAGCCGAGATGGCACCACTGCACTCCAGCCTGGGTGACAGAGGGAGACTCTGTCTCAAAAAAAAAAAAAAAAAAAAAAAAAAAGACATGCATATACTAACCATAACCATCAGCTTCCTAGAACACTGCAGCCAGCCGGGGAAGTGGCCATCCTACCCGGGTGCCTCAGCCTTCAGCTAACTTTCTGGAACTGCAGTTTCTAGCTGTAGGTTCATCATGAGAAAGCATTTCCTCTTCCTGACAGTGGAGAGAATTGGGATGCAGTGAAATGGATTGATCTGAGGTGATCAGCATGGTGATGCCACCATCCAGGAATGGCGGTTACTTTCACTCCGAACCTGCACTGTGAGGGGTTGAATTCTACCTTCCCCAGATTCATGCGTTCAAATCCTAACCCTGGATACCTCAGACTGTGCCCTTATTTGAAGACAGTTTTTAAAGAGGTAATAAGGGTTAAATGAGGTGACTGAGATGGACCCTGATCCAACAGGACTGGTGTCCTTAAAGAAGAGATCAGAACACAGACATACACAGAGGGACGACCACCTGCAAGCCCAGGAGAGAGGCCTCAAGTAAACCAACTCTGTCGGCACCTTGATCTCAGACTTCCAGACTCCGGAACTGTGAGAAAATAAATTTCTGCAGTTTAAGCCGCCCAATTCATGGCACCTTGTTATGGCAGCCCAAGCCAACTACGAGGTGAGCATTTAAAACACGACCCGGGCGAGGTGGGGAGGGGCCCCACCCATGTTTTCAGCCATCACAACACGACCCGGGCGAGGTGGGGAGGGGCCCCACCCATGTTTTCAGCCATTCCAGACTTGACCACAGTTGGGGATCGGCCCAGCCCAGCCCAATCAGCCTGAGCAGCGACAGCAATGGTGACGCTGCTCTGCAGAGATGGCCCTGAGGGGCTTCACGGCCAGGCCCTGCGCCCCAACTGTTGGCCCAGAACCTGGCCCACCACTCACTTGGACCCCAGCAGGCCAAGGGGCTGACTCCCTCTGAGTCTCAGTGGCTCCTTTGCTAAATGGGAGTAATAACAGCACCTTCTCAGAGCTGCCAAGAGAACTAAATGAATGAGGGCCTCACACAGGCAAGTGCCCAGTGTCAGATGGCACTGTTACCCAGCCAGGAGAAGGGAGTAGTGGGGGTAGTCACTCTCACCAGAGGGTTGCAAAGGAAAATAATAAATCTCAGGACCCCCAAACTTAGGCCCAGAGGTGGAGCCAGGCAACACCCTGTTCCAGATGAACCGCTCTCACTGGCATTACTCATCATCCAACGCCCCAGGGACAGGCAAGAGGCCTACAGCATCTCTGCAGGGCTGCCCTGCAGGGCAAATGCACCTGACAGCAATACCTCAAGCCTGCCCTGAGGATGACTCTGCATGGCAGATGTGCCTGAGTATGTGTGCTGAGCTAGGACATCTGGGCGTGGCCAACCCAGAGATTTGTTCTTTGTCTATGATAAACATCTGAGCTCCCACCTGTCCTGTGGAACTCGGGTCGCACAGGGGATTGAGGCCCTGAATTTTGGGTTAAATGAAGGCTTCCAGGTAGAGGTCGTTCAGGGGAGGGTGTTAAGTGAAAATGCTGTAGAAAGTGCATGCTGTTTATAAGCGGTAGTGGTTTTCCTTTTCAGCCCGCCACCACCAGACTCTCTCCCCTCTGTGTAAGCCCCTAATCAAACCCCGTGTTGCAAGTGCTGGCTCTGGGTCTCTTCTTCGGCCTCTTGGACTTGTGCCTTCCCCACTGAGGTTAACAGGGGTGCAGCACAACATGCCCCCCGGGATCACTCATGAGGACATTGTTTGCTGGCCACCCATAAACAAGGACATGCCAATCATAACACAAAGAGCCCGGCACGGCAGCTCACGCCTATAATCTCAGCACTTTGAGAGGCTAATGTAGGAGGACTGCTTGAGCCCAGGAGTTCAAGAGAAACCTGAGCAACATAGTGAGACCTTCCTATCTCTATAAAAAATAAAAAGAAAAACATTAGGTCTGCGATCTAAGTCTAGCTTCTAAAACTAAAGTCTGTTGGATTCCACATTAATAATGTCCACTAGAGGCTTATCTTCCCAGCTACAGAACAAAGACAAGACTCCTCCCTCCACCCACCCAGAGATGTCTGCATAATTGACTCTGTGCTTTTTCTCTTCACACATTGACTTTGTCTGATGTAAAAATGTGGATTTACTGGACACCAACTGAAGTCTCACAGGAAAGTGACCATTCCCTGGCTGCCTACCTGCCCCTCTTCCTGTGTGCCTCCTCCTCCTTTAAGGAAATGTATGAATACTACACCTCCTGAAAGCCACCTTTTTTTTTTTTTTGAGACAGAGTCTTACTCTGTTACCCAGGCTGGAGTGCAGTGGCATGATCTCGGCTCACTGCAACCACCTCTGCCTCCTGGATTCAAGCTATTCTCCTGCCTCAGCCTCCCAAGGAGCTGGAATTACAGGCGCCCACCACCACGCCTGGATAATTTTTGTATTTTAGTAGAGACGGGGTTTCACCATGTGGGCCAGGCTGGTCTTGAACTCCTGATCTCAGGTGATCCACCTGCCTCAGCCTCCCAAAGTGCTGGGATGACAGGTGTGAGCCATCGCGCCCGGCCTGAAAACCTCTTCAGAAATCAGTCTGTGATTCCTATTTTACCGGGACACATCCTAAAGCTGGCTTAACAAACCTCAATTGATTGATACTTCTGCCTCAGTCACTCATTTCAGTCATCAAGGGTTACTAGCTTTCTGAACACTGACTCAGAGCCACCCCAATTCCAGGTTCTGGGCTGTGGCTGAATCTCTGGTCCATAGGAGATTTGCAGAAAAGGTAGGGCTCTCTCCTCCGAACGTCCCCCACCCACCCACCAGGCCCTGACGTCTCTGATGCTTGCGGCAGTCTGATCTCAGCTTCAGAACCCGACTTTGCACCCAAAACCTTTCCCTGCCCACTTTTAGCTTTAAAACAACACTCAAAATCCCCGAGAGGGGTTTCCGTGGCCCACGCAGGCTCACTGGGCCGAGATGGAGATGTCAACCTCAGAGTCTGTCCTCGCAGAATTTCCTGTCTGGTGGTCAAGAATCCAGAATGCTTGATAAAGGCCGGATGAGCAAACCAGCTATTTGAAGTTTTGTCCAAAACAAACCTACATCCATAATGCTTTGAAGTTGGCCTTCTTTACCACACAAATGAAAGGGCTTGTTTCTCGCCAAGGGCTGGTGCCAGTGCGGCAAAGGTCAGTTGTGACAGGTGAGTGGAACGACCCTGAAGATCTGGCACAATTCCTAACCTATGAACACCCCGGCATGCACCCAATCCCCCACTCTCCGGAACCCCAGGGAAGACAGCGTGGCCAGCAATGACACTCACATTTCTTGTCCTTTTACAGTTTTGGGAGGCGGGGAACATAAGGCCTTCTGACAGACACACTACTGAAAAGGGCTTTGTGAAAACTGACAAATTGAAGAAGTTTGCAGGCCTGATCTCAGCTTGGTTAAAAGTCTCACTGGGGTTCACGAAGTCATTTCCTTGGCACACGGATTATTCATTAGCAATGGTGAAAAAGCCCTGAATTAATTTCGACACTAAACCCAACTGAGATGTCAGGAAGCCCAGTTTCATCCACATCCCAGTAGGCAATAGTGTTTCCTGAAGTCGAGTTCTTGCTTTCCTTAAAGGTCGATTCCTTTATAAGGTCTGGTTTATGTGACTATATGAAACTGCAAATGTGTTCATGGATCTCTGCTGCTGTAGACGGGCGAAACTCTAAGGAAGCCCTAATACCACAGTGAGAACCAAAATACAGCCTTCCACTTGAGGAGCACTCGCAAACCGAAAGCATTGCATAGGTTGAACGAGGGAAGCTGGCTCTTACCAATTCACAAAATTAAGATAACTCCAATGTCTGCGGAGGTGCTCTGACAGGTCTTGCATTGTGCTCTGTGGACACAAGGAAGTTCCCTCTTGTTGAAAGCTGTGCTCACAAAACAAGCAGAAGGGAAATGACACACAGCACAGGGCCTCCACCAAGGGACAAAGGTTCCAGAGTCCAATCAGCAGAAGTGGATTGCGTGGGCACCCCTCACGTAATGCATGGGCTCACAGCAGGTCCTCAATAGTGAGATTGGAAACTCCAGATTCCCCTAGGGAGCACTCTCTTGCAGAGCAATCCACTTCTGCAACACTATATCTTAGCCCAGGAGGGAACATTTATCCTCTCCTAAATTTAGAGATAATAGAAAGTGACAACCTAATAAAGCAATATCACTTCATTTTGCTTTCTTCTTTGGAACATACACTTACTTGCACACTCACTTGCAAAAATGTTTGCACTCACACCTGTCTGCATACACACTCACACAAACATACACACCTAAACATCCACACACACACACACACACACACACACACACACATATTCACTCACTCATGAGGAGATGCCTAGTGTTAACTGCGTCGATCTCACATTGTCACCTCTTCCTACTGGTAAGGAAATCCCTGCTCCAGAAACACACATACACACAGAGGAAGTTTCAAACCCTTTGCAACTGCTGATGCAATTAAACTACATTTAGGAAAATTGGAAATTTTATTAAATTCCCGTTTTTTTTTTTAAACAGTGAAAATATAGTTAAAGAGAAAAAAAGCATTTCACATTGTACGCTACCTTGAACAGAATTAAAACATCTTACTGCTTTGGCTGTCTTTTTACTTCTGGAATAAGAAATGATCATTTCCAACCACACAAAAAATTTTAAGTTTCCACACAATATAAGAAGATCTTTTTGGATAAATATTTCAGACTAGCCAAATTATTATCAACTTCATGGCATTAATTTATTCATTTAGATCAGAGGTTCGGGTGCGGTAGCTCACACTGGTAATGCCAGCACTTTGGGAGGCCAAGATGAGTGGATCACCTGAGGTCCAGAGTTCAAGACCAGCCTGACCAAGACGGAGAAACCCCGTCTCTACTAAAAATACAAAATTAGCCGGGAGTGGTGGCACATGCCTGTAATCCCAGCTACTTGGGAGGCTGAGGCAGGAGAATCACTTGAACCCGGGAGGCAGAGAGGTTGCAGTGAGCCGAGATAGTGCCATTGCACTCCAGCCTGGGCAACAAGAGCAAAACTCCGTCTCAAAAAGAAAAAAAAAAAAAAAAGATCAGAGTGCTGGTGCTGCACTCTCTGTACATGGTGATTTAATAGACTATAAATTAAAGGCAAAGAATCCATTATGAAGTCACCAGAATTTAAAAAAAAAATCTTCTTCGGGCCAAACTTATATTGCCATGAAATAAACACAGTTAATATGAAAAAACATGGTATGTCTCAAATAATCATATTACCTACAGAACTGAATTTCTATGAATATCCACACTTGTTAGAATTAAAAATTTAATCTAAATAAAGTTATTGTATTGTCAAAGTCATTTATTTCTGTCTTTCCTGTTACAGATTTAATGTCCTTCAAGAAAATTATGAGATTGTTAAATTTAAAAACAAAAATGTCTCAGTATAAATTATGAGCTTGTTGACTATCCTTGAATGTATAAGAGAAAAACATGGAAGCCTCTTTGTAAAGGCTTAAAACTGACCGATCTAATTACCATACCCAGGCAGCTGTCTTTATTTTCCACTTAGATGATAGATTATGCTGCCTCCTTCAATTCCACGGCCAATGTAGCTAAATTTCATTAAAGACTAACAACTTGAAAAGCTTAGGGAAAAAGAGACTTGGGTACAAAAACTACCTTGCAAATTATACTTTTTCACTTCTAGTTTTCCTGTGATAGAGACAATTTTGGAAGCATGTGTAGGTAGCAGTTTTTTAAAAAAAATATTTTGTCTTCTACATATTTGGACTTTTGAAGTCACTTTCTAAGCTTCTGAATTCTGTCAAGTAACTTGGGGTGGGACTGACTCTCCTTTGTAAAGAAAACCGTGCTGAGTCAGAGCCTGAATACACCAGGCCCCCCAGGGACTGGTCACAGTGTATTCACAAAACAGAGGGGAAACCCTGTCTCCGCCTTGGCATCACTGCTGACCTGACTGTGAAGGTACGTGTTTAAGAGCAGTGTTTGTCCAGCCTAGGAAGTTTCCATACTCCTTTTATCTTTCTTCCTTATTTGGAACACGCACCACTGTGCACACACACACGTGCACACATGTGCACACGCCTGGGAAGAGTCAGCAGCAGATCTTCCTGCAAGCCTGACAATGACTACTCCCCACAGCGCTGCACAGAGGACGTGGGTGTGGCTGGGATTGTGGGCACTCATCCAAACAGGTCCACCCAAGAGACAAACTGTTGGAAACTATTTTCTCAGTAAATTAACCCACACAGAAGTCACCTCTGGGACGGCTCTTCCCGACACTGACGTGTCCTCTGGGTCTGGACTCTCCAGCTGTTCTCAAGCAGGACAGCCCTGTCCCCGCCTCACCCCGGCTGAAATTCCAACACTCATCTGACATTTCATATCCCTGTTTCTGCTTTCTCGTCTACAGTTAGCACCGAAGACTTCAACCGTCTATCCAACTTTTCACATAGATCATGTAAGCACTATGGCAGGAAAGATGTTCCCCAGTTTTGATCAATGCACCTCCTAGAATGGCGTTAGAAACATAATAAATGCTCAGTACGTATCTGCTGAATGAATTAAAACTTACAAAAATGAGTCTTTGAAAACACTGAGTTTTATATAAAATTATCAGTCTAGGGATCTCCTAGTTCTGCAGAAATGACAAATGTTACAAATGAACTAGAAACTGCTACCCACAGAACATCTGAACGTATGCACCTTCGTGGCAGGGCTGCACGAATGTGCAGGTGAGAGACAGCAGACACCCCACGCAAAGTGGAGGAACCCGCTCCGAATCCACACTGACGGATGGGGTGGGGGAGGGGAGGCACCTTGGGAGAATCTCCTGACTTCACTTTTTCTGTTTCTCATCTATAAATTGGTGTGATAATCATTATCTCACAAGATTTATACTTAAAATTCTGTGAAATTGTGTTTAAAAATGTTTGCTCTACTACAGTTGTGGGAGATACAGTAGGCCTGGCGTGCAGGAGGCTGAACAAATGTGAGACATTGCCTGACAGTGTGATGCTCCACACGGGGGCCTCTCTCAATTCTTGGATAACATCCATTCAACTCCAACTCTTACATCAAATCTTTACGTCTCAAGATCTCTGTTTCTTTTGCCAGAAGTGAAATAGCTGGGTGATTTAAGGTCCCGGAGCCATCAGCCCGGTGTCTAGGCCTCGCCTTCAGATTCTGGGGTCTGGGTGGGCCATGCCCACCGCCTTCCGGTTTTTGTTGTAGCCCCTCAACACTGCGCACTTTTTCAAATGCTCTTCATTAAATACAACCCTATTCCGCCTCTGGGGCACCATCTGACGGACGTCATTCCCTGTAGTGCCTGGCACCTGAGACCTCTCCATCCTGGCCTTCAGAGTCAGTTTCAAGCTCCTCTTTCTGGAACCTCCCTTGACCTCTCATGGCCCCAAACCCCTAACAAAAGCCCCCTGGACTCATCTCACTGCTCCATACTGGGCATCACTGGTGAATAGGCCTGAGTCCTCCACGTATTGGTCCCATGGCTGGTCTTTAGGTGGGGTGTGTGTGTGTGTGCATGCGTGTGTGTGCATACGTGCGTGTGTGTGTGTGTGTGTGTGTACCCGTTCCGCACTGCCCACTCCCTCCAGGTTTCTCCAGGGCTTGGCCTGCTCCACACTTTCCCCATCTCTCAGTCCGGGGTACCCTGGACATATTCCTGCAGGCAACATGGGCCCTCTCAAGCCCAGGCTGCTGCTCCATGCACCCTCTCAAAGGTGGGGCTCCACGGCGCTGCTGTCTAGAGAGCTGTCACCAGTCTTCATCCACTGCAGCGAGGGCCTGGCTCCAGCAGCGTCCAGCAACTGCTCCTGGCATCTAGCAAGTTCTTATGCTTGGCACCTCCCTGGCAATAGCCTCCCCGGTCCCCAAGGGAAGGCTTCTAGCAAGTTCCACCAGTACAGCCCCTAAGTACCTTTCCTGCCATCCCCAAATTTAAGGCTGTGCCCCCTGCCATGGTTCAGGGGTTGGGAGGGTACTCTTCCCTGAGTGGGAGAACTCTGTCTCAGAGCCAGGGGCAGTGGCTGTCCCTTCATCAGCTATTCCCATATATATATATTGGAGACAGAGATAGGGTCTCTGTCCCCCAGGCTGGAGTGCAGTGGCATGATCACAGCTCACCACAACCTCAAACTTCTGGTTCAAACCATCCTTCCCATTCAATCCCTTGAGCAGCTAGGACCACAGCTGCACACCACGATATCTGGCAATTTTTTTTCTTTCTTTCTTTTTTTTTTTTTGAGATGGGGTTTCTCTGTGTTGCCCAGGCTGGTCTGGAATTCCTGGCCTCAAACAATCCTCCTGTCTCAGCCTCCCAAAGTGCTGGGATTATGGGCGTGAGCCACTGTTCCTGGCTCCTATATTCTTCAGGGTCCTCTTTATTTCTTTTTTATTTATTTTTTTAAAGATAACAGCTTTATTGAGATATAATTCACATATCATTACTTCTTATAACCCAATCCCCAACTAAGAATTCTTCACATCAGACTTTCTCTGATTGAATCATGTGTGGTTTCTGTCTCCTGACTGGACCCCGCTGGATACCCTAAGTTCCTGCATTAATGACACAGCCCGCTCTTCTCCTTAACCTAAGCGTTGCAAATCACTTCTAATTTAAGTGATTTGCAAAGGGGCTCCCACTTCCAACTGATCATTCATTAAACTGGTAAAATATTATATTGTATTTCACATAAGTCAGTGTACAGATTATTACCAGTTCTTAACCTGTCTGAGACAAGCTAACTCAGTATTACAAAAAAACTAATTGAAACACAGAGTACTTAAATGTTCTTGGCATTTGTGGTTTTTCAATTGCTGGGGTTTAAAAGTCAAGAGACTTGCTTCCTTTACTTTCAGTGGGGTGGTTCATAGATTTCAGAATATAATGCATAAATGGGAATTTGGATACCAAAAAAATGTCTTTGGACCTTTAGGGAAAGAGAAAAAAAAAAACCCAGAAAGTCGGGGGAAAAAGGTAATTGGGACCAGAATGTGCATGCAGGTAAAGAATTTTGGTGCTAATAAAACAATTTTTTAAAAACCCTCAGAATTGTTTAGGCTGTTAGTTTGGCCATTTTGACCAGATCATGGCTCAAAGCTACTTCCTCAGCATTCCTGGGGCCCTGAGAAGGGTGACGTAGATGTGTTGGTCTGCAGCCGTCCTCGAGTTTCAAACATCTAACTTGTAAGCAGCTCATTTATATAAAGCACCACCGAGCTATGAAGTGCTGCAGTTATTGTTTGGGTAAAAAGTGGGCGGGAGAGGACTGTAGATACGACTGGGTTCAGAAGTTGAAGATCAGAAGATAGGAAATGGGGAAGTTCTTCTTTATTTTTTTTGAGATGGAGTCTCGCTCTGTCACCCAGGCTGGAGTGCAGTGGTGTGATCTCGGCTCACTACAACCTCTGCCTCCCGGGTTCAAGCGATTCTCCTGCCTCAGCCTCCCGAGTAGCTGAGACTACAGGCATGCGCCACCACGCCCAGCTAATTTTTGTATTTTTAGTAGAGATGGGGTTTCACCATGTTGGCCAGGATGGTCTCGAATTACTGACCTCAAGTGATCCACCCGCCTCGGCCTCCCAAAGTGCTGGGATTACAGGCATGCGCCACCATGCCCAGTAGAGGAAGTTATTCTTGAGAGTTGATCAAGGAGATCTATCTGCGGCGTTCCCCTACCTGCCATGCCAAGTGTGCATGCTCCACCCTCCAGTGCTTAAATTCTGCTGTATTTTCCACCTTGTCTGAGGTTTCACCAGTAGATACTCATCTGCATTTGTTTAAGTGGCACTCACCCTCTGTGTGCACAGGCTGCTCCTCTCAGAGGTGACATTCGAGCTATCAGCCCTCTGCCTGCCCCTAACTCTAGCTGAGACCCCGGGAACTGAGAGGGGATGCTGTCCCTGGCTGATGTCAGTGTTAGTTCACATCCCTGCAGAGGAGACGGGGCCAGGCCTAGGGGAGAAGCTGAGAGTGAGACGGGCTCACGCCCCTGACTTCCTGAAGAGAGCCGGGGGTGGGGGGTGGGCACGAGGGCCTGGGGCGAGGGGGTGGCATCGGATGGGGCCCACACCTATCACCAAACCCTGGAGCACAGTCATGGAGAAGCTGGGCGCCGCCAGGCTGTGCCTCGAGGGGCCCCTAACTCTTTCACCAGCTCTCCTGATCTAAATGAGAGCACTCCATTAACAACAACAAAAAATACTATTTTTAATTTTTATGTCTGCTTTGCCTTATTCCAAAAAGATTTGAGGCAGCTCACAAAAATACACTTGGCATAAAAGAAGGTTAAAACACACACACACACACACACACACACACACACACACACAGAGTAAATGAGGAAATCATGGCGGAAATCAGCCCGGTTGGAACAGTCAGGCAGACGCCTGCCGCAGGCAGGCCGGGCGGGCGAGGTGCGGAGTACCTGGCCTGCTGCAAGTGTGTCAGGCATCTCCCCCTGTGACGGTGACCGGGGGCATCTAGAGCGGAGACAGGGATGCTAGAGCCCCCCACAACCCTGCCCAGCCAATCGCTCACCGCCCCACTCCCTACAGTGCCCTCGCTGAGGTCCACAGACAGCAGAGCCCACTGCCCCAGGGAAGCCCGATGGGCTGGTGCCGAGGCCGATGGGGGAGGGCACTGTCTGATAGAGGAGGAAAAGCCCAGTGGCATCCTCCCTGTGAACCAGAGGCCGGCTTCCCCACCCTTCAGGGCAGGCCGACTCAGACTTGCTGTCTAGGCCAGAGCAGGGCTGGGAGAAGGAGGCTTGGGAGGAGAAGGCTCGGGCCAGGCCCATTTCCTTGTAGGGTCTTCCTGATCTCTGAGGGCTCCTGCCCCTGTCAGTTCACCTGGCATTAGCACCTCACACTCCCGGCACAGACCTGGCGGGTGGGGCCCTTTCTCCCTGGAGCAGGGACAGATGTTGGGCAGCCCAATGGAGTCGGTGTGTGCAGCTGTCACACGTGCTTCCCTCCAGCCTCTCACCCCTCACCCTGCTGCACGGTGGCCAGGGCACACCAGAGGCAGGATTCAGCTACGAAGACCTCGCGCTGAACCCAAACACCCTTGAGGAGAAAATGTTCCTGAGCATCCTGGTGGGAACAGGCCATGACTCCTGCTGCGTTGCCATTTAGTAAACCAGTGAAACAGCTAGGTACGTGTTGACCATCAGCTGCTCATAAATGTTCCTTGTAACTTTACAGGAACAAATAACATTCTGCGAAACTTAGACATGCACAAAAGAAATCAGAGTCAGAGAAACTGAATCCTGCTTCCCACAGTCACAGGCGGGTCATGGGCTCAGGTAGGTCAGGGGTCCTCTCAGACCCTCAGACTCGTCTACTAGGAAAAACAGCCTGGTCTGACAGACAGGAAAATGCAGGTGCTCTGAGCCCCAGAAGGCTGTCATGGGGACACTGTGTGGCTGTAATGCCTGCAAGGCCCTGGAAACGTGGGTCACTTACAAGCTCCGAGAAGCCGCGGACCACCTGCCGCCGCTTCAGGTTGGTCTCTCCATCCAGGTTGGCGGTCTCGATGTGGCATAGCCCGTCGGGGTCACTGGAGGAGAGCAGCAGAATGTCCGCAGGGAAGATTTCGTTGCAGCGAAGACGCACAAAGTCTCCCACGTGGATTTCTTTCCAGAATCGGTTCACGTATTTCTTTTCTTCCCTAGAAAACAGATTTTGATTAACAAAACTCACGAGACATTGGTCGTGGCTGGATCTGGGTGATGGGCACGTGGGGCTCATATGGCAATTCTTTCTACATTTGCATAGGCTGAAAATTTTGATAATAAACAGGTGTTTTAAAAAGAATATTTGGCCGGGTGTGGTGGCTCACGCCTGTAATCCCAGCACTTTGAGAGACCGAGGCGGGCAGATTATGAGGTCAGGAGTTTGAGACCAGCCTGACCAACACGGTGAAACTCTGTCTCTACTAAAAATACAAAAATTAGCCGGGTGCGGTGGTGCGTGCCTGTAGTCCCAGCTACTTGGGAGGCTGAGGCAGGAGAATCACTTGAACCTGGGAGGCAGAGGTTGTAGTGAGCTGAAATCACACTACTGCACTCCAGCCTGGGCTATAGAGTGATATTCCGTCTCAAAAAAAAAGAAGGAAAAAAAAAAGAATATTCATACCACTGAAGCTCACTCAAAGTAAAAGAAGAAAAGAGTATTCATAAAGGCCACATATTGTATGACTCCATTGAACAAGCAAATGCATAGAGACAGAAAGTGGATTTGTGGCTGCCAAGGGCTGGGGGAAAAGGGAGTACCAGTCACAGCTTAACGGCAAGAGGCTTCTTTCTAGGAAGATATGAATATTCTGGAATTAGTGACAGTTGCACAACACTGAATGCACTTGAATTTTTCACTCCAAAATGGTTAAAATGACCATTCCTAGGTCTACACTCAGAAGAGCTGAAAGCAGTGACTGGAACAGGTATAGCAAGCCAATGTTCACAGCAGCATCACTCAGAATTGCTAGGAGGTAGGATAATCCATGTATCCATGAACAGGTGAATAATAAACAAAATGGAGTATTATCCAGTCATGAAGAGAAGTGCTATAATACTGAAGACATTGTGCCAAGTAAAATGAGCCATTCACAAAAGGACAACTCTTGCCGGTTCCACTTAATATAAGGTGCCCAGTGGGGGAAAATTCAGAGACAGAAAGTGGATTAGGCACCATCAGTGGCTGAGAGAGGCAGAATGGAGAGTTACCATTTTATAGACACAGAGCTGCTGTTTGGGGTGATGGAAAAGTTTTGGAAATACGTAGTAGTGATGATTGTACCACACCGTAAGTATCACTAATGTCACTGAATGGTACACTTAAAAATAGTTGAAATGGCAGATTTTATGTGCATTTTATAATTTAAAAAATGTAAAATGGTTAAAATATTAAATATTATATTTTGCATGTTTCATCGTAATAAAAAATAATTAAAACACGTTAAGCCACGTTAAGCCAAATGGGACTTAAAGTGCAGCAGGTAAGGGAGATACTTGGCAGTTGGAAGGCCCCCTTACCTCCCAGGGACACATTCCAAGCCACCTGCTTAGAACAACACCCAATACAGTCAGCCTGCAGAACCTACGAGTCACTATCAACAGATATTTAGATTAAAACATAATTTTTAGATTTCTTCTTTAATTCTTTTTCCTGGAATAACAGGCTAACTAATGTCACAAAGGTCATTTGTAAGAGTTCCTTGAAGGCGGTTTTGGCCATTTTTAAATAAGTGGAGGAACATAAATTTATCTGAACAAGGTATGTTACACCTTGGAAACATACCTTGGAGAGGAAATCTCATTGAGAAATCCTCTGGGTTGCCGGGTGCCATGGCTCACACCTGTAATCCCAGCACTTTGGGAAGCTGAGGCAGCAGGATTGCTTGAGGCTGGGAGTTTCAGACCAGCCTAGACAACATAGTGAGACCCCCATCTCTAAAAAAAAATTAAAAAAAAAATTAGTTGGGCATGGTGGCACGAGCCTGTAGTCCCAGCTACTTGACAGGCTGAGGCAAGAGCCTCACTTAAGCCCAGGAGATCAAGGCTGCAGTGAGCCGTGATGGCACCACTGCACTCCAGCCTGGGTGACAGAGGCCCTATCTCAAAAACAAAGAAACAAAAAATCTGTCCTCTGGGTGATACTGTAAAAGAGTAAAAAGCACTAAAACACATTTCATGTTTACCATAACCATCTTACTAATCCTCCCATCCTACACCCCCCATAAAACTCTACTCTCACCCGAGTTCCAAGAGAGCAAGGAGTTTGGTTTGTATCTGGAGGTGGACTGTGTGGGCCACATCTATCAGCTCCCTGAGCATTGGATGAGAAGTATGGAGAGTTTGCAGAGCTAGGAAGCCACACGCCAATTTTCTCTCTTCTATTTAATTCCCCTGTGTGGATTTGAGGGACCCCCCCCTGGCAAAGTTCCAGAGGCTCCTAGGAAACCATCGGCTGCCCTAGATGCTGAAGAGAGGAGTGTCCCCTGCCATTTTAAGCCTCTACTTTTTTTAAATCCTCTAATTCAAGATCCACCAAACCAGTTATGTACAAAGCATAGCTCTGGGGCACTACGTTGGGAACAAAGATACATTAGATGATGCGGTTCTGACCTCGAAAACAAATGCAAGGCAAGCTATCACCGCTAGAGAGCGCCCTTTGGGGACTGTGGAGTCAAGCCCCTGAAAGTGTTCCCAAAGTTGTTCTTCCTGAGCTTACCCAAGCATTCCTCAGAGCTGCTTCTCCTGCTGTGACAAGCTCGGTCACCTGCAGGCCATGTGGTCCCAGCATGGTCAGTCCAGGGAACCATGGGGTCCTCTGGCCATGCAGAGGCTCGTTCCTCAGGCCCCAGCCCGAGGTCTGAGAGGAGGCATGGCAGTGGCCCCCATCCCCAGGCCGTCCAGCTTACGAAGGCCAGTCGGACCCCTTCTGAGCACAGACAGGAAGCTATGATGACTGAGACACTGACATATCTAGCCATGTGCCTACTTCCTTTTCCAAAGGTCAAGCCTTGACTTCATGTCATTACAAGCTTTTTTGTCCTTCTTCCTTCTCATGAGCGTCTGCTGGGCTCCTGCAGAGGACACGAAGCCATTTGAAAGGGCCTGTCCCTTTGGAAGAAAGTTTCCCAATGCTCAGTCACAGTTTGCTCTCAGAGGAAGGCAGCCTATGCCCAAGCATCGGCGGGGCAGGCTTTGTTGCGATGGGGTCCCCAGGAGACCGGGCAGTCCTGGGCCTCACCCTGGGCGGAGGAGGAGAGACACCGCAAGGCACTGTCTCTGTTCAGTTTATGTTAACTACATTCCATGTATAACTCTCATCCAAAATAAAGTCAGTTTCCATCTGCTTTGTAATCATAAAACAATAGCTTGCCTGCCCCATCCAGGAGGCTTTTAAAATAGAAACTTCAGGGGAGGCATCTGGGCTCTGAAGGAGATTCCCCCCTGAGGACCCTCCACACATGGAGAGATGGGGGTGCCACGTGCAGACCTCAGGTCACTGTCCTGGTTTGTGGGAGTGGGGGAAGGGGTTCCTCATGGGCTGCAGAAAGGACGCTGGCTTCTAAGAAAAGGCCCTGGCCAGGTGCAGTGGCTCACGCCTGTAATCCCAGCACTTTGGGAGGCCAAGACGGGCGGATCACAAGGTCAGGAGTTTGAGACCAGCCTGACCAACATGAAGAAACCCCATCTCACTAAAAATACAAAAATTAGCCAGGTGTGGTGGCACGTGCCTGTAATCCCAGCTATTCAGGAGGCTGAGGCAGGAGAATCGCTTGAACCCGGGAGGTGGAGGCTGCAGTGAGCCGAGATCGCGCCACTGCACTCCAGCCTGGGTGACGGAGCGAGACCCCGTGTCAAAAAAAAAAAAAAGAAAAAGAAAAGGCCCTGCAGTCCATGGGAATCCCTACCAGGGACAGACCCTGGAAGACTCAGATTCAGGAGCCCCTTATGAAGGAACAGCGGGACAGGCCCCTCCTTACTGCAGCAGACCAAAAAGGCAAGAGATGCCTCAGGGGTCCAAATCCTGCAACCACTCCAGCTGGAGCACCCGGCAAGGAGCCTGGGCCCACATCAACCCTGCCATGTCACCACTGGCTGCATTTCCCTAACAGCCTTTCCTAATGTCCCCTGAACTGTGTCCCCCGAGAGACTATTTGGAGAGAGAGGCTCTAAAGAGGATTAAAGTTAGAATGAGGCCATAAGGCTAGGCCCAAATGCAATGTGGCTGGGGTCCTTATAAGAGAAAGGCAGCAGAGGCGTGCGCACACAGCTGTAAGGACAGGGAGAACATGGCGAGGGGAGGGGCCTCAGGAGGACCCATCCTGCCCACACCTCGGTGTCTGACTTCCAGGCTCCAGAACTGCGAGGTGATACATTCCTGCTGTTGAAGTCACCCCATCTGTGGTCCACTGCCACGGCAGCCTGAGCTGACGAATACACTTAATAACGTCCATTCTCGTGACTCTGGCTGGAAGGAGCAGCTCACAGGCTGTAGTGACAGAAACTGAAGGGCAGGCAGAAGCAGTGAGTGGCAGGAGAGGCATCTCACCCTGCAATTTATCCCCATGCACAGGTTCTACATACCCCCAAGACAGAAATCGAGCCCACTGGCACAACACTCTTAATACCAGCCACTCAACCACGCCCTTCTTGAGGCTTTTATCAGCACGGACCTCTAGAGACAGGAAGAACGGCTGGCTGGGGAAGTCTGGCTGTGCTGCTGAAGAGGACATCGTTGAATGGGCATCCAGTTCTCTGGCCCTGGTGGCTGGAATGGGGGCACCACCCACCTCGCCCAGGGGCAGGGTCTGCTTGGAGAAGGGACAGAGTCCAACAGTGACCAACTTTGAGTTCAAGAAGCTGGTGGGGCTGTGCGGGGTCCGGTCTCCGGAGGTGTCTCCAGCTTTGAAGACAGGCAGATGGAGACAGAAATATTTGGGGGTCTTAAGCACAGAGGTGACAGCAGCCCCCACTGTGGATGTCATCACTGAGAGCACCAGGGAGAAGTGTGGGGAGAAGGAGAGCTGAGGGCTGAGCACAGGCCATGCAGGCAAGGTCGTGCCCAGGCGGGGAAGCTGGCGTTGTGGCTGGGGGCAGAGAGGTGCCACGCCAGCACACGGCATCAGGGTGGGCCAGGGCTGACCACACAGGGCCCGGAGGACACAGGGTTCCTGGGTGCCTGCCACCCCAGCCAGCAGCCACAGGTCTGCCTCCACACCTCGGCCTTCACCTCCCACGGCCGAGTGAACACGGCTGGAAGGACATCTCGAATGTGTGCCCGTCACCACCGCAGTTTTACTCCATTTTTGGAGACAGTAACTTCCAGTGGCACATCCATGAAGGCAGACAGTCCTCTTGCGCATCACTCAAGCACATTTCATGCCCAGCTGTAGCAAGACCATGTAGTCTTTTGAACGACAGAACTGTTCTTCAGAAGTGGACCTCCCCTACAAAGGCCATGGACGACTAAGAGCTTGGGACAGGTCTTTAGGCCACACCAGCAGGAGCTCTAGACGCTAAATTCCTCTCAGCATTGAGACATCATTATCATCTTTTTTTTTTTTTTTTTTTTTTTTTTGAGGCGGAGTCTCGCTCCATCCCTCAGGCTGGAGTGCAGTGGCGTGATCTCGGCTCACTGCAAGCTCCGCCTCCTGGGTTCACTCCATTCTCCTGCCTCAGCCTTCCGAGTAGCTGGGACTACAGGCGCCCACCACCATGCCCAGCTAGTTTTTTTTTTTTTTTTGTATTTTTAGTAGAGACGGGGTTTCACCGTGTTAGCCAGGATGGTCTCAATCTCCTGACCTCATGATCTGCCCGTCTCGGCCTCCCAAAGTGCTGGGATTACAGGTGTGAGCCACCGTGCCTGGCCCATTATCATCTTAATTGTAATAACAACATTAAAAAATCAGCAAAGCTGTGCTGGATATCCTATTATGACCCAGGCCTGCACAGAACATTTCACAGTCTCTCTCAGTGAACCCTCCCACGATCCTGACAGTATGTTCCCACTTACAGACATGGAAACCAAACGCGCAGAGACTGACCTCCCAAAAGTCACACAAACCTGGGTGACTCCAGGGTCTGGGAAGCCTTAGAGAGATTTGGTTTTGAAAGCACATCTGATCTGGTAGCCTAAAGGAGGAATATCTCATGAAGACTATAAAGTGCTAAGCAAAAAAGTTCTTCCATTTTTCCCTTTAAAATTATGCAGTGCAGAGACTAATGTGGTCTGAGATAAAATATCACTAAGCTTGAGAAACGGTGGAGGCCAGGCATGGTGACTCACATCTGTAATCCCAGCACTTTGGGAGGCTGAAGTAGGAGGATCATTTGAACCCAGGAGTTCAAGACCAGCCTGGGCAACATAGTGAGACCCCATCTCTCCAAAAAATACAAGAATGAGCCAGGTGTGCTGGCACACCTTGGTCCGAGCTACTCAGAAAGCTGAGGTGGGAGAATGACTTGAGCCTGGGAAAGTTGAGGTGGCAGTAAGCCCTGATTGCGCCACTGCAGTCCAGCCTGGATGACAGGGCAGGACTCCTTCTTAAAAAAAAAAAAAAAAAAAGAAGAAAGAAAAAGAAAAAGAAAAGAAAAAGGTGGGAGGAAAGGCAGACAGTTCCAGATTTGTGCCAGTGTTTGACACAGACATGGAGTAACACAGTTCAGTCCATTTGCCAAAACCACTTCCAATGTGCAAACAACTGGAGGGGGCTTGTCCAAGATCAGGAGTCACCAAACTGTGTTTTTTTTGCTACAAACTGGGAAGTGCCCCCTACATCGGCCTGCATAGATGAGGGATGAACTCCTCCCTCACTGGTACCACCTGCAGTTGGGACCATCTGAGGTGTGGCCATAGAAGGACACTGCCCTCCCCCAGGATCACCTTGGGGACTTCCCTCTGGGCTAAACAAGCCACTGAGAGAGTTCCCGCTAGGGCAGGGTAGCTGTTTATTCCCCTGGCTTTAATCAGGCTGATTTGGTGGCTTTGAGAGGTGCTCCCAACGTGGGCAGGGCACACCTGACACTTGAGGGGCCCCAGCCTGGCCACCTGACAAGTTCCTTCTGCACAAAGCCGCCACACCCTTCCTCACAAAATCCCTCCTGCAGGAAACATGTAGGAGCAGCACTAAACAGCTGGCTTTGGAATGATCAATAATTAACGAGGGTGCTTCACATCTGGCCACTACTTTCATTTAGGGTCACAAAGCCACGGTGCACACACAGTCTCAAGTGCATTGATGACTCATCCCCAGTAAGACAGGGCGCCAGCCCAGAAGCCTGGACTCTGAGTGCCCGAGTTCCTGATCTGCAGAACGGGGGTCTGTAGGATCGCTACAGTCTCCCCCAGCAGACACTGACCCATTTCCCCGTAGCCCTCTGCTCCCGTCCCACCCGCTTCACGCTCTTCTGGCTGTCACCAGACTGTCAACAGTGACTGTTCAATTAAGTGAGAGGCCGTGGCCACTATTTTGACTTCACATCTCCTGTTTTCTTTTTGAGCATGGTTTTTCCTCACTATTATTGTTGAAGTGAGTGTCTGATTTTGACTAACACAATCAGAAATAGTACAAATGAGCAGCGTGTTATATCTTGTCTTTGATTTGTGGTTTGGAATTAAAACAAGAGCTGTTACTTTGATTTTTTTATTAGAAAGATGGTAAGATTGCTTACAGGATTTCCATGAAATGGAGAACACAGACAGTACTGCTTGAGGTGCGGTGGTATATAAAATATGATTATGTGTTTAGTATCATTCTGTATTATTTCATTGGAAGAGAACAATTAATCCCTACAAAGAGAAAGCTCCAATTAAATCTGTGTTACATTCGACTAAACCTAGAAAAATCCGGATGCTTTGTGCCTTATAGATGAAACAGGTAATGTGTTATTTTGCGGGGATGTTTGTTTTTGAGACAGGGTCTTGATCTGTCATTCAGGCTGCAGTACAGGGCTGTGATGATAGCTCACTGCAGCCTCCAACTCCCAGGGCTGAAGGGATCCTCCCTCCTCAGCCTACCAAGTAGCTGGGACGACAGGTGTGCACCACCACACCCAGCTAATTTGTTTTTTATTTTTTGTAGAGATGGGGTTTCACCATGTTGCCCAGACTGGTCTCGAACTCCTGGGCTCAAATATCCACCTGACTCAGCCTCCCAAAGTGCTGGGATTACAAGAGTGAGCCCCCATGCCTGGCCAGAATACATTTTTTAAGAAAAAAGAAGACATGTTAATGAACCTAACATGCAGACCAACTAGATTGAGGCCTCCCAAGTGAGGTCAGCCTGGGGGACTCCTTTGGCCAACTAACAGGAGAAGTGTGTAACACTTTAAACAAACAGCAAATGTGAAACCAGGACACAGTGAGGCGAGCCCTAAATGGGAGGATCACCACAAGAGATCCAAGAATCTTGTGGAATAATCATTAGTGCCAAGGCCGATGCCTTGGGAATAAGAAAACCCTTCTTGGAATTTATTTTTCATATGGTGGACCAATAAAGAAGTGTGTGTGTGTGTGTGTGTGTGTGTGACAGAGACAGAGAGAAAATAATTTTACATCACTTAAAAAAGACCAAACAAGACTCTAAAATTATCGCAGATTTCATATACACTCATTATACATCAGGCAGAGAAGTAGAAAGCCCAGAATGCCAGCAACAATAGCTTTCAAAGGTTTCTCCGCCATCAGCGCTGTTGAGATTTGGGGCTGGATATCCTTGATGGTGGACAGCTCTGGGCTCTGCACTTTGCTGAGCACCATCCCCAGCCTCCTCCTATAGATGCCAGTAGGGCTCCCTCCCTACAAGTTGTTACAACCTAAAACAGCTCCAAACATTGTCAAATGCCTCCTGGGGGTGCAAAATCGCTCCCGGTTGAGAAATGCTGCTTTAAAACACCCAGGACAAAGATTCTGGAAAATGGATTATTAAGTAAATGTTTACAGAACCAATGTATTTTTAAAATCATGAAGGTGAGAACTCAGCACTGAAACAGCAATGGCAAAATCCGCAGTGGGAACGTGAGCCAAGTATGTTGCATAACGCCCAGAATGTGTCTTCCTTCCACCATAAACTGAAACATCTGCTCCTTCAGTGAGACATGCTAATGGATTCTGAATCTAATACTAAAAGTGAGAGGCAGTGAGAAATGATAGTTGGAGTGCTTTTTCTGGAGTGAATCTTCTGATACCAAAATTGCCAAAAATACAGTAGTGTAGACTAGATGCACAAAATGTATTTTCTGAACTACTTTCTATTCTGTATGTCTCCTCGAGGTGATGTGAGCTCTAAGAAATGTCCCAGATGTGTGGAAGCACATGTGTGCATGGAGCAGACTGCTCAAATGAGTCAAGCTGAATGGAAAATACTGGTCGCTCTGTGGTAAGTCAGAAAGGGCTGAATGTTGTCCCAGCGGAACTCACCCCCAGAGGGCAGGGCCTCTGGCCTCTTTTTAGAATGAAGAAAGGATGCAGAGTCTCTCAGCCCAGAGAAAGTGACACACCATGCTATGCTCACATCACATAATTACTCACTACAATGCAACACTGAACACCCAGATTAAATCTATTTTCCCCAGGAAACACTAGTTTGCGAAAGCAAAACGATGCCTAAACACAGTATCACTTACAAACCTCTTAGTAAGTTTTAACATGAAACTTTTTTTCTGACAAATCATTTCTACTGTGGCCTTTTCTGCATATAATGGTACATTCTCAAAGTATCTTAGTAGACCTCAAGACATCTCAATAATACTGCCCACTAGTAATGGATGTAAAACACTCCGGGGCACTTCTAGAGTTTTCAAGGTAATTTCTTATGCATTAATTCATTCATTGGTATGACAATCCCAGGAAATGGGCCGGAGTTGTGCGCTCCTTATTCCTACGGAGAAGTTTTGCATTGTAAATATTTTTTCCTAAGAGGCTGTAACAATTCACACTCCTCCGTCAGTATCTAAGAGTCTCCAGGCCCTTTTTTCTGCAAAACCAGCTGCTTCGTCTTTTTAAAACCTCCCTGCAAGTGTTTTTTTTTTTTTTTTTCAAGACCCTTGCTCTGTCGCCCAGGCTGGAGTGCAGTGGCACGATCTCGACTCACTGCAACCTCCGGCTTCTGGGTTCAGCAATTCTCCTGCCTCAGCCTCCCCAGTAGCTGGGATTACAGGCGTGCCCCACCACACTTGGCTAGGGCAGGACATCTACTTTTCTTTTAATGTGCATCTCCCTGCCACCCAGACCACTTGGCAGGCTCCTCTGTGAATTAACTCTGCATGTTTCCCCTTCAATCTTTCTTTTTTTCTTCTTCTTCTGATTTATTTAGTTAGAGTCAGGGTTTCACTCTGCTGCCCGTGCTGGAGTGCAGTGGCACAATCTAGCTTACTGCAGTGGCACAATCACAGCTCACTGCAGCCTCGACCTCCTGGGCTCAAGCAATCTTCCCACCTTGGCCTCTGGAGTAGCTGGGAGTAGCTAACATGCACCACCTGCCCAACAGTTTTTTAACTTGGTTGTAGAGACGGAGTCTTGCTATGTTGCCCAGGGTGGTCTCAAACTCCTGGGCTCCAGCAATTCTCCCGCCTCAGTCTCCCAAAGCACTGTGATTACAGGTGTGAGCCACCGTGCCTGGCCTCCCTCACTTTTTCTATTGTATTCTTTCCTCTCTTCTTGACCACGAAACCTGTGAGAGCATTCATATTGAAAATATTAACCCCTTTTCTGTCTTTTGCTTTGGAAATATTTTTCTCTAAGAGCCATGGTTTGTCGGTTTTAACATTTCTAGTTGTAGCATAATTTTGTTATATAATCCTTTCAGATGTTTATATAGGTAAATATATCTGACTTCTCCAGGCCTGGCTAAGACAGTCACCTATGTCCCTGTATTATACATGTTGTTTCCAAGTATTGCTTGTTTGTTTTTTGTGGGAGGAGTGCAGAGTATTTTTTTTTTAAAACAAACATTTAAATGGTCAAACCAACTGATGTTCATTTTCCTCTGTTACGACCTGAGCATCCAATGCTGCTTCTTCCAGACAGCCAATTGTGTCAATATTGCTAACTAGTTCTTTTCCCACTGAACCTACATACCCACTCTGTTACAGATAATATCATTTGATTTGGGCTTATTAGGTTCCATTAATCTACTTGTCCTTTCTCATGTCAACCCCACATGGCATGGTAGTACAGTATGTTGGATCAGTGCCACCATTAGCTTCAGCGCTGAGAGGAGTCTTCATGCAAAGGTACCTGCTCAGGGTGGAGCCCAGAGACAGGGCCCTGGGCCAGCACACTGGGGAGGTCCTGCTCTGCTCTCTGCAAAGACAGTGGCCACCAGCCCTCCCCCTGCCCCAGCCAGTCTGAGGTCCCATAGCCACCAGGAGGGCTTAGGCGGGATGCCCCAAAGCCTCAACAAACACCCATGCAGGTCATTTGTCATAGAAAAGGGGGCCAACCCCAGACCCACGTGGGTGACAGATGTTGCATGTATTTAAATGACCCTGCAAATGCTCCCGGGGGTTAGATGGCCTACTGCAGCCTCTATGTGGATGTCCAACCCCAACCCCCCAAGCACTGGCCTGGTGAGGGTGAGGCCCGCGTTTAGAATTCAGATCTTAGAGCACGAAGCACGCACTGCACCAGGCACCTCCAGAGTGTTAATTCACCTCCAGGAGACTTGTTTGGAATGTCAATTTTGTTGCTTTGAGTTCCATCTCCCCTGCCAGGGCAGGGCTCTCATCGCTGAGACCATCTTTACCTGCACAACTTCACCTGCAGCCCCAGTTCCAATATCTGTTACAAAAAGTTGCTCCTTTTCAATCTTTTTTTTTTTTTTGAGATGGAGTTTTGCTCTCGTTCCCCAGGCTGGAGTGCAGTGGTGCGATCCTGACTCACCGCAACCTCCACCTCCCAGGTTCAAGCAATTCTCCTGCCTCAGCCTCCCGAGTAGCTGGGACTACAGGCATGCGCCACCATGCCCAGCTAATTTTTGTATTTTTAGTAGAGACAGGGTTTCTCCATGTTGGTCAGGCTGGTCTCGAACTCCCGACCTCAGGTGATCCACCCACCTCGGCCTCCCAAAGTGCTGGGATTACAGGCATGAGCCACTGCACCTGGCCTCAATCTTATTTTTAAGACTGTCTTGGCTCATTTGGAGGCATCATAAATGTTAAGGCCATTTTATTCAATTCCAAGAGAAGCCTCCAGATAGAAATGCATGCAGCTCTTGGGAGAATGAGCACTGCAATCATACCTGCTCTTCCCATCCCACCCAGGGCCCTGGGAGATGCTGCAGTGCCTCATGCACACTTACACCCTTTAAAAAGATATCGCCACTTTCTTCATAAAGCTCCTAAGCCTCTTGTTAAGTTTCTGAGTACTGTGCAGTTTTTGTTCCTATTTTTGTAGACCACCTTCCCCACTTCCCCTTCTAAGTGCTCATTGTGCTCCCTGAGTGATTATAAGTAGTTCTCTGTAAGTGGCCACAGGTCTTCCCCAGCAGCTCCACTTCGCTGGGTGTGAGTTCTGTTTGTCCAAACCCTCTTCCGCTCCCTGGCAGCCAGGACCCTGCGGATGAGTGGTTACTATTTTGGTTAGCATAGCATGCTTGGGTCAGCTTTCTAAAGTGATGGCAGATCCCTTTCTTAGAAAAGGTGAAGTGGCCTCCCAAGAGTTGTGGGCACATAACTTCCCCCAATCCTCCCTCAGAAGCAAGGGAAAATCAGCCTGGGGAACCAGGGCATCCAGTCGCCTTTGCATGCACAGTTGACCTCTTTTCCACTGGAGGCCCCCAGACCTCTGCAAGCCCAAGTTTCCTCCAAGATGCTCTGCTCTGTGGGACTCACCCCAGGGTTCTCCGATGCCCCACCAGTGCTGTCTAGGGACCCAGGGAACCCAAGTCCTGCCCCAGATGCCCAGGGATACAGCAGCTACCTCATTCAGGATGTGTATGGGAGGGAGAGAAGGGTTTTGTCCAGGACACCATTTCCCCAGAGTCCCCTGATTCCTCTAAATCAGAATTCTGAAGATGAAAAGGCTTCACTGATTATAAGGTCCCTCTCTCTCATTTTTCATTATGAGGGGATTAAAAGCCAGACAGGCAGATTGATTTTCTCACTCATGTGAAGGTGGCAGCCTGGGTCAAAGCCCTCAGATGTGCCTTTCCCTGAGGCTTCTCTTGCAACAACTTACTGAAAGCACTCACCCTCCGATCAGTCCCTTACTAACATCACCCTGCCCAGAGGCTGGCTTCTCCTACCACGCAGAATTAAAAATCACAAAGCAACCTCTTTAATAAATAAATAAATATAAGAAGCAAAAAAAAAATCTCTGGAAATATCTCCAAAAAATATCACAATATTTCTCCATAACATATTTACTGCAAATATCCCTAAATTGTAATGGGCTACAGAGTATGATCAGTAAAGTACCTTAAGCAAACAAACACTGCCCCGTCTTGGAAGATCCAGCCCTGGGAATAGAGGGGACTTTAACACATGGATCAAAATATACCATGGAGACATGATTTCCCTGGGCACAGTGTGCAGTGACCTAAGACACCTTTGTGAATCCCGGCTTGGAAGCCGACGTCAATTTTCCCAGTCAAGCATCAACAGCAGCAGTGCCCTCGCGAAACTGACTTTACCCGGTAATATTCCGAGAATGGATAACAAGGCTGAAACGCAGAACTAACTACAAACTGAGTTTTCCTCCTTGGGTAAAATACAGTGAGAAGGGCCATGCAGATGGTCATCTTCTCTGGAGGCCACACACGTGGATTCCACAAAGGCCATTGCAGGGTCATTGTCACCAGTCAGTCTTGGCAGTGTCCCTGGAAGGTGTGCCATTCCCATTATCAGGATGAAGAGGGGGTTGAGTCAACGTCCAAAGACTCACAGCTGGAGGTCGGAACAGCAGCTCTAAGGAAGGCCCAAAACTCAACTGGCTCATACCTCCCAATTTTAGAGTATTTGGGAGATAGGAAGTGCTGAGAAATGGGCATTGCTAAATCACAGTGGTTCTCTCCTATCTTTATTTAGGAAAAACAATTGTTTTTTCTTTGGGAAAATTGTGTAGGTTACAACTGGCTATATCCCAGGTATCTTATGTGACCGCGCAAGCATACAACAATGAGCAGCGCCCCCTTCTGAGGGACTGAATCAGCCAGGGCATCCCCACCTTCTCAGCCACACAGCCCACAGCCACACAGCCCAGCCCACAGGACACCACCGTCCACGTGACTAAGACACAGGCCCACGGAGGGAGGGCCTGCGCCAACTTGGCACCTCCAGTCCGATGTTTAACATCTAATGAATGGCGACCTTGGGCTTTCCCTGCCACCTGCTGAGAAGAGAGAGTGACAGCCTCTTCCCTACACTCTGCCCAATGATTTGAGATTGAATACCTTTCCTATTGTAAATAGGAACAAGAACTGTTTTAACATTTTTGGATTTCTGATGAAGGGAATAACAACCTAATGCCACAGAATGAGCTCTGATTTTGGTTTTAGTCATATGTTATGACACTTATGCTTACTAGTAGGGGTACTTGCTTTCCCAAAGTGTGCCAGACAGGTACTAGCACTAAGACATCTGTCTGGAAGTATTTCTTTAGATATCATTTTATTCCTTCACTCTGCAGTCCTGTGTAATAATACACACTGGGAAAATTTTGACATGTGCTATAGTGTGGATGTTTGTCCCCTCCAGACCTCTGCTGAAGACCGATCCCCAGCGTTAGAGGTGGGGCCTCATGGGAGGTGTCTGGGTCGTGGGGGTGGATCCCACATGGATAGATGATTGCCCTGGGGGTGTAGGGGATGTGCGAGAGTTCTGGCTCTATTAGTTCCTGTGAGAGCTGGTTGTTAAAAAGAGCCTGGCACCCCCCTCCTCACCCCTGTGATTCTGCTCGCCTCTCCCTTCCCCTATGAGAGGAAGCAGCTGAGGCTCTCACCAGATGCAGATGCTGGTGCCATGCTTCCTGTACAGCCTGCAGAACCGTGAGCCAAATAAATCTCTTTTCTTTGTAAATTATCCAGCCTCAAATATTCCTTTATAGCAACACAAAACGAACAGGGACAACATGTGAAAATAGTTTGTTTCAGGGCTAGGCGTGGTGGTTCACATCTGTAATCCCAGCACTTTGGGAGGCCACGGTGGGAGGAGTTCGAGACTAGCCTGAGCTCTATAAAAAACAGAAACAAAATTAGCCAGGTGTGGTGGTGTACCCCTGTGGTCCCAGCTACTTGGGAGGCTGAGGCAGGAGGATTGCTTCAGCCCAGGAGGTTGAGGCTGCAGTGAGCCACAATAGCACCACTACACTTCAGCCTGAACAAAAGAGCGAGACCCTGTCTCAAAAAAAAAGTAGTTTGTTTCAGAGCTTATAAATATGAGTGTGGCACTGGCCTCTTTAATGCACACTGCCATGGTCTAATTATGGCCTGTGTGCATGCATGCAGCAATGCCCGAGCAGCTGGAGTTGGAAAAGAAGCCTCCGTTCATGCACAAACGTGGTACTCATGAGTCATCGGGGAGCTGCTAGCCCACCTCACAACGTGGCTTCTTCCCACCCACACTGGGGGACCTTCTCCCATAGTCATGGACCCTCCACAGGTGAGGCAGACATCGTCAGAGCCACATGTGTCCTGGGCAGGTGCTACCTGCCTGGAACCTGCCGGATATCCCTCTGGGATGGGTCAACTAGGCCACAGGACAATGTGACACTTGACAGAAGGTGGTGACAGCCGTAATTTGAGCTGGCCTTGTAGAGGCCTTCCTCCTTCCGTAGCTTTGGAGATGTTTAAAAAATTTAAATTTTAATTGCCAAATAATAATTGTATATAGTATGAGGCACAATGTCATGTTTTGATACATGTATACACTGTGGTATGGTTAAATCAAACCATTAACATCTCACATACCGATCTTTTTTTCTGATGAGAACATTTAAAATCTACTTGTTAGCAATTTTGAAATACACATTGCTATTAACTATGGTCACTGTGCTGTACAACAGATCCTAAAACGACTCCTCCTGTCTAAGGGAAACTTTGTATCCTTTGACCAAAATCCCCCCAAGTCCCTTCCAACCTCTGGTAACCCCCATTCTACTCTGCTTCTATGAATTCAACATTTTTAGGTTCCACGCGTACGGGAGATCATGCAGTGTTTGTCTCTGTGTGGCTGGCTTATTTCACTGAACATAATGTTCTCCAGGTTCATCTGTGCTGTTGCAAGTTCTAGTAAGTTGGAAATGTAATTTTTTCAGAAAAGAATTCACAAAGTACATGTCTTTGTGAATAAGGACTCCTCAGTGGCTTGAGGACAGGCTAGCCCCCTCAGAGAGAGTCCCCTGAGGCCAGTGCCATGGTGGCTGCCCTGGCCCCTGGCCCCTGCCCCCACCCCACCCTTTCAGAGGTTCTGTGCTCCCTTGAACTCAATTCTTCCTGACTTTCTGCCACACTTTTCCATTTTGTGCTAGGTTTTCTCTTAGAAATTACAGACTCTCTACATACGGAGACATGACACGCTCTGGGCTCCAGGTGCCAGTGCTGCAGGTCTGGAGGGGGCTCAGTGGATCCTTGGGCCCCTCCTCGGGGGACAGCCATCCAAGAAGGGCAGCCCAGCTCCACAGCACGCAGATCCTTCTCTGTCACCAAGGTCAGAGCTGGGACTCCTCTGGCTGCCACTCTTTTGGGGCAGGCACATCACCAGGAGACTGCCGCCCTGGGGGGTGAGGGTGGGGAGAGAGACCTTCAGCTCTGCCTTTACCCTCCACGTGCCAGCACAGCCATGCTACCCGATCTCACCCTGGGCTGGCTCCTCGTCTATGTCATATCCTCCAGGGACATCTACAGGGATTAAACTGAAAGTGTGTTACCCAGAGAGCACAATAAGAAGTTGTCCAAGGAGAGAGTTAAATGTAAGACTTCTGTGTTGTTATAGACTTCATTTTAAGCTTCTTAAAAATATAACCCTTGCAAAATTCGTCAGGGTCACAAATCTGGAATCCGGCCTAGTTAACTGGAAGAGGGAGGGAGGCCCTGGGTTGCATTCAGCCAGCTACTCCCATCACTGGAGTTAAGGAGCTCCTCAGCTTCACTGACATAGGCAGTCTCAGCAATGAGAGCCCTGCCCTGGCAGGTGAGATGGACCCCAAAGCAACAATATCAAAACTCCAAACAAGTCTCCTGGAGGCGAATCAACACTCTGGAGGCACCTGGTGCAGTGTGCGCTTCATGCTATAAGGTCTGAATTCTACATACAGGCCGCACCTTCCCCAAGCCAGTGCTGGGAGGCGTGGGGGAAACCAGTGCCTGTCCAGCCCTCCCCCTGCCCCAGGCAGTCTGAAGTCCCATAGCCACCAGGAGGGCTCAGGCGGGAATCCTAAAGCCTCAGCAGACACCCACGCAAGTCCATTTGTCATAGATAAGGGGGCCGAAGCCCAGATTCATCTGGGTGACAGATGTTGTGTGTAATTAAATGACCCTGCAATAGCTCCTGGGGGCTTAGACAGCCTACTGCAGCCTCTACGTGGATGTCCAACCAAATGGCCAGGGCGGCACAAGGCAGCAAAGATTCAAGTCCACAGAGAAGGCACGCTCTTTTCCTGCGGGCACTGTGCCGGACTCCCATCTGGTGAAACAGCGCCCAGGTCTCCACGGCTGAGTGAACTGGGCAATCCTCAGACACTGAGAGGGAGAACAAACTGCAGACCGTGGGGCAAAACCGATTCTGTGATTCTGTTGGAGCTGCCTGACAGCTGTGCCCGTGTCCCTTCACTCCTCCTCGGGAGGGCACCGTGCGCCTCCCGCATCCACCAGCCCGGTACAGGGATCCCACTCGGAGGCCCCCGACTGGCTTGAGTGGTTTACTCTGTGTCCCCTATAGAAGAAACAAACTCCCCCGTCCTCATGTAACGGAGGCTATGTGACTTTAAAAAACAAACCATAAGGTGCCTGTTTGGCCCCTCCCTTTCTCTGTGCCTTTCCTTCCTCTTCCCATGCCTGCTTGCCCGCAGTTATTTTGGTACAGGGGCATCACTAGTCATCGATGACTTCACATCCTAACTCGGGGGCCATCCGAATGGTTACGGAACTTGTTTTTCTTTCAAAAAACAATGATCCTTCGGTCACACAGACTTCCCTGATGGTGTCTGGTTTGACTGGCCCAGAAAGGTGAGCAGCTTTCATCCTGGGCTCTCCCCTCTCACATCCCTGCCTTCCTCATAAAAACCCCCGTTATGTCCAAACGCAGGTCGGATTTGGGAGCTCGTCTCTCCCGGCCTCACATTTCTTGCTCCTGAGCGCTGATGTGTTGGGTGCTCAAATGTAGCTTCTGGGAATTTACAGCCTCTAAAGGCTGGCACTACAAACTCAGGGGTGGGCAGCCCGGCCCAAGCACCCTAAACTCAGAGATGAACCAAAATGGTGTTCAGCAAAATTCCTCACTAAGAATAAAAACAAAACAAACAGACAAAAAAACAAAGTTAAACTAAATAACATTCATTGGCATGTTCCACAAAGAAATAAAATTCAAGACAGGCATGGAAGTGCACGCCTGTGGTCCCAGCTACTCGGGAGGCTGAGGTGGAGGATCGCTTGAGCCCAGGAGGTCGCGGCTGCAGTGAGCTGTGATCACGTCACTGCACCCCAGCCTAAGTGACAGAGCAGGACCCTGTCTCAAAATAAATAAATAGAAGTAAAATTCAACAAACCCAAAGTACATATAGCTTCAGGGCATCACTGTGAGGGAATCCAGTCCAAACACATCAATTTATAATGAAGTATTTATCAACTGGTACATTTATAAATTAGGTAAAAGTTCTGGAATACAATGTATCTCTTCCTGGCCAACAACAACAACAAACCCAGAAAACCCAACAGAGTGGAAACAATTCTTCACTAATAGGAATTATTGATGGATACCTCCAACTCCTTCTCAGTCTCAGGAATTCTAAAGAAGGAGGAAAAGCGACAAAGAACCTTGTCATTAGACACCAAACTCGCCTGGGGGCCAGGGTGAGGCAGGAGAGGAGCTCACATCAAGTGCAAAACGCAAGGGTGCACGCAACAGCTCAGGGATCAGGATGAACGCTATTTTAATGCAATATCTTTTACAAAACAAAAGGAGTGAACAAATATCCCTGAGGAAGAAACATTGACATTTAAAATAAAGACAGAATCGGCATTGCTGAGTTTTCTTTGGCTGCAGGTTCCCGTAGGGCTTCAGTGAGTTTTCTATGTCCTGGACAAGATAAGCCGCTTCCCTTGCTCTCCTTGGCCCACCCCACACCAACTGAACACCCCAAGAACCATTTCCTTCCTTCTCTGATATCCGCCTGTCCCCTGCTCCTGCCTCCCCAGGGGACACAGCACAGATTTCTGCCTCCCAAGTGCCTCTCCTCTCCTGCCTGAGTTCTCACCTGCCCTCCCCTTGTGACCCAGCGGTTGCAGCTGGGAGCTGACCACGCTCCTTCACTCCACGCGTGCCTGCTGGGCGCTGCTGCTCCCTGGCACTGTTCCACCGTGCACCTTCCCGGAAGAAGCTACATTCTGACACGGCAATTTCAAATGGGGCAAAGTGAGTTTACGGAGGTACAAGCACCAGGAGGAAACACGAACACTTGAAGATGTTCATGCAAACTCAGCTTAGCTTTGTGTGGAAAGGTCTGTTCAGCCCCCACTCTGGGGGCCCCTGAGGCTTCCCACCTACCCTAATTTCAAAAGCTGGTGCTCACAGTAACTATTTTAACCATGTCTTTCTGACTTCATTTCATCTATTATTTTTTGGTTTAACTTTATTACCAATATTACAACGACATCAGGAACCGAGTTCCCATAGAAGTCAAGCCTGTCTCTGTCACATCTTCCTGGTGTTTGATGAACCCGCTGTACTAGATGCTGACGCTGCTCCTGGCTCACTGTCATGGGGTTTGGTAAGTCTGCTCCAGATGAAGGGAAAATATGTTTTCCTTTTACAAAACTAAAAGAGAAAGACCTTTGGGGTGACAGCCTCTCCTCTGCAGAGGAGAGCAGTTAGGTGCACAAGGGGTATCCCAAGGCTGGTTGTGGGGTCTATGCCCCCATGTGTATTAACCCACAGGCTGTCCTGTGCATGCTGGAATTTGAGGACATGTGCTCCAAATGCCCAAGGCCACTCAGCCAGCATCACCTCGAGGCCCAGGGAGAGCTGATGCAGGTGTCCAGGGGCCCTTCCACTGCACTTGGGTTCGGGGCATGAGGTGGACCAGCAGAGAAGAGGAGCGAGGGGTGGGAGCCAGACCCCCAGGGTTACACTGCACCAGCACTTAAGAGTTCACAGCCAATCACGGCTCTGAGCCTCAGCATCCCCATCTGCAATGTGGGGATAACACTGGCAATGCCTGTGTGGCAGGTGGTAGTCAGGGGGACTATGTTAAGGTGCATGCAGCGCTTAGCATCCTGCGTCAGGCAGAGCACTGAGAATGAGGGCGGACGAGAGTCCTGGGGGCAGGTGCGATGCTCACTCCTGGTCAACTCTTGGGCAGCCAATGGCCACTACGCTGAGACTTCAATTTGCTAAGCATGTTACAGTGGTTTAATCCGGTGTGGGACAGCTTCGCTTCAGGAAAAACACACTTTCCAGCTTTCTCAAGCCCCGTGACGCTGATGTGTCTCTGACTTGCCTGGCCTGCTCTGGCTTTGCTCAGCACTGCTGGGCAGGAATGGCATCACAGCCCACCTGCTGGAAGGCCCCCGTGCCAGTCTCTGAACCCCAATGGATGTATCTGACAGCATACAAAAGCCCCATGTCCCTAAACCTCCCCAGTTGCTGACTCGTTACATGGATAACAGATCCAGGCGGTGAACAGCTGGCCACCTGCACCCTACAGAAGGCTCCACACCTCCCTGTGTTCCAGAGCCGAGGATCTCATCAACTCCTTTATGTTAACGCGGAGAACACGAGATCTGCAGGACAAGGGCATGTGGCCTACTTGGGTTTCAGCACCAAATACAAAGCCATCTTTGTTCTCCCAAGAGCCTTTTAAAATAATTTTCCTGTGTTGACTCGGTAAAATGTTGCTTTTGGGCCAAAACTCTATTTGGGAACTCTCCGTCTGGACGCTTTTCTTCTTAGAACAGAACAGAAATTGGGCAGAGTGCACCGTGGAAACACGTGCGTGTGCCTGCGCCGCAGCACAGACCGAGCTGTTCTCAACGTCGGAATCTCAGCCCGAGGCTGTGGCACCCAGCTTCAGTCCTTGCAAACCTTGAGGACCATGTTCCTCAGCACCTCCCACTGCAGGCTTTTTGTTGATAAACGTCCAGCAGGTTCTCTCAGGCCCGTGAGCCTCCCTGTTGTAGGCTGGGGCTACCCAGACCTTGCGTGTTGTGTTCCGACCACTAGGCCCATGAACTCGCTTCCTGGGGCTGCAGTAACAGGTCACCACAAACCTAGTGGCTGAAAACCACACACGTTTATGATGTTATCGTTCTGTAGGTCAGAATTCCAACACAGGGCCCACTCAGCTAAGGTGTCGGCAGGGCCACGCTCCTTCCTGGAGTCTCAGCGGAGAGTATGCTTCCCTGCCTCTCCTGGTTTCTGCAGGCTACCTGCATGCCTCAGCTCACGGCCGGCCGCCTTCTCTGTCTTGAAAGCCAGCAATGGTGGCAAGTCTTGCGCACTGGGCCACCGGCACTCTGGTTCCCTCATCTGACACTTTCTTCCACCTTAAGGACCTTGTGATTACACTGGGCCCACCCAGATGATCCAGGAGAATCTATCTCGAGGTCACTGAGAAGCTCCTGACTTCCCCTTTGCCCTACAACCTAAAACATCCATCAGTTCCGAGGATTCGGATGTACACATCTGTGGGGGTCATTAATCTGCCTAAAACAAATCATGAACAGAATTTAGGTGAAACTGCATTTTACATATGAGGGTGTGGCCAACACCAGTAGGGCTGCTGTTTTAGGGGTTTTGCCTAGAACCTAGTTTCCTCCAGGTGCTCTTATGGCCAAGGGCTGAGTCTTTGTGAGGTGAGATAATTCCTGGCAAATCCGGGTCACGAGGACACAGCCACATCTCACCCCGGGATGTAGCAATCTCGGCACCTGCGAGGAGGGAGACGGGTAATAAGCAGACAGCTGGCCAGTGACACTGGTCTGTGCTGGTGCCTCCTTCCCTGTCTCGGGCACTTCCGCCACACCGTCCCCTCCAATACCTGAATGATGCTTCGCCCACTGGGCTCCTCCATTCATGCATTCATGCGTTCATTCAGGAAACATCTGTTGGTTCTGCTGAGCACACACCAGGTGCTAAGGATACAGTGGGGCACAGGGTGGGCACTGCCCATGTCACATGTCCCCTGGGTGCTGGGACATTTTCTCTCCTGCTTCTCAGGTACAAGGACTGAATGGCTAGGACAACTCGCCCTCTACCAAGAGCTTTGCAAAGTGACAGAACTGAAATGAGGAGCCCAAGTTGCTCTGTCTGTGTGAATCCGTATGAACCAGGGGCAGCTTCATCCCCAGATGCAGCCTCAAGTGGGCCAGTCCTGTCCTACTCCCAAGTATCCATCACTAACACTTGTTCTACACACGTATACATTCCCCAGGATCCAAGGCCTGTGGTCATCCTGCTTGCACTTCCGGGACAGCCCACAGTGGGCACTCCGGCAGGGCCTGTGGAACTGAACAGTGGATTCAGAAAATCTGAGAATGACACCCAGTCTTTACCATGATGGACAACTCGCAAACCTCCGTGGGCCTCGGCTTCTCTGAGTGTAACCGGGAGCCGCTGCTGCCCTCCCAGGCACAGACTCCCATCACCTCTCCTGGCACGCACGTGCTGCTGCTGGTCTGCCTGTGTATTGCTTCACCCCAAGACACATGTGTGTGAGGTATTCACATGAGTGTGTGTGTGTAATTGTGCTTAGTGTGTGATGTGAGGTGTTTGTGATGTGAGGCTGTGTTTGTCAGTATGCAGCATGGTGTGTGTGTGCATCTGTGTGTGTGTCCATATGTGTGGTGTGTCTACGTGCATGGTGTGTGTGTGTGTGTGTGTGTGGTGCATGCCTGTGAGTGTGCGGTGTGTGTGTGAGGTGTAATTGTGCTTAGTGTGTGATGTGAGGTGTTTGTGATGTGAGGCTGTGTTTGTATGTAGCTTGGTATGTGTGTGCATCTGTGTGTGTGTCTATATGTGTGATGTGTGTGTCTATGTGCATGGTGTGTGTGTGGTTATGGATGTGAGTGTGTGGTGTGTGAGTGTTCGTGTGTGTCTAATTGTGCTTAGTGTGTGATATGAGGTGTTTATGATGTGACGCTGTGTTTGTGAGTACATAGCATGGTGTGTGTGAGTGCATATGCGGGTAGGGGTGTGTGTGCATCTGCGTGTGTATGTGTGGTGTGTGTGTCTGTGTGCATGGTGTGTGTGTGGTGTATGTATGTGTGTGGTGTGTGTCTGTGTGTGTGTGACGTGTGTGTACATGCATGAATGAGCACATATGGCTAAACACGGAAAGGACAAATGACAGGCAGTGGAGTAGAGTGGAAAGAGCTGAGGCCTTAAACAGGTGGCCAGGTCCAGGTCCAGGTCCACCCGGCCACCCACTCCACACAGGTGCCTGGAAAAGCATCTCACTCCTGTGAGCTGAACCCAAGGCGTCTCATCTGTGAAATGCGGTAACGACAGTAGGCCAGTCACCTCTCAGCACAGTCTTTAAGAATCGAATGAGAATTCTTCCAGCACAAAGTAGGCCTTTGCTGAATATTTAACATATTTCAAATAAGTGTTTGTTGAATAGTTGAAAAAATTGATATGAAAGTTCTTTTAGAAGTAAAAAATAAAATATGATAGAAATGTGAGAAATTTTAAACATTGGCATTTTAGATTTACTTAAATTATAATAAAGCCTGGGTAGGTGGAGGCTCTTCGTTTGGAAAACAGAAAGGCGGGTGTGGAGGAAAAGGAAAAATTCTTTTGAAATAAAAGGCGCATTGCCAGAATGGGACCTGTGGCAGCCATGGTGAGCGGACGGGCCATCACACGGGCATTCTTCCAGGAGAAGCCAGTCCAGCATCCACACACGGGGCCCCGGCAGCCTATGGGACCCCTGTCTGCCACGTGTAGAGAAGCTGCACCCAGTGATCCTTCTCAAGTTTGTTTTTGAATGACTGGCTGGATCCGGGTGACTCACTGTGTGCCAGGAGCCCACGCTGGTCTGTGGCAGCCGGTCCCTCCAAGGGACTGGAGCCACGCCACCAGCCACACAATTCCAAGTTCCTTCACTGTGCCTACGGGTCTCGATCCAGGAAAAGAGATGCTGCCTTCATTGTTGAAAAAAGGTCCTTTGCCACAATGAATTTTTTCAATGGCAGCACTTAGCAATGTATGTACCCACTCACTGCAGCACACTTTACACGCGTCCTTATTTTTGTGCTATCTCTGAGTGAGAACAGAAATGAATTGGCTACTTATATATTTTGATGGGGAACTGAATGCACTAAAATCTAAGTAGGTCTCAGATAAAAGTCACAGTCTTCAGCCAAACAAACGCAGGTCTCATTCCTCTCTGGCACTTCCTGGGCCCTCAGATTGGAGGGGTGTGTCTGTCTTACATGGGAAGAACATGAAGAAATGCTGAATCCATATGTGAAACACAAAGGCTGTGCTATTTTTTTCCCCCAAAATTAAGTCTAGGGAATGCCAAACACTTTATAATTGGCTTTGTGAAAACAAGGTCTTGCCTTTACTTTAAAAAAAGAAAAGAAAAAGTAAACCTGTAATTCCCACAATTCCCAAACAGAGACTAAAGGAAAATGTATTTTGAAATCAAAGATGGCAGGCACATCTGCCATTTATTTGGAATAGTTTTCCCAAGCCATTTACCTTAATGATTATAAGCAGCCCCTTACAACCTTGAGAAGAAACAGAAAACTGCCAAATTTTTAGCACTTTTTATTTTCTAATGCAGAAAATTAAATATCCTTTTGGTCATGCATCAAACAAGTGATTTTTTCATTCATTCCACGTACTACATGAAACAGCCACAATTACACAGGTCCATATACATGTGGTTTTTTTCTAACAAAAGTTACACCAAGTGTGCCTGGCTCTCCTGCCTCCCCTTCCACCTCCTCCACCTCTCTGCCACCCTGAGGCAGCAAGATGCCCTCCACTTCCTCCTCAGCACGCTCAACATCAAGATGACGAGAATGAAGATCTGTATGATGATCCACTTCCACTTAATGCATAGTAAATGTATTTCCTCTGCCTTAAGATTTTCTTTTCTTTTCTTTGAGATGGAGTCTTGCTCTGTCGCCCAGGCTGGAGTGCAGTGGCACGATCTCTGCTCACTGCAAGCTCTGCCTCCCAGGTTCACGCCATTCTCCTGCCTCAGCCTCCCGAATACCTGGGACTATAGGCGCCTGCCACCACGCCCAGCTAATTTTTTGTATTTTTAGTAGAGACGGGGTTTCACGGTGTTAGCCAGGATGGTCTCGATCTCCTGACCTCGTGATCCGCCCGCCTCAGCCTCCCAAAGTGCTGGGATTACAGGTGTGAGCCACCGCACCCAGCCAAGATTTTCTTAATAACATGTTCTTTTCTCTAGCTTACTTTACTGTAATAACACAGTATATAATGCATCTAACGTACAAAATATGAGTTAATCGACTGTTTATGTGATTGGTAATGCTTCCGGTCAACAGTAAGCTATCAGCAGTTAAGTTTCAGGGACTCAAAAGTCAAACACAGGTTTTCGGCTGTGCAGGGAGTTAAAGGTTAACACCCTTAAGCATTTTCAAAAGTCAGCTGTACATTTACTTCTCTTCCTCTCCACCATAAATGTTGACTTACTTCAAACTATAACTCCTTCCCTTTCTCCAGAAACTGAAGGGAATGTATTTTTCTCTAGTATGTGGAGATCACACCATTGTGACCTCAGCTTACGCTTCCACTCACACGTGTGTTTCCATCAAACGGAGGGGCATCCACCGGGCTGGAAAGAGCAGCTTTGGAGGAGCAATAACAGAGCACAAGCGCAAGGAGTGAGAAGTTCATGGCTTTTAAGGAATGGCTGTGATGGCTGTGAGATGAGGAAAACATCCTTCACTCTTTTCTCCCCTGGTGGCATCCTTACGTTTTTCAAGCATCTGCTCCAATGTCATCCACTCTCCTACCTGGAGCACCACTGGCTGCTCGACCCTGTCCTGAGCACCCCACCCCAGGCAGGTGGGGCAGCCAGCAGGGTGGCCCCCCACCAGCCCAGGGGCCTTCCTGCCCACCCTTCTGCGGCTAGGGGCTGGCTTCAGGCCATCTGCCTCTGTGTCCAGCCACAGGGGCCTCAAGATATATTAAAGTGAGCTTCGCTAGCTCAATGAATGAAGGCTTTGAAAGTTCTTGTGACGACAGCTGAACACTCCCTGTGAAATAACAATTTTAAATGAAGTTGTCATTCACCAAATATTTTTAAAAGAAAAACACATGGGGCTGGGTGTGGTGGCTCACACCTGTAATCCCAGCACTTTGGGAGGCCAAGGCGGGCAGATCACCTGAGGTCAAGAGTTCGAGACCAGCCTGGCCAACATGGTGAAACCCCGCCTCTATGAAAAATACAAAATTAGCTGGGCATGGTGGTGCACACCTGTAATCCCAGCTACTCGGGAGTCTGAGGCAGGAGAATTGCTTGAATCTGGGAGGCAGAGGTTGCAGTGAGCTGAGATGGCACCACCGCACTCCAGCCTGGGTGACAAGAGTGAAACTCCATCCCCCCGGCCAAAAAAAAGAAAAAGAAAAAAAAAACCCAACATGTATTGGTGACAACCGGGGCTCTGAAATAACTTCCTTATGAATTCTGCAGCTGTTTTGTAGTGGAGGTGAAGGTCAATTGAACGATTTCTTTGAGGAAGACCACAGTAGAACATACCAGTAGGAAAAAAAAAACAATAAGCAATCATGAAAGAATATTTAAAGTTAAATCTGTCATATTTACTTTTCAAAAGTGACACACGTATCACTGGCTGATAGAACACACCTCGAGATTTAACTCTTTGTTTTCATGCTGGACGTAATAAACGTCCTTAATTTTGCAATATGAAAACAGCATTGCCATGAATCTTCCCTGTTCCTCAAGGTTATTTTCTGGGTCTAAGGCTTGTTCTCATTGTTGCATTTGTCTTTTGTCAAGGTCTCATCATGGGTTTACTATCCTGCAGGGAATTTTAGATTAAGCAGCTGGCCATAAATTAATGGTCACATGAGGAAGAGCAAGGAAGGATTACCTCAACACAAGTCACAACAGCTCTCATAGAAACATGCTCCAGTTTACCTCATTTTGCAGGTGTGAGAACAGTTTTGTTTTGTTTTTTGAGATAAGAGTTTTGCTCTTGTTTCCCAGACTGGAGTGCAATGGCACAATCTCGGCTCACTGCAATCTCCGCCTCCTGGGTTCAAGCTATTCTGCTTCCTCAGCCTCCGGAGCAGCTGGGATTACAGGCATGCGCCACCACGCCTGGCTAATTTTGTATTTTTCCTAGAGATGGGGTTTCTCCATGTTGGTCAGGATGGTCTCGAACTCCCAACCTCAGGTGATCCACCCGCCTCGGACTCCCCAAGTTCTGGGATTACAAGCGTGAGCCACAGTGCCTGGCTGAGAACAGTTTTATAAGTAACTACTGATTCCCAACTCAGGTATTTTTACCCCACTCTTTTCCCCCATTGGGTGGCTGACCTGGATCTATATTATCTTTGTGCCAGTATACCAACTTTATGCCAAATGCCATACATTCTTTGAGGGAACCTGGAGCAGCTCCTTGAGTGAGGTGGGATTTGAGTTTAGGATTAGAGGGTGGGGAAGGTGGACAGGCATTAACACTAGAGCAAGGTTCCCCAGGCTTTGAGGGAAGACTGGACGTAGTTGGGAGGGTGTGATGCTCTCACTGCGTGGCCACGAGATGAAGGTGGGGCATGTGGAGAAGCCAGGTACAGGCAGTAAGGGTCTAATGGAAGAGGGGCCACAGGGTTGGGAGAGGGGACATGATGCTTAAGTGAGAATGTCCCTCTTGTGTCCCTGAAACCTGAGCCCTGCAGATGCTTCCTGAAGGATGGAAGAGTCTACACTGTGGGTCAGGGCTCCCCAGTGGCCGCAGATGGGATGAAGCCACCACCAGAAAGAGCCCAACTGAGTGTGGGGTGGGGTGGGCCCTGCAGGATGTCACATGAAGAGCCCATGAGATGGGAGAGAGGAGCATACGTCGGGCGGGGTGAGACATGACCCAGGCATGCACTCCCCAAACCTTCAGACACGGCTTACTGCATGGTGGAGGAATGGAGAACATGCATTTTACTCTGATTTTCTCTAAGGAATAAATTTTATTTTAAAATCACAGAGAAGGAAAAAATCAAATGGAGTATCAAACCTTAATTTAAGAAATCCATCTGCTTCATCAAAAATTTGCTGTGAGCTTTTAAGAATAAACAGGGCAAATTTACTTTATTCAAGAATGATATTCTTTTTGTAAAGCCTATCTTCAAAGTAATACATTATTCAATTTCTGCTTTAAACCCTTCGTTTTTATTCATTTTCCTTTTCTTCTTGAGAAAATCTCAAACTCACTCATGGTTCCATATATGTACTACGTGCCTGAGAACAGTGCTGTTCCCCACAGACGGGCTGGGAAGGCAGGAAGACAACCCCACTCCTGCATTTAATCTCTCGTCTCCAGCAACATACTGTAACTTAAGCACGGGAAGATCCTAAAACACATGACAGGTGAGGAAGGGACTGGAGACACCTAGTCCTGTTTCCCACAACCTTCATTTTCAGTTCCACCTTGGACCGCTGCTGCCTGGGTCACCCATGAAGAAGTGGCCTGCCCTGGTAGTCACAGGTTCCAAGTCGCCCAAGCTGGAGAGCTACAAGCACTTCCAGAAAATCTGGGACATGCATGGTGAACCATCCAAACGGGAAGAAGGTCATTACAAAAAAAAAAAAAATGACGGAACGTCCATAGTGGAACCTAGTCTTACACATTAGGCTCATCACCTAGCAACTAGAACCCTTGCTGAGGGTTTCCACATCACTTCCTGATCACTCCCAGTGACCCACAGTGGGGACGTGTTGGGGAGATGATGGATGCGGGGCTAGAGCAGGAAAACCATTCTCATGCTCCTCATTTCCCCCCAGACCTTCTAATAAGATCTGCTGTCAGAAAGCCCAAGGGCCTGGCTTAAGATCCCCTAACGTTCCCTGTCCCTGGTCACCCGAGAGGGCAGAGCCCACAGGGAGGACAGCTCTGTGAGTCACCTACCGGGACCAAGCCCTAGGTACCTGCACCGCTCAGCTGTCACCACTGCTTATCAGCAGTTCCAGCCCAGCCCGAGGTTCTTATGGTTCCTTTAAATCTGAGGATGTCCTAGGAATGGGCATCATGTGTTTAGTTGCTTATTTTCCAAGTGTAGCAGTGCCACTGGGACTCTGGGCACGGGGACTGTTTTGCAAAAGTTGAAAACACACACGGGTAAAAGCCGGTCAAAGAAAGCAGTAGCCAAACTAAAGTCAGGTTATATATCCACCAGGGCTTTACCTCATACCTGCCTACAAAAGGCACAAGATCAACAAGGCCTGTTTGTACCACGGTCTGAAAAACGAGCCAGCACCGCCCTGGGCAGGACGAGGAGCCCAGGGCTGCCCAGGTTCTAAAAGTAAAAGCCTCCCACGGAAAATAGCACGCCAGGGATTCCAACACGAGGAATCGAGGTGGTTAGTGACTCATTTTCAGAGCCAGGAAGGTGAGGTGCAGCCAAGACCCAAGCACCATCAACTACGTCTGACAGCTAAGAGGAGGGCAGCCGAGATCCTCAGGTGTAACCACAGCCTTACAAAGGCACACAAAGCCAGGACGGTCTGATCTGAGAGTCAGCAGAAGCCTAGCTTTACATATAATGAAGCTGGGGCTGGAAGGAGGCGGGAGGATCATGTTACATGGCGGGGTCTCCCCCAGATGACCTTAAGGGCAGCTTGGCAGGAATTTTACTTCCTTGCATTGATTAAAGCCCATGAACAGCCTTAAGTCCCCAGACAAAATAGCAAAACAGGTCCTGGACGATTCAGCGCGAGGTGGGACACAACAGGGAGGGAGAAGTCAGTATCCAGGGGCACTGCCCGGACCCAGAAGGCGGAGGCTGGGATGTCCCCAGCAGAAACGGACTTCCCTGGACTCCAGCAGGCTCTCTGCGGATAAGGGATTGGAGTGAGTGAGAGGAAAGAGGAGGACAGAGGCAAACTTTTCTTTCTGCCCAGTTCTAGGCCATCAAGGGAGTGAAGGATCCCCAAAGACATAAGGCAGAGCTGGGAGAAGAAAGGAGAGGAGGAAACAAAAAAAGGAACAAGAAGTAAGGATGAGGAGACAAAACAAATGGCATGGAACATGCTAGAAGCCTTCCAATGACTTCCCCATGTGGAAACTGCACACCCGGGCATCCCTCCCGGCTTTCTGTGGATGGGCCCATCCAACGCAGCTCTTGTTAGAGGAGTGCACACTCCCCTCTACTATTTGGTAAGTGTTTGTAGCAAGACCAGTGCATAGGTGGGACGTGATCTGAAAGTTTACAAGAAGGAAGTGAAAAACCACTTGTGAGATTGTGGGGAGAAAACGCTGGGAGCCCAGAGACACCACAGGCGTCAAGAGTCCAGGGACCATGCATGGTGGTTTATCAGTGGCAAGGAGACCAAGGTTTGACCCAGCCTGACCTCGTAGCACTTCCTCGTCCAGATGGATGTGGGCTTGTCCTCCCATCACGCACCTGTCCAAGCTGGCTGCACCTGCATGGACTGCTCTCCACTCTGCAAGGGCCAACACAGCTCACACCCACCCCGATGCCAGAGGAAACCGAGGCACACGGCTGGAAGCTGCCAGTGGGCAAAGCGCTCCAGCCCCAGCTGGTGCAGAAGCATCACGGAGAGACTGCTATGGCTCTCACCCAGCGCACGCTCCCCGTTCCACCCTACATGGCGCAAACACGCTCCCCTAAAATGGAGTGAACGTTTATAGCGGCAAAGATGGCAGCCAGGGTTTGGGTTTGGCACTCTAAGAAACTGACGCCTTGGAGTTAAATCAACCAAAATGACTTTTAGTTTAGTTTTTTTGTTGCTAACAGTTTCCTTAGTTTCTGACTTTTCTCTGGTGAAGAGCACAGTATCAATCACACTTCAAAATAACAAGTCAGGAAACAGGAACCTCTCACTCAGATCCTCACCCTGTTAAAAAGACTTTTGTAGTTTGGATATCATGACCTGTACTAAGTACAAAGCTCTATTTGTTTCTACTTTGTAACACAGAGTGTTATGTTCTATGGTTGCTACACAATCACTTTGAGGAAACATTACTATAAAAATAAATAAGTTTCTTTTTTCATTCAAAGCGAGGGAAAATAACAAGGACGCCCTAAATACACCCACAAACCTTTTCCAAGAACACTTGCATTTGTTCCTGAGCTGGTAAGAATGCTTTGCTGATGATATCAAAGCCCTTTAATTTATCTACAATCGACCTGACTTAAACACAAAGGAAAAAATACTCATTTTGTTCTACTTTAAATTAAAACAAGCTATTTTTGTTGTTGTTGTTACTGGGCTGTCTCTGTTTTTCTCTGAACGCAGGGGAATACAGTATTCTGAAGCACTGCATGATTATTCTCTCTTGGCTGTGGAAGGGTGGCCAAGCACACTATTGATCTCTGAGTGGGATTGTTAGAAGGACAAAGTGTGATTTCACTTTGAAAGTGATTACAAACCTCTACTTCTCACTAAGATAGAATAAAAGTGCAGTGCAGGATTTACTCTTCTGCATCAAATAAGTAAGAAATGCATGTTAAGAAATGATTTTTAGACACAGGAATGAAGGACAATTATCCTATAATAAGGCAAAACAAGGTGAGCTCTCTGTCCCAGTTCATCATCTGAGGAGCCAGGCAGAGCCTGCAGGCGCCCTGAATGGAGCCCCACGGAGACACGGGCAGATGAAGTTTGTAAGGCAGTGCCCCAGAAGGAGAGCTCTAGTTGTCTCTGGAGGGTACCCTTGAGATTGTGGCTGAGGCTTGATCAGTACATGCATGTGAGGAGACTTCCCCAAGTTCAGGGAAAGACCCAATGGTAAAAGCAAAGGAAAGTTTATCTGGAGCTCACCAAGATCCAGGAATAGTCCTTGATCTCACCAGTTAAGGTAGAAATTCACAGGTCATCAGGTAGAGTAATCTGATGGGTATTATCTCAGCGCTAGGGGAAAATGCCTGGATTAAAGGCTGCTTTGATCCCAACTAAGAAAGGTTAAAAGTAAGCCTCCACAGGGCCCACCTGTTCTGAGTAACTTCTCTGCATCCTAGAACAAAGCTCAAGAATATTTATATGAACATAAAAATGTCCAGCACTTTGTAAGGTGAAATTCACAATGTTAGATTTCCAGTGAAAAAAAGCAGGCATGCAAAGAAGCAGAAAAACACAACCTACAACAAAGCATCAATCAATAGAAAAAGATCCAGGAATGGCAGTGATGATAAAAGGAATAGACAGCAGATAAAACACTTGTGAAATATCCCTGTGTCCAAGAAGCTAGAGGAAAGATTAAGTTACATAGAGACATGGAATGGATTAAAAAATAAAATTTTTTAAGATCCAAATTGAACTTCTAGAGTTGAAAACTACAATGTCTCAGATGAAAAACCCACTGATGGGATTAATGACAGATTAGACATCACGAAAGAAAAAAAAGTTAGTGAACTTAAAGACAAACCAATAGAAGCTATCCAATATGAAACAGACTTTTTTTTTTAAAGATAAGGAAATGAAAAGTACATCAGTAATCTATGGGACAACTTCTAGTAGCCTAATCTATCTGTAAATTCAAGTTTGGGGGGCGGTGGGAAACAGAGAAACATGCTTAAAGAAATAATGATCAAAATGTTTCCACATTTACTGAAAACCATACAGCCACAGATTCAAAACACTCAGTAAACCCCAAGCACAGGAAACAAGAAGAAAACTACACCCAGGCTCACCATATTCAAATTGCTTAAAATCAATGATAGGAAAAATCTTGAAAACTGAGAAAAAAATATTAATACCTTATATATACAGAGAAGTAAAGGTAAGAACTATAACAAATGTCCCATTGGAAACAATGAAGCAAAAAGACAGAGGAGCATCATATGTCAGGAAGTGAAAGAAAACTGCCCGCCTAGAACTCTGCACTGGTGCAAATGTATTTTAAAAACGTAGGAAAAATAAAGACTTGCTCAGACTTAAACAAAGACATTCATCATGGGCAGACCTGTACCATGGCAAATGTTCAACGAAGTCCTTCAGGCAGAAGGAAAATGATGCCAGACAAAATCTGCGTGTACACAAGGAATGAAACTCACCAGAAATGGCAAAGATGCCCCTCTGCCTGGTTCCACCAATGATGTCTGCAGACCAACGTGATTGGGACTGGAATCCAAATCCCATTTGCCCTTTTCCTCAGTACCATCCGTGATGACAGGAACCTCATCTTCCTCTGTTTCTTCAAAATCGCTCTGGAATATGCCCACTTCATTGTGATCCCTGGAGTCCCCACAGTCCTAAAGCTGGGAAGCTGGGCAGGTGGGAGTCAGCTACTTCTAAAGACAAGTGAATAAGCCTTCTTTAAGTTAACTTAAGCTACCGTGCATTGCCCTTGGAACCGTTCTGTCTCATTTGGGAAGTCATTTGGCGTATAAAAAGTGCAAACACCTTTTATTTCCAAATCTGAGGACAGACAGAAGAAAAAGGCAGAGCCAGCCACATAGTCTGGTACTGCAAAGCTTGTCACAGCCTGGCACCAATGATGAAAAGCCAGTGAGAAAATGCACAAACACATGCATTTTTGTGTATGGTGTGTACCTTATAAATACGAAAAATCCACCTGGCTTATGAAGAATGTATACACAGGAAGGTTCTCTCAAAGAATCAGAATGTCCTTTTAAGGAAAAAGATGCCCAACAGAATGTCCTGCTGGTTGTTAAAATCAACTTGATTAGATGGATCTCCCTCCATCCCCTACTACCAGGTCGACATCACACCACCAGGCACTCAGAAGTTACGCTCCATGAAACCCGACTACTATTCTCCATCATAAGAAAAACAAAACCACAAATAAATGCCTACTCACTTAAACAACCCAGTTAGTTGAAATTACTGATAAAGGGAGATCATCAGTGCTCAAAATGTTTCACGTGACTTCCAGTTTCAGAACATGCATGGGCTTCTTGGGATGTGACCACGGGCAGGCTGCTCACACACTCTAAGCCTGTTTTCTCATTTTATATGTGCACAGACTTCTCACTGTGTAAAGGATGAACGGTAGCTCCCTATCTGCCTCAAGAGTCTATTCCCGACACTTTAAAAATAGCATCTATACAGTGCATGGGCAGTCTATTTCATGGGGGTGTCGAGATGCCAACCAGTGATGGAAAACTTAAATGCATCAGCTTTGCTACTTTTTAGCAGATGTTCTGCAAGTTGCAGAATCCTAAAGAGCAAAGAAACTTAAGAGTTCACCTCTCGCAACTGTTACCCATCACACAGACTAAAACCAAACCCAAAAATGAATTCTGCAAAAAAATTTGTTAAGCTTATTTAATCATTCCATTTTCTGCACATGTGAAAAACTGCTTTTTCCACGAAAATAAAATGTTGGAAATGTTAAAAGACTGTTTCTATTTGTTAGCCATTTTAGGAGAAAAGCTAACTTTATTAAGCAACTAGCTCGCCTGCTTAGAATAACACATTTTTGCTTTATATAGAGTATCTTTGTGTTTTAATTGACTTATTTTGGTTCCAACTCTTGCAAATGTAAGGAAATTTTGCCTAACTCTATGCTAATAATCTAAGGGTTAATCTGACAATTGTGTAGGGTGGAAAGTTTTAAGAAAAGAAGAAATTACTTAGATATTTTTAAATCAAAGATTTCCACGGTAGAAGATCTAGAATGCCAGTAATAATTGACTTATAGGAAAATTAAGAATATTTTTTAAAGTGAGATATACTTGCTTATTTACTATCAATAATATTTGAAACTTAGAATTTAAAATATTTTAAGTTGGTAAACAGAACTTCGAGAACAATAAAAATTATTATAAGTGAAATGAAAGATCTTATGTTGCTTCTCTGGGTTTTGTTTTATTTTGCTTTGTTTTTTTTGATGAGGGGTCTCACTTTGTTGACCAGGCTGGTCTCAAACTTCTGGCCTCAAGCTATCTTCCCACCTTGGCCTCCCAAAGTGCTGGGATTACAGATGTAAGCCACCACATCCAGCTGCTTTTCTAGTTCAGTTTTTAAAATTAAAAGTGGAAAAATATGGAAAACCAAATGAAAAACTTTTTCCTTTCTGACGGTCCCTAAATAATAAAATTGGTTCTACATATGATATAAATTCAAGTTTGTGTTAAGTGATGGGTACAGTAAAAATATGAAATACAGAATTCTGTGCAATTTTTAGAGAGCTTTTTAAAAAATATTTTCACAAGTACTGCCATTCCTTTCATACCTCTTTAAAAAGTAACAATCCACCATGCGAAAGATTTGTGTACTTCTTTCCCTAACCTTGCAATGTCGGTGATAATGCTATTCAATTCTGAGACGGTATGATATTGTAAAGAATTAACAAATAAGAAGAAAACATAATTTTTTTGTCTTAGTCACATTATTTTTTAAGGTATGACCTATCTGCAAAGTGAAAAGATCTAAGATCTCCACTTTTAATGTATTATTCTCCTTGTTAGGGAAAGAAGAGGCTTACAAAGAAAAATCTGGCATAAAAATGGATCTTAAAAATCCAATTGTAAAACAAACAAAAAAAATTCTGTTGTATCTTACACTCTTGGCTATAAACGGTGTGGGCCTCTAACCTAAAATTTGTTAATGTGTAGGAAAAAAAAATCCTACCTGAATTTTACAATTTAGCTAGTCTATATAATATACTATCTATAATGCAACTTTCTCTGTCTTTCTCTCTCTCTGTTTTTTGGTTTTGTTTTGTTTTTGTTTTTTTCTTGAGACAGAGTCTCGCTCTGTCACCCAGGCTGGAGTACAATGGTGCAATCTTGGCTCACTGCAACCTCTGCCTCCCAGGTTCAAGCAGTTCTCCTGCCTCAGCCTCCCAAATAGCTGGGATTACAGGCGCCCGCCACCATGCCTGGCTAATTTTTGTATTTTTGGTAGAGACAGGGTTTCACCATGTTGGTCAGGCTGGTCTCAAACTCCTAACTTTGGGTGATCCTCCCACCTCAGCCTCCCAAAGTGCTGGGATTGCAGGCGTGAGCCACCGCACCCAGCCTCTCTCTCTAACAATGTGGTTTGTATCCAACTAGAAGGTGAGGTTCTTATTTAAATTAGATCAGTTTAATAAATCAATTTCCAATTTGGATAGTATAAAGACAACTGAAATGCAAATATTAGCAATATGGGGAAATACAACTTCACTTAGCATATTTAATCCTATGAAAGGGTCTAAATAAGATTGATAAAATAATTTACAGAAGTGCAGAAAACAACTGCTCAAATGCACACAAATTATTCTTTCCTTTCCCCCAAATCTCTAGTCTACTCTGATTATAGCTGGGAGGACACTGATCATCACCATGGTTCAAAAGAAATAACAAGGTTCAATTGTCAGTTCAGCTCAATACATGGATATCCACCTCTACACATTATTTAACCTTTCCTGGGGTCAGATTTCTTGTCTCTAAAATGGGAACAATACAACACGGGGCTCTTGTGAAGATGAAACGGTTTAAAGAATTTGAAAGATTACATGTAATAATATGATGATGATAAAATTCTGTTTGCAATGTACATTCCTTTAAAGAGAATATACAAAGTTGTATTCATTTTTGGTTTTCACTAGAAATTAGTTTTAGTATTCTAGTTAATTTTTGGCTGGTCAGATGGTAGTGGGTTATCAGAACTTATTAACATTGCTGTCACTATACAATCCCCCCACTGCTAAATTTTACTAGCTTTTAAAAAATTATTTTTAAAAAAAGCAATTTGCATGGAAATTGTTTGAAACATCTGGGATATAAATTCACTAATATATTAAAAAAACCTAGAAACACATAAATATCTCATACTATTATTTATTTGAACTTAAATCCCACTAAAGTGATCTCTAAGGAAACTTGAATTTTCAATTTAACTTGATTTTTATGCAAACTATGTAAAAGTCAAAATATTTGCTCTTTATAGGAGATACTCCTAATGCAAGTTAAATCTAGAATAAGTTTTTAATACGAAAAATATATTATAAGCCAAATATACAAAAAAAGGTTAAAGAAAGGTAGTAAGTTCATATTAAACAAGTATTTTTAGAAAACTACAAAACATTAATAAAATAAACTGTAGATGACACAAACATGGAAAACATTCCATGTTCCATGTTCGTGGACCAGAATAATTAGTATCATTACAATGACCATACTGCCCAAAGCCATCTACAGATTCAAAGCAATCCCTATCAAAATACTAATATCACTTTTCACAAAATTAGAAAAAAACCATCCTAAAATTCATATGAACCCAAAAGTGAGCCTGAATAGCCAAAACAGTCCTAAGCAAAAAGAACAAAGCCGGGGCATCACATTATCTGACTTCAAATTATATGTGAAGCCTTTAGTAATCAAAACAGCACAATATTGGTACAAAAATAGACACACAGACCAATGGAATGGAAGAGAACACTGATACATTCAACTGATCTCACAAAGTCGACAAAAACGTAACACCAGGAAAAAGGACACCCTTTTCAATAAATGGTGCTGGGGAAATTGGATTGCTACATGCAGAAGAATGATCTGGGACCCCTATCTCTCACTCTATACACAAATCAAGATAGATTAAAGACTTAACTCTAAGACCTGAAACTATAAAAGTATTAGAAGAAACCCGAGGGAAGACTGCTGGACGTTGGTCTAGGCAAAGAATTCATGACGAAGACCTCAAAAGCACAAGCAACGAAAACAAAAATAGAGAAATGGGACTTAAACTAAAAAAGCTTCTGCACAGCAAAAGAAATAATCAACAGAGTGAATAGACAGCCTGCAGAATAAGAGAAGACATTTGCAAACTATGCCGCTGACAGGGGATTAACATCCAGAATTTACAAGGAACTCAAACAAATTTACAAAAACCAAGTAACTCCATTAAAAAGTGGGCAAAGAACATGAATAGACATTTTTCAAAACTAGACATATAAATGGCCAACAAGCAAGTGAAAAATGCTCAACGTCACTAATCATCAAAGAGATGCAAATTGAAACCCCAATGCGATACCTCCTTACACCAACCAGAATGGCAATTATTAAAAAGTTAACAAATAACAGGTGCTGGTGAGACTGCAGAGAAAAGGGAACGCTTAAACACTGGTGGTGGAAATGTAAATTAGTACAAATCTATGGAAAACAATATGGAGATTTCTCAAAGAACTAGAAATGGAACTGCCATTTGACCCAGCAATCCCACGATAGGGTATGTACCCAAATGAAAAAAAAAATCATTATATCAAAAAGACACACCTGCACCTGTATTGTTATCACTGCACTATTCATAGTAGCAAAGATGTGGAATCAACCTAAGTGTCCATCAAAGGATAACTGGATAAAGAAAATGTGGCATATATACACTGGAATACTATTCAGCCATAAAAAGAATGAAATCATGTCTTTTGCAGTGACATAAATGGAACTGGAGGTTGTTATCTTAAGTGAAACAACTAAGAAACAGAAAGTCAGATACCACATATTCTCACTTATCAGTGGGAGCTAAATAACATGAACACAAGGATATAGAGTGTAAAATGATAATATTGGAGACTTAAAAAGGGGGGAGGGCGGAAGGAGGTGAGGGATGAGAAGTTACTTAATGTGCATTATATACATGTGGTAGATACATTAAAAGCCCAGGCTTCACCCCCAGGCAAAATACGCTTGTACCCCTTCAATTTATACAAATTTTTAAACATTTAAAAATTAAAAACAGCACTAAAGGAAGGAATACATTGTATTATAGATAGAAATAGAAATACATATAGATAAATAAAAATATGATAGAACTACAGGATCATAATTTTAAACCTTCAATAAATAAGCCAGCTTCACATGAACAATCTGCATCAGCAATAACTAGCTCAAAAATCTGGGAAAAGGGGTTTGTCCACGGAAGGTAGGTCCATTCACCATAACACAAAAATTACAAAAGTTAAAGAAGTAAATTTCAAAATTAATGGACAGAATGTCTATGGAGAAAATGGCAGTACTTTCTGAAAGACTTAAAAAGGAAAACTGGGCTAATACAAAGACATACCGTGTCTTAAACAGAAACACAGTATACCATACTGATGTTGATTCTCCTGACAGAAGAGCAATCCCAACTAAAACTCCAAAGTCGAGGAGAGAACCTGACAATAATTCTAAAACTTACATGGAAAAATAAATAGGTGAAAACACACAAGAAAACAATTTCAGAGGTGGGTTTTCACCACTATGTGTTGAAATGTTTATAAATGTTCGGCATAGTGTGCAAGATAATAGCAGTGGTCTGGGAAAAAATGTTTTAAAAAGAGTACAATAAAGGTCGAATTTTATGTGGTAAAGAAGAGAAAATTCAAAAATGCTGCTTGGGAAAATTTATTATATGAAGGGGAAAAACAACACCTGTACCCAAACAGAATACATATTTAAAAGTTCCAGATAAATTAAAACATAAAACCATAAGGCAAACAGAAATAAATGTAGGCAAATATTTGCATATTTCAGGGTTCAAAAGAACTTTTTAAGTTAAAAAGTACTTAAAAGGGAAAAGGTTGATATATTGGAAGGTATGCAAGTTTTCCACTTTATGTGTCAAAAACACTCTAAACAAAATTGAAAGTAATGATAAAGTGGGAAAAATACTTGACAGATAAAAATAAACATACATTACAGTCATATCAATATATCCTATAAACTTTTTAATTTAAAAAACCTTAATTTTTAGAAAAACTGGCAAAGAAACAGGCAATTTAAAGAAGCAGCAGACTGGGCACAAATGGCTCATGCCTACAATCCCAGCGTGCTTGGAAGCTAAGACACGTGGATCCTTTGAGCCCAGGAGTTCAAGACCAGCCTGGGCTACATAGCTAGACCCCTACAAAAAAAGTTACCTGGGTGTCATGGCATGAGCCTGTGGTCCCAGCTACTCAGGAAGCTGAGGTGGGAGGATCACTGCAGCCCGGGAGATCGAGGCTGCAATGAGAGCTGTGTTCTCACCACTGCACTCCAGCCTGGGTGACAGAGTAAGACCCTGTCTCAAAAAAAACAAAAAAAAAAACAAACAAAAAAAGCATATGGCTAGTGACCTTACAGAAACAACATTGAATAGATAAAAACTGGAAACAAAAAGATGTCATTTTTGCCTGCCTTAAAGGAAAGATCAAATTTAAGGGGGTGGCCCAGTGTCAGTGAGAGTTGGGGAGGGGCCTCTCTGGGTGAGCATTTCAACTGTGGCATCCAATTTTGGAAGGGGTTTTGCTTGAAATCACTGGAAGAGTGCACAAATTTGTCTACAAGGATCTATGCCCAGGTCAAAACAAATAATGAAGTCAATGGTCACACTCTTTAGAGCAGAAACATTGTAGTCTTTAGAAATCATATTTTTGCAGAATATTTCATGGCGTAGGAAACATAATACTGTTGGGACAAACATGGGACACAAAACTACAGCTATGCCAAATTGGTAACAGCTCTGAATGGCAAAGAATCCTGCAAATGATGGCTGTTTTCTTCCACATTACTCTAGGGTCCAAATGATCTACAGGAAATACTGTGTACCTTTTAGAATTATGAAAATTCAGTCAACCCTCCAGTACGGAATCCTGTGGGAAACTGGTTCTAGGAGTCCCCCATACCAAAATTCACAGATGCGGAAGTTTCTGATCTAAAATGGCATAGTGTTTGCATATAATCTATACACATCCTCCCACAGACTTTCAATCATCTCTAGATGCTTATAATACCTAATACAATGGAAATGCCACGTAAATAGTTATTATATTGTATTGTTTAGAGAATGACGACAAGAAAAAAAGGTCTGTATGTGTTCAGTATAGACCCAGTGATTTTTGTCTTTAATACTTTTAGATCTGAATCCAGGGATGCAGAACCCATGGATACGGAGGGCTGGCTGTGTGTGTTATTTACAAATATATGTTGTAGGATGCCAAGTTGTTCGGTAGTACTTCTGAAAACACAAATAATGGTAAATAATAACCTATGTTTTTTCAGCATTTCATTAACATTCTAGACTGGATATGTAACTTTGGGACAGGTGTGAATTTTATTGATCTGACCTATGCTTTGCCCTCCCATTTCTGCTGGCCTAATGATCAGAGTGGCAGGCAGGCCCCAGGGTCCTGACACACCTTTGCCTATCGCACAATAAGGCTACATGAGGCAAGTAATACTCCCAGTTTACAGAGGAGCACAAGGCCTAAGTGTCGCACCCAAATTGACACAATGAGCTTCTAAGCAGAGTGGAAACAAAACCCTGACCTGTCTCACTCCAAGGACAAACCTAGTCACATACCCTCTGTACCCCTCTCTCTCTCACACACATACAGAACCTGCTGCTTAGAAAATAATTATTAGAGAAAATTACCTTAGAGATAACTATTTCCCCTCACCTTTTATACCTTATACAAAGCAGTATATCATCAATTCACCGTTGAATCAATGTTTAACTGCAGTAAGTCAAAGTTTTAGCCAAATAGAATTGCTAATTTCAACCTAAAATAAAAACAAGCTAGATTCCTATGTAATATTTTTTCTTAGACTTTCCATCTAGGATTGTAAATTCTACCTTCACTAAATTGTGAGTCATTTAATCTAAATAACAACTCTTTTTTTTTCAAGGACATGAAAAAAATAAGAACTATTGATGCTTCTGCAATGTACAAACTTTCAGAAATTAACTATTCAAAGAAGCAACATTTTTTAAATTAAACTTTTATTGTTTTTGAAAAAAATCTCAAGAGTGAAACAGAAACTGGGGTTTGGGCTTGGAAAGCACACAGTGTTTTTAAATTAATGGAGGGTTTAATATTTTAAAGAATCTGGCTTCAATGGTATGGCTAATGGCATTAGCAACAGAAAAAAACCTCTTCTGCATCTTGATTACACATTAGCAACAGTATCGATGATAGTAATAGTACAGACAATTGTTCAACTCTTATAGATCATGAGGAATATTCACACACAACCTCATTTAATTCATACAATGTTTTCAGAAGAGTTATATTACACCCATTTAATAGAGGATAAAATTGAGACCAGAAAAACAAAGTGGCCTGCACAAGTTCAAATAACAACTGAAAACTTGAGGACGTCCCCCAGGTGCCCTTCTGTGGGGTCAGTGCCCTTACACAGGCATTCCTCCTGCTTTTGAGTCAGATACCCACTATGTTGTATTTCAAATGCTAAGATTTAAGTGACTGGACCAAATTGTTTCTAAATAGAAGTCTTCCAAGGAAGTTACGGTACAATTTATTCACAGCACCAAAAGCATTACTTGAATTAACTCAACTATTGTTGATCTTTAATTTCTATAAGGCAAGCAAAAAATTTTCATAGCATAACATTGCCCACAACCAAAATGTTCTCATAAATTCATTCTTGACATTAGAGCTTTTAAAATAACCATGTAGTAATAAGCAAACTTAAAGTTAACACATTTCCCAATTCATTACTATATTTAAAATAAAATAGCTACTTACTTTCCTATGCACGAGGGGTTGGCAAACTATTTCTGTAAGGAGCCAGAGAGTAAACATATTAGGCTCTGCAGGTCATGTGCGTTCTTTTGCACCTATGCACCTCTGCAACTACAGCACAGATGCAGCCACGGGCAGTGCATTAGCAGAACAGCATGCCTACATGCCAGTTAAGACTGGATTTACGAAAATGGGGGCTGTAGTTTACCAACCCCCACCACTTACTAAAAATTTGCTACAAGGCAAACTTACTTGTATATGAATATAACATTTATAGATTACACTTCCTACTATTAAAGAGAAAAAAAATATTTCACTAAACATAGTAATTGAAAAAAACATTTCTCAGCCTGGCAAGGTGGCTCATGCCTGTAATCCCACCACTTTCAGAGGCCATGGCAGGAGGATTACTTGAGCCCAGGAGTTCCAGACTAGACTGGACAACACAGTGAGACCTCTATTAAAAAAATACAAAGAAATGCTGGGTGTGATGGTGTACACTTGTGGTCCCAGCTTCTAGGGATGTGGAAGCAGAAGGGTTGCTTGAGCCCAGGTGGTTGAGGCTACAGAGAGCTGTGATCACACCACTGCACTCCAGCCTGGACAAGGGAGCAAGACCCTGTCTCAAAAAAAAAAAAATAGAAAAAAGAAAAAACATTTCTCAACTCATTCCTCTTCCTTACATTTTTAACATTCTCACTTTTTGTGTGTGTTTTTTTTTTTTTTTGCATTTTAACGAAACACATTTAATATCCTATGTTTAGGAAGTCAGTGAAGATGGTGGAGTGAAGGACCTCCAAAAATTATCTCCTTCATAAAAGCAGTGAGAGAGAACAATGGCAAAATACCGTCAAAATCAACTTTTTTCAGGTCTCTGAAAATTAATCAAATATTAGCAACAATCCAAAAACATTTATTCAAGAAAAATGGCTGAAACTCAGTAAGAACAGTGAGCTTTGTAGCGTTTTACGTTTCCGTATTTCCTACTCTCCTCACTGCAGCTCCAAGGTAGCCTTTAAAACCAGCCACTAGGCCAGGTGCTGTGGTTCATGCCTGTAATCCCAGTGCTTTGGAAGGCTAAGGCAGGAGGTTCGCTTAAGCCCAGGAGTCTGAGGTTGCAGTGAGCACCACTGCACTCCAGCCCAGGTGATAGAACGACACCTTCACTCTGGGAAAAACAAAACAAAACAAAACAAGAAACCAGCTACCGAAGGGCAAAATTCGAGGTTGGAGCTCCTTCAAAGCCCATACCAGAGAACTATCATTAGTTGACCAGGCTGCTTTTCCCTGGAAAATCCCATTCACAAGTCTGTGTTTATTTAACCTGACTTGGAACTCACCCATTAGGAAAAGCGTTTTCACTTGACATTTGTCAAATTAGAGGCAGTTGTTTAGAACATCTGAGATGGTGGCTATGAGGTGGGGCAAACAACAAGCAGATCAAAATCTTAAAAAGAAAGCCTGAGGAATGAGATATTAACAGAGGGCTTTGAAACTCCAGCATATTCCTGGGAATCTCTAAGACCACACCCATGTGTAGGAATATAAACATGCTCAGAGCTATGCATACACTCAGAAGGGACATGAGAGGGCCATGAGCCCTCAGCTTTGGCAGACATGAGGTTCTGCACAAGCAGGAATGAAGGCTAAGACAGAGAGGTAACCACCTGGCTCAGAGTTGAAGGTGTGCCCAAAACATGCACACATAACATCAGCAAAGATTAGGAGACTCTGTCCATCATTATTTGACCACTAAGATAATCAAGCACAGTCTTCAGTGGCTACCACAGGACAAAGAATACAGACCTTACAGAGCTGGTTCATAAAAGTCAATAAATAAACAACAATAGCAACAAACAGCAACAACAAACCCTGGGGAGAAAAAAAGAATTCAATTTCCAAAGTTTCCACATTGTTTTATTTTAAATGCCATTTTCAACAACAAAAAAATTATGAGACATGCCAACAAATAAGAAAAGAAAGTCCATGCACACAGGAAAAATTGTCCCCAAGCAAGCTCAGATGTTGGAGTTACTAGAAAAAATAAATATTTCCAAAAAATTAAAGAAAACCATGTCTACAGAAAAGTATGATAATAATGTCTCATGAAATAGAGAATATCAATAAAGAGATATTGCAAAAAAGAACCAAATACAAATTCTGGAGTTGAAAAGTACAATAAATGAAATAAAAATTTGAAGATCTCAACAGCAGATTTCTGAGCAAACAGAAAAAACAATCAGCAAACTTGAGAATAGGTCAATTGAGATTGCTCAGTATGATAAACAGACAGAAAAAAAATGAAGAAATAGCAACAGTCTCAGAGTCCCGTAGGACATCATCAAGCAAACAGATGTATGAATAATGGGAGTCCCAGAAAGAAAAAAGAGAGACAAAAAGAAGAAAGTACAGTTGAAAAAATAATGACTGGGTTGGGTACGGTGGCTCATGCCTGTAATCCCAGCACTTTGGGAGGCCTAGGTGGGTGGATCGCTTGAGCTCATGAGTTTGAGACCAACCTGAGCAACATGGCAAAATCCCATCTCTACAAAATAAAAATACAAACATCAGCCAGGTGCGAAGGTGCACCTGTAGTCCCAGCTACTTGAGAGGCTGAGGTGGGAAGATGGCTTGCACCCAAGAGGTGGAGGTTGCAGTGAGCCGATATTGCACCACCGCACTCCAGCCTAGGCAACAGAGCCAGACTTTGTCTCAAAAAGTGGAATCACCTGAGGTCAGGAGTTTACGACCAGCCTGGCCAACATGGTAAAACCCCATCTCTGCCAAAAATATAAAAATTAGCCAGATGTGGTGGTGCACACCTGTAATCTCAGCTACATGGGAGGCTGAAGCACGAGAATCATTTGAACCCAGGAGGCAGAGGCTGCAGTGGGCCTAGATCGTGCCACTGTACTCCAGCCTGGGCAACAGAACAAGACTCTGTCTCAAGAAAAAGAAGTAATAATAATAATGATGATAATGATAATGGCTGAAAACTTCCCAAACTTGATGAAAATCATCTATCTGCACATGTAAGAAGCTAAATAAACAATTCCTAGTTAGATAAACTCAAAAGAGATCTAAACTTATACACATCATAATCAAACTGTCAAAAGCCCAAAACCCTACATTCGGTAATGAACAGAAAGAATCTGGAAGAAAGAAAGAAAAAAGTGATGCAAGTCATACAAGGGACCTTCAGTAAGTTTAACAGCTGACTTCTGATCAGAAATCATGAAGGACGTGAAGGACAAAATGGAGTCAGGTGACATCTTCAAAGTGCTGAAATAAAGACTGCCAGTCGCTAATTCTATATTCAGCAAAAACTACACAAAATACATAGGTGAAATTGGACATTCCCAGATAAACAAAAACAGAGAAGTCACCACTAGCAGACCCCTCTCCTACAAGAAACAATAAACAGAGTCCTTCAGGCTGAAATGAAAGCACACTAGACTGTAACTTGAATAGATCAGAAGAAATAAAGAGCACCAGTAAAAGTATCTACTAAGTAAATATAAAATGCAAAGGTAGTTTTTCTTTGTAACTCTTTTTTCCCCTTGATTTAAAAGACATAAAGCAACATTTACAAATCTATGTTGATGGGCATACAAGGTATACAAGATGTAATTGACAGGACTTGACAACACCAGCACAGTGGAGGGAGGATGGTGGGGCTACATATGAACAAAGTTTTCATGGCACTGTAATTAAGGTGGTATTAATCTGACCTACATTGCTGGAAATTTAGATGCTAATTAAAACCCACAAGGTGATTACTAAGGAAATAACCCCCAAAGTGATAAAATAAATGACAAGGAGATAAAAATGGCACACAAGCAAATATCTATTTGACAAAAAAGGCGGCAGTAATGGAGGAACAGACAAATAAAAATACCTAAGACATAAAGACTGCAAATAGCAATATGGCAGACTTAAATCCTACCAACTCAGTAAGTACATTAAATGTAAATGGTCAAGTTCTCCAATTAAGAGGCAGAACTGACAGAATAGATTTTTTAAAAAGCACAATCCATCTATATGTGATCTGTAAGAGACACACTTTAGATTAAAAAATACAAATAGGTTGAAAGTAAAAGGATGAAAAAAGTTACACTGTGCAAAAAGTAACCAAAAGAGCTGAATTGGCTATGTTAGTATTAGAACAAAAAATAGACTTTAAAACAAAAAAATGATAGTACAAATCAAGAAAGACATTTTATGATGAAAAAAAGGTCAATCCATCAGAAGGCCATAACAATTATAAGCAAAAATGAAGCTAACTGTAAGTTCCCAAAACAAATGAAGCAGAAAATGACAGAACTGAAGGATGAAATAGACAATTTAACAATAACAGAGAATCCAGTGCCCCACTTTCAACAATAAATAGAACTAGCAGAAATTAACAAGGAAATAGAAGACTTGAAAAATATTATAAATGAACTAGACCTGACAGACAACTGTAGAATACTCTGCCCAGCAACAGTAGAATAAACTTTCTTCTTAAGTGCACGTGGCGTGTCCTGTAGTACAGACCATAAGCTAAGCCATAGAACAAAACTCAGTAAGTTTAAAGGATCGATACCATACTAAGTAGGCTCTTGGAATGAACTTAGAAATGAAATCAATAACTGAAGCAAATTTGAGAAAGACATACATACGTGGACATTAAACAATCCACTCTTAAATAACCAATGGATCACAGGGGAAATCACACGGAAATTAGGAAATACTTTGAGATGAACGCAAACAAAAATCCAACACACCAAAACATACGGGATGCAGCTAAAGCAGGGCTTAGAGGGAAATTTAACATCCCGTATTTGTTATCATTTGTATTGCTTTATCCAGTCATAAGCATTTCCATGTAACCAGAAAGTATCTTAAAATATAATTTAATAAATACACAGTATTCCAGTAAGTGAACCATGATATCTAATTATTATATGGATTTGGCAGCACTCATGCTGTGTTTTACATGTGCTGTTGTAAAAACTGACTATCCTCGGGCACTGTGATCTTTGACTGCATCAAAGATTATCTTCCCAGGATAGATTTATAGAAATGGAATTGTTCACTCAAAAAGGTAGGCATTTCTATGGCTGGTGATTCCTGGCAACCTTATTAATAAAGCTTTGCTCCACATCATGCATAACGCTGGAACATGTGCGAGAAAGGAGGGGGTAACAGACACACAACTCCAGTCTGTTTGCAAGAACCAACGTGGAGTAAGGAGGCGGAAAGTCGATGCAAATTTTATTTCCTTCTTTCCCATTTTTCTGGTAATAACACAAGTGTATTAAAATAATGTGGTGAAAAGTGCCTCTTTACAGACAAATTTTCATAAAGCCTGGTCACATCTGTCTGGGAGAAAGGGGGAAGGTTCGTTCAAACCTCTCCATGGCTGGCTGGTGATGTCACCTGTGATGATGTCACCTCACAGCACCCAGATCAGTGACTTTCAGAGCTTTGCATCCATTTCCCCTGAACTTAGGCTAAGGAGGCAAGATCAGTTCCATTTTAAGGATGAATTAAAATGGGATACCCAGGAAAAATGTCTTAAATATGTGAATAAATGAGTATTGAGTGTTGATGTTATTTGTTCTTTCAAAAAAATTTTTTTTTCTTGAGCAGGAACCAAGCATGCCGCCACACAGAAAACAAAGCTCTTGCTCCCAAGAGTTAACATTCTAATGCGGAGGAGGGTGGGTAGAGAAACATCTAAATGCCCAAATCCATACGTGGGTCAGACTGTAGTAAGATAAACAGAGTAGGGACAGAGATGAGGCATTTAGGGAGGATCTCCCTGGGAGTGTGACACTGGGAAAGGTGCCTGAACTAGGCAGGAGCCAGGAGAGAGCTGGGGGAAGGGGCAGCAGCCCAGGGCTCTAAGGCACGGCTCGCTCTGGAGTCCCAAGAGGCCAAGGCGTAGTGGGATGGGAGGCGGAGAGTGAGGGTACGGGGGAGGGACACAGTGGGCCACCAGGTACAGGACCCTGTGGGTCAAGCAAAGACTTTGGATCTCACTCCCAGGGAAGGGAAGACAGTGAGGCTTCCAAGAAGAGGAGGGCCCCAGTCTGCTTTCTATTGTAAGGAATCACTTTGGCCATTGGGTGGAGGATGCTCAGGTGTGTGCTAGGGGCCGGGGTGGAGGCAGGAGGTGGTTAGGGTAAGCTAGGAGGCCTCGGTCACCATCTGGAGGGAGATGGAGGTGGTTCAGGCGGGGAGAAGTGCGGTGGGCAGCCAGGTCCAAGGCCTCAGCCAGCAGGAGCTGTGAATGGAGCCACGGAGAGGAGGAGGCCTGGTGATGTGCCGCTGCCAGCACAGGCACCTGGGGGTAAATGCAGGAGAGGGGGTGCAGCCATGCAGCGCTGGCCTTCCTGGGTCATCCCCACCTTCCCCTCATTCAGAATGGCCTCAGAGGCCAGGCTCCACTCTCCTAAGGGGTGCTCTGCAGAGCCACCTTGGGAAGTCACTGAAAGGGGTGGAAGTGTCCCTCTATTGTGCCCTGAAACTAGCGGCCAGCCTGTCCAAAACCACACAGTTCTGCTAGAGGGAGTGGCAAAGGTTAAAATTCCCACCACACTGCCCCTTTGCAACAGCATTTCTCAAGTGAGAAACTGACTTGGGCTTCTTTACACCTTCCTTCCTTTCCAAAGAAAACCACGCCACAAGTTCAAGAATTTGGAGATTCCTGAACAGGCTCTCAGGAGGAGACCCAGACCCTTTCTCTCCGGGGGGGTCCTGTGTCCCTGCACTGGCCACATGATCTCTTAACAGCCCAGTTCGCCACGGCCCCCTTCCGTCTTCCCTCACTGTGGCTCTGGGATCTTCAGTCCCAAACTCAGAGGTGACAACTTATTTCTGTCCCCCTGCATTGTCCCATGAGGTCATGACATTTTAAGATGGTCTATATTAAACCTGTTTCAAAAGAAACAAGTGGCTTTAGTAAACGTGCCACCTGATGAGGCTTTCAGCACTTACCTGCTCCTGGGAATCACTGTTTCAAACCTAAGGACTTCATTTCCTCAGACTTTGAAAGGAAGCCAGGAAAATGATTCACTGAACTATGTTCTCAGAGTGGGACGGCAATACTTCCCAGGCTTCAGAGCTTTGGCTGTGCCGGGCCTCCCTTCATCTGGCTGCTTCGCTACATGATTCAAAGCCAAAATTATATTTGGGGCAAATGATGAGTCTGCAATGAAATGCAAACAAAAGTCCCAGCCACTCACCCCACCTTCCCCACCATGCCCTGCCCGCTCCTCAGCAGACAGGCTGGACCCCGTGCATACCCAGCACCCTCCACAGTGTCTGGATGTCTAGGACCGCTGCCCATACCCTCTCCCACCTCATTCCAAAGCTGTGTGTGGCTCGGGGGCCTCGGGGGCTCCACCCCGTATGAGATTCTCTCCCCGCTGCAATTACACATTGTTGGGCAAGTCCTGGAACTGTAATGGGCTCTGTGTGTTTGTGCTACCTCAGAAAAATGCTGGACTCACCCATGTGGACAGTTAATCTCCTTGACAACATTTTCCTGGAGAATGCTGCGAGCAGGGAATTCCTAATAGGGGATGGAACTGCATTTAGTCATTCTCTAAAAATACATGTTCAGTGTGTCGAGATGTGAAAATGGCTTTTTGTGGAGTGTAAATGACTGCCACTGACTTAGCAATATCCTCATAATTCTTGGCAATCAATGACAGTCTTCACAGATTCAGCTAAATACCATATGGATCGATATTTTGTGTTTCCTGAGTTTCTATCTGTCCACAAACTCTGAGCTCACACGATGTGCAAAGCATGGTACCAAGGGGAACCTGCACCTATAGAGGCTCCTATGGGCAACACCTCACTGCCTGACCCAGGTGAGGGGATCTAGAAGATAGCATTGTCATATATTTCCAAAGAGCCACACAACCTTCTGAACCTCCTGCTGTTAATAACTCATTATTCATGAGCAAAATGGAATGCTTAAAATAAACAAGCAAACAAAAACCCTCCAGTGCCAGTAGGACAGTGCCAGTACGTGACTTTGGCGATTACACTGTGTTGAATGAATAGTGTCCCCCAAAATTCATGTCCATCTGGAACCTCTGAATGTCACTTTATTTGGAAATACGATCCTTGCAGATATAGTTAGTTAAGATAAGGTTATACTGGAGTATGGCGGGCCCTAACCCAATGACTGGTATCCTTATAAGCAGAGAAAACAGAGACACAGAGACTCATGACAGAGAAGACAGCCATGTGAAGACAGAGACAGAAATCAGATCAACGTGGCTGCAAGACAGGGGACGTAAGGACTGGCGGCCACCACAGACGCAGGAAGAGGCAAAGAAGGATTTTTCTCTAGAGCTTTCCACAGGAGCACGGCCCTGCCCACACGCTGGTCTCAGCCTTGAAGCCTCAGAACTGTAAGAGAATACACTTCTGTTGGTTTAAGCCACCTGGTGTATGGTAATCTGTTATAGAAGCCTCAGGAAACTCATTCAGCAATGGGTGGAAAATCTGAGTGCTACTCTCCTAGCAGACACAAGGCCTCATTTCAGCAAAGGCAGCTGCCTGTGAGTGTGCCGGGCAAGGCAAAGTCATCACAAAGATCTGTCATGTTCTGGACCATTGTCGCAGTCTAAAATTGGCATCTTTATATTTAAGGTTGTCAATGACCAGATTCCATTTTTTGTCTTATGCTTACAGGTCCTATGTAAATTCGTTTCCTTTTTTTTTTTTCAAACACATTTCCTTTTTTGAATACACTCTGCTTTCGTGCGCTATATGTGAAGCAGAAAAATAAAACAAAAACAGGCAACATCTAGCCTTCTGCCCAAAGAAAGGAAATGAAAAGAGTATGTTACTGGATACTAAACTACAGCTGGAGAGGAGGGATAAGTTGTGGCATTCCGCAGCACTGCAGGGGGACTATAGTTAACAGTAATTTAGTGTGTATTTTCCAATAGCTAGAAGAGAGGATTTTGAATGCTCCCAATAAAAAGAAATAAGTATTTGAGGTGATAGACATGCTGATTATCACAATTTGATCATTACAAACCGTATACATAGGCAATATCACTCTGTGCTCCACAAATGTGTATAATTGTTATGTGTCAATTACATTTTTTTAATCTATTTTATTCTTTTTTTTTTTTTTTTTTTGAGACAGAGTCTCACTCTGTTGCCCAGGTTGGAGTGCAGTGGTGTGATCTCGGCTCACTGCAACCTCCGCCTCCTGGCTTCAAGTGATTCTTGTGCCTCAGCCTCCCAAGTAGCTGGGATTAGAGGCGGACATTACCACAAGTGGGTGATTTTTGCATTTTTAGTAAAGACGGGTTTTCACCATGTTGGCTGGGCTGGTTTCGAACTGCTGGCCTCAGGCAATCCACCCACCTTGACCTCCCAAAGTGCTGGGATTACAGGTGTGAGCCACTGCGCCGGGCCCATATTTTTTTATTTTTATCTTTAATTGAAAGAATAAAAAGCATGAATGCCTGCTGGCCATTCTCCCCAAAAGACCTCACTGAAAAGCAACACTGAGGTCTCTAAACAGCCAGAGAAGTCCAGCCCCGCAGAGCCGAAGATGACTGGTCTGAGGCCTGCTCACCATGAATTTCTTGTGATAACCCTCACTTTTATTTATTTAAAGAGCAGTTTGACAGTAGAGTACCCCTACCACACTTCTCTTCACTCTGGAGTGAAAAATTATTACAAAATGGATCACAGTGGAATGGCTAAATCAAGCTAATTAACATGCGCCGGGCAGTATTCCATTTTTTCTTCCTCTCAGTTCCTATGTTACTCCTGCATACTTCATGGACTTAATTTTTTTGTGCTAAGAACACTTAAAATCTACTCTCAGCCGGGTGCCGTGGCTCACGCCTGTAATCCCAACACTTTGGGAGGCTGAGGCGGACAGATCACGAGATTGAGACCATCCTGGCTAATACGGTGAAACCCCATCTCTACTAAAAATACAAAAAATAAGCCGGGCGTGGTGGTGGGCACCTGTGGTCCCAGCTACTTGGGAGGCTGAGGCAGGAGAAAGGAGTGAACCCGGGAGGCGGAGCTTGCAGTGAGCCCAGATGGCGCCACTGCACTCCAGCCTGGGCAACAGAGGGAGACTGTGTCTCAAAAAAAACGAACAAACAAAAAAAAAACAAACTACTCTCTCAGCAAGTATACAATACATTGTCATTATTTATTATTATGCTATTATATGCTATTAACTACTAACTATGTGTGTTATTAACTATTCATTACTCCACAATGTATATATATTTCAAAACATCATGTTTTACACCATAAATATACACAATTTTTTGTCAATTAAAAATAATAATTTAAAAAGTCTGTGCTTCAAAGGGCATAATCAAGGAAGCAAAGAGACAACCTGCAGAATGGGGAAAAGTTTTTGCAAGTCCTATTATCTGACTGGAACTTGTATCTACTAAAAACTGCAACTAAATAATAAAAGGCTGAATTTAAAAATGGGTGAAAGATTTGACTAGACAATTCCCCAAAGATGATACATAAGTGGCCAATAAACACATCAAACATCATGTACTTAACATCAGTAGCCATCTGGAAAATGCAAATCCAAACCACAATAAGATGTGACTTCACACCCGATAGATGGCTAGAGTCTGAAACAGACAGGTAAGCATTGGAGGATGTGGAGAAAGTGGAACCCTCGGAGAACTGCTGGTGGGAATGCAAACAGCTCTCCAGTTAAACCTCAGGGGTATCGTGTGCTCCAGCAAGTCTCCTCCTAGGGACATACACAAGAGAAATGAAAACACACGTCTATACACTAACTTGTACACAAATGTTCACAGCAGCATTATTCATAGTAGCCAAAAGTAGAAACAGCCCAAATGTCCATCAATGACAAATGGATAAACAAGATGTGGTACATCCATACAATGGGATACCATTTAACAATGAACAAAAATCAAGTACTGATACAGGCTACAATATGAATGAGCCTGCAAACATGCTATGTGAACGAAACCAGTTACAAAGGACCATGTATTACACATGATCCATTTTTGTGAAATGCGCAGACTAGGTAAATCTGTGGAGGATTAGGAGGTGACAGCTAAGGAATATGGGGCTCATTTTTCTGCTAAAAATGTGCTAGGCCAGGTGCAGTTGCTCACACCTGTAATCCCAGCACTTTGGGAGGCCGAGGCAGGATGATCACTTGAGGGCAGAAGTTTGAGACCAGCCTGGGCAACACAGTGAGACCCAGTCTCTACCAAAATTTTAAAAACAAAAATTAGCTGGGCATGATGGCATGAGCTTGTGCTTCCAGCTATACCTGGGAGGCTGAGGTGAGAGGATCACTTGAACCCAGGGGTTCCAGGTTCCAATAAGTGATGATCATGCCCCTGCACTCCAGCCTGAGCAATAGAGTGAGACCTTATCTCTTAAAAATTAATCAGTTAATTTAAAATGTTCTAAAGTTGATTGTGGCAATGGATGCAAAACTCTCCCAGATACTCAAATATATTAAAAAGCTACTGAATTGTATACTTTAACTGGGTGAATTGTATGGTACGTGAAGTGGGTCTCAATAAAGCCCCCGCAGGAGCAGCAGCCCACGGAAGCAGCTCCCTCCCTGGTCGCAGTGAGGGCAGGGACCATAGCTGCTTTCCTGACTATGGGGTCAGCACAGTTTTTGCCAATTGTCCTGAACAGGGTCCCAAGCCTGGCCCTTTGCACACAACAAGGCCGGCCATAGGAAACTTCATCCTTGGGCACAGCCTCCTCCCTCCCAATCAGTATTCCACTTTTATATTTTCTTTAAGAGACTGGGTCATATTCTGTCACCCAGGCTGGAGTGCAGTGGTACTATCATTGCTCACTGAACCCCAAACTCCCGGGCTCAAGCGGTCCTCCCACCTCAGCCTCCCAAGTAGCTGGAATTACAAGCTCGTGCCACCACGCCCAGCTAATTTTTTATTTTATTTATTTATCTATTTATTTTTGAGACGGAGTCTCACTCTGTCGCCAAGGCTAGAGTGCAGTGGTGCAATCTCGGCTCACTGCCAGCTCTGCCTCCGGGGCTCACGCCATTCTCCCGCCTCAGCCTCCCGAGTAGCTGGGACCACAGGTGCCTGCCACCACGGCCGGCTAATTTTGTGTATTTTTAGTAGAGATGGGGTTTCACCGTGTTAGCCAGGATGGTCTCGATCTCCTGACCTCGTGATCCGCCCACCTCGGGCTCCCAAAGTGCTGGGATTACAGGCATGAGCCAAAGCGCCTGGCCTAATTTTTCAATTTTTAGTAGAGACAAGATCTCACTATGTTGGCCAGGCTGATCTTGAACTCCTCACCTCGAGTGATCATCTTGCCTCGGCCTCCCAAAGTACTGGGATTACAGGTGTGGGCCCCCAGCCTGGGAGTATTCTACTTTTTCTTCCTCTTAGTTGCTATGCTATTCCTGCTCCTCTTTTCCCAGCTATATAACTTCAACTCTCTCTTTCTAACCTTTCCTCTTTGCTAATTCTCTTCTCTTTCCAACTTCCTTTCCGCGGGTTGTCTGAACCAACCATCCTACAGGTCCAGCTTGGCAAGAGAAACACACCCAACAACAGAGTGGCAACACTGGCTGCAAAATGAGAAGCATTTAAGGCTCACGGTGCAGGCTGAACACCAAAGCCAGGCAATCACGCACGTCGATTTCATCAAACTCCTGTCTACCCAAGTGAACATCAAGGCTGGACAGGCCCAGCACCTTCTGAAGGGTGTCTTCCAGGCAGCGCGGCCAGAGCTGAGCAGCCTCCCTGTTCCCTCAGGCAGCTTTGTCCCTACCTCTAGCAAACACACACACAGTGCCAACCATGTGCCAGGAGCCATCCTGAATCCTTTGCAGCTATTGGCTCATGGGCACCAGTGCCCATAGCAACCCTAGGAAGTGGGCACTATCGTTACTGTCGGTTCACAGTAGGAGATGAGGGCTGAAGTCACTTGCAAAAGTCTCCGATCCAGCAAGACCGTCTATGCATGTGCTGTCCCTCTCCCTGGCCTGCAAGTCTCTCGAAGGCAAGACCCAGTATTTACCTTCAGGTCCACACACCACCTGCCATGGGGCTCTCTTTTCTTAAAAAAAATTATTATATACATATAAGGTACAAAACATTATATTTTGATATACATATAACGTAGTGAAATACATAGAGAAATGATCACCACAGTCAAGCAAATTCACATATCCATCATTTCACACAGTTACCTCATTTTTTTTCGGTGAAAACACCCAAAATCTACTCTTTTAGCCAATTTCCGGTATATAATACAAGAGTAACTACCATATTAGCTTCAGTCCTCATGCTGTGCATTAGACCTTGAGGCTTATTTTTCCTACCTGCCCCTCAACAGGGTTCACAACAGCATTATTCAAAAGAACCAGGATACAGAAGCAACCTAAGTGTCCACTGAGGAATGAATGGATAAAGAAAATTGTATATACACACAATTCAATACTATGCAGCCTTTTAAAAGAAGGAAATCCTGCCATTTGCAACGATGTGGATGAACCTGAGGGACCTGAAGTGAAATAAGCCAGACACAGAGATGCTGTGTGATCTCACGCTAACAAACAATCTCAAACACACGGACAGAGTAGAAAGGAGGCTCCCGGCGCAGGGAGTGGGAGAAATGCGGAGACGGTAGTCACAGGGCAGGAAGTTTCAAGGCTGCAGGACGCATAAACCTAGGGCTTTCCATGTAGTAGATGTTGATGCTGACTGGTCCTGCTGACCTGAAGATCAAAGCCGAAAGTGTCTTTCAGCCCTCAGAGGATTTCCCATCTAACATGAACGAGCGCCACTGGGTAATGGACCAGAAGGCAAGCACGTCCACAAACAGCAAACTGCCCGAAAGGCACCTTCCTGCTTTGCGCTGGCTGGCAGGGTCCTGGGAAACAGCTCGAGGGCATGGGGAAGGCTCTGGGCTAACGGAAGGGGAAACTGCTCAGGAGCACGTGGCAGGCTCAGGTGGAAGGGGAGCCAGGCAGTGGGGAAGACGGGTGGGGAGGGGGAACTGGTGACAGTGCTCTTGGAAGGAAGGTATGCTGGAGCCTCTCACTGCCCCTTGGCAGTGTGGAGGATGGAAGAGGGACAGCTGAGCTGCCAGGGCTCCGGGCCATGGAGCTAGTTTGCACAGATTAATGTACAAGATTCACTGTTTTAGTAAAACTAGGGCATCCTGGGATTTCAACTTTAATACATTTCATTAAACATGAACCAGCATCCAACGTGTAGAGCAATGATGATGAAAGGTATGAAAGTCCATACCCTGTCTGGATGGCACTTGTTTGACCCAATTTGAACATAACAGAAACTGTGATGCTTTGATGTTTCAATCAAATGTGAAGCCAACACACTCAAAAAAGTGCTTATTACTCAGAAATAAGAGCCTAAGAGGCCTAACACTTTGGAATATACTGCCCATCTCACCCAGGTGACTTGCCTGCACCTGGCACGCTAGGTGTCTGCCCAACCCTTAGATTCCTTTAGGGAGATAGGAGTGAAAGCCCTGGAGCTGTCCATTCCAAGTGCCTTGTCTATGCCCAGCAAGGTGACAGTGACACCTTCACATCCCCAGCAAAGCCACCCTTGGCAACCTCCCTAACCACACTGTTAATATGAAAGCCTAAGGGGCCTCTCCCACCATAGAATTACAACCTCAGGGCTTGGCTGGGAGCTGAGGTGTCGCCCTTTAATCTCCATCCTAGAATCATATTTTAGTAATCCAGCAACGGAGTGTTATTACTCAAGTGCAGATGAAGTTTTGATTTTCTGCATCTTTAAACTCACTATGCAACAGAGTCCCTCGGGGCTTTTTAAGAGAAGCAGCCCTTTGAGAGTTGTGGCGCTTGATGATAATATCGCATGTGGCACTTCCTTAGTACTTATTTCCCCTGAGAAAATGGGGAAAGGACGGGCTTTACTCCAGGGTACTACTGCAATGTTAGAAGCAGCCTTTCTTTATGGTGAGCGAGCAGTGTGTTTGCAGAAGCATTTCCTATTGAGAGCTTCCTTGTCTTCCCATATAACTGCAAGACACCTGCCCCGAGTTCACTGTAAACTTGTCTGGTGGAGCAATGCGTCTAACCACAAGCTGGGTCATTCAGGAATATCCCATAGCAGTATAGTATTTATTTCTCTTTGGTGTCCATTTCTCATAACTGTGTTACAAAGGCGTGTTTACCTAGGTGACAGCAATGACTTAACAGCGGGCTTGTATCCAATACCCATTCTGTTTAGAAGACACTGGCTACACCTTAGCTCCAGTTTAAACTCCAGTGTCACAGGTGAAGGGCTGTGATATTCCCAGGATCAAGGCTGGGATAATATGTAACTCCAGCGTATGTGCGTCGGCGCATCCCTGCCAACTGTAATTATCCAAATTGCTCATAACTACAAGAACAAGTACATTAAAATAAAGTACTTTTGGTATTTCCAGGAGTTAATGTAATCTCATCTTCCAGAGCATTTTATGTACCCTTTATAACTAGACAGCCAAGTCTCCTTAGAGGCCAGGTCTGGGGGAAAAAAAGCAACATTCTCCCACTCTCCCTCAAGTTACTCATAAATCTTAATGCTTATCTCCGTACCCGTGAGAGATGCCGTTGACCAAGATCTTCATCTCTGCTGGAAAGAGGGTAAATCTACACTAGCCCTCCTTAGCAAGGCGGCAGGCTCGTCCTCTCTCCCGCTCTGCAGAGCATGCTGGGTCCTGAAAACCTCACATTCCCACCACTGGGCACTCCGTTGGCAGGAGCCCCACCTGGGCAACATGTGTACTGGGCACACCAAATTTCCATGTCTTCTTCTTATGCTGACTCCTTACCATTAATAACTCAATGGTCATATTTTAAGCTTTTTATTTCGGAATAATTACAGATTCATAGGAAGTTGCAAAGAAATGTACAGGGAGGTCCCATGCACCCTTCACCCAGCCTCCCCTAAGGCCACCATGCCCCAAAACCAGAGGACAAAATCAAAACCGGGAAATTGGCATTGGTACAGCCGACAAAGCTTATTCAGATTTCTCTAGCTTTAAGTGCATTCGTGTGCGTGTGTGTGCGCATGTGCATCTGTGCAGTTTCTCAACCACAACCGAAATAGTACCCACACACAATCAAGATGGCGCCAATGGGACAAGACCCCTCATGCTACCTCTCTGGGGCCACGTTCACCCCCTCCTGCATCCCTAACCCCTGGCAAACACTAACTTGTCCCTCATCCCCCTAAGAATGTTATTTCACAAATGTTCTATAAATGGGATCACGCAGCATATATCCTTTTGAAATTAGGTTTTCCTAACTTTTATTTTAGGTTTGGGGGTTTGTTACACAGGTAACAAACCTATGCACATGTGAAGGTTTGTTACATTGGTAAACTCACGTTATAGGGGTTTGTGTACAGATTATTTCATCACCCAGGTATTAAGCCTAGTACCCAACAGTTATCTTTTCTGCTTCTCTTTCTCCTCTCACCCTCCACCCTCAGGTAGACTCCAGTGTCTGTTGTTCCCTTCTTTCTGTTCATAATTCTCATCATTTAGCTCCCAGGCTTTTTCCATTCACCAAAATCTCCCTGAGGCCCATGCAAGTTGCTGTGTTTATCAACAGTCTGTTCCTTTTTACTACTGACTAGTATTCCACCGTATGGAGGGATCACAGTTTCTTTAACCACTTACCTTTTGAGGAACATCTAGGTTATTTCCAGTGTTGGGTTATTATTTAAAAAAAAATGCTGCGATGAACATTTCTGCAAAGCTTCTCTGTGAATGTAAGTTCTCATTTATCTGGGGTAAATGCCCAGGAGTGCAACTGGTGGATTATATGACAATTCTATTTTTAGTTTTGTGAAGGGACTATTTTCCAGAGTGGGTATGTTTTACATTCCCACAGCAACGTAGGAGAGATCCCATTTCTCACACCCTCAGCAGCGTTTGGTGGTATCACTCTTTTTATTTGTGCCATTCTGATAGATGCGCAGTGGTATCTCTGAGTGGCTTTAATTTGCATTTCCCTGTTTTGTAAAGATGTTGAACATCTTTTCATGTGCTTACTTGCCATCTGCATACCTTCTTCAGTGAATGTCTCATGTCTTGCCCATTTTTAAACAGGATTCATTGTTTTGTTAATGTTCAATTTTGAGAGTTCTTTACGTATTCTAGATATTAGTGCTTTGTTGGGTATGTGATTTGCAAATATTCTCTCTCGTCTGGAATTTCTCTGCTCTTTTTCATTGGATCTTTCCCACAGCAAAGGATAATGCTTTTGGTGTCAAGTCTATGAATTCTTTGTCTAGTCTTAGATCCCAAAAATGTTTTATGTTTTCTTTTAGAAGTTTTATCGTTTTACATTTAAATCTATAATCTTTAACAAGTTAATTTTTATATGAGGTATGTGAGGTTTAGGGTTTTTTTTTTTTTCTAATGGATGTCTAATTGCTCCCACACCGTTTATTGGAAAACTATATACTTCCTCCACTGAACTGATTGTCAAAAACTAATTGGGCATATCTGTTGGGACTTATTTCTGGGTTCTTCACTCTGGTTCATTACATATGTGCCATCCCTTTGCTGATACCACACTTTGCAGCTCCACAGTAAGCATTAATATTGGGAGAAGTGAGTGCTTCCACTTTATTATTCTTTTTGAGAAATCTTGTGGACATTTTTGGACCTGTGTTTTTCCACGTAGAATAAGCTTGTGTATGTCTACAAAAAAAAAAAACATTGCTGAGGTTTTGATAGGAGTTACGTTAAATCTATAGATAATTATAGAGAAAACTGACTCACTATTATGTTCATTTTCCGATCCATGAACATGGGAAGTCTCTCCATTTATTCAGATGTTCCTTGATATTTTTCATCAGCATTTTGTAATGTTCATCCTGCATCCTGTATGAGCATTGTGAAACTTATATGTAAGTATTTTATTTTCTTGGTGCAACTGTAAATGGTATTATGTTTGTGATTTCAGTTTTCACTAGTCCATTGTGGGGATACAGAAATGCAGTCAATTCATAGCCACGGATCTTGTATCCTGTCATTGTAATGAGCTCATTTTTCAGTTGTAAGAGGTTTTGTTTTGGGTTTTGTAGAATCAGTCTTTCATCCTCAACTGTGAAATTGGTTGTAGGTTTTTTGTAAATGCTCTGTATAAAGGAGTGGAAGGCAGTTCCCTGGGCCACCTGTTGCTGTTGTGTGGGTGGATGGGCAAAAGCCCCTGGGTCTGGGTCTCCTGGAGCCACCGGATAGGGAGTGGTCCACACAGCAGCATCAGGCTGTCCACTGGTGGCTTGGGTGTGGAGCGGGCCTTGGGCTCCCACTAGGTCTCACTGAGCTTCCCCTTTGGCCTGACAGAGCCTTTTGGTTTTGCTTTATTTTGTTTTCTCTATACCTGTTGGCGGTTCTGGTTACAGGCCTTCCTGTGCCCACACTGGAAGGATACAGGAGATAAAACAGAAGTCCAGGGTCTCATGGTGTTGCTACCCCCTCATGTCCTGAGGCCCCAGTCAGTCTGCCTGCTTTTAGTTTCCAGCGTCCTTTTACTGTTTCTTGTTAAATTATTTACTTGTAATCACGGGGAGGAGCAGGGAAAAATGAATCTACGCCATCTTGTTCTAAAACCAGAAGCCCCTGTTTTTAAAGTTTTCTACCGTGTTTCAGTGCACTGCCTAGAAAATAAAACACTGGGTTTCATTTCCTTGTATTTTGGGGGATATTTCTATAGGAGCCAAATGATTTTCATACTAGGATGAATAGAATGAATATGTCAACAGTCTTTTAGGTCTCAGTCATAAACATTATCTCTGATTGTATAGATAGGTAAACGTCTTTGACTCCATAATCAAGCAGACTTTTTTTTTTTGAGATAGAATTTCACTCTGTCACTCACAGTTCAGTGGCACAATCATAGCTCACTGCAACCTTGAACTCCTGGGCTCAAGCGGTCCTCCCACCTCAGCCTCCCAAGTCGCTGGGACTACAGATGCACATCACCACAACTGGCTATTTATGTATGTATACATTTTATAGAAACGGAATCTCACTATGTTGCCCAAGCTGGTCTCAAACTTCTGGCCTCAAGCAATCCTCCTATCTCAGCCTCCCAAAGTGCTAGGATTCCAGGCACAAGCCATGGTGCCTGGCCAAGCAGGCTTACTTAAATATCAAAATGATCACCCTCCATTATCCAGAATTTCAAAACCTATTGTTCTGAGTGGCTGCCAGGAGGTGCCAACAGTTGGCACGAAATTAAGCTAAACTCATGTCCAGCGCAGTCACGCCATGTGCCTCCTCCCTGGCACCAGAGGGCTGCCATGAACCCTAGGAGACGCAGGCCCACCCTCCACCCCCCACCCCCCACCCCCACCGTCCCGGGGTGTGATCTCGGCACTCCACCTATCACCACCCAAACCCACATCAGTGTGTGCAGAGGCTCCCAGGAGCACAGCTCCACATATGTCAAAGTTCAGAGATGGAAGGAAACTCCTCAGTGCAAGTGGAGAGAGACAGATGTGATTTAAACGGGGAGTGGGGAGCATCATAAATTCACCAAGAATCTGGCTGAACTGTGCCTCTGTATAGACAGGATGATAGATTTTCCCAAACCAGAGCCCAGACTTGGTGCAGAAAAGAGTTACTCCTCTCTGTGCAGGAATTCATCATTTGCATCCCGCATCACAGCAAAAGCAGGCACAGAGGCTTAGAGCCCTCTTAGACACCTATGAGTGAATACAGCTTCTTATAAACATCCCTCCCAGACTCCATCTACTCAGAGTTTATCCAGGCATCCAGAGTAGAAAAGGTCCTTTGGGGATATTCAAGGAAAACTGGTCCCCTGTAGAAAGACAGACGCACGGCTGCCACAGGGAAACTCCCATCTGAGCTATCTGGGAAAATCATGCCATGCCCACAGCTCCCGTCGCAGACCCCACTAACTCTAGAAGCTATTTTTGGATGCACTTTCCGGTTAACACAAGAAACTAAGTTCAAGAACACGGACCAGGCACTGGAAGGGCTGGAGTCTCCCTTTTAGCCGATTTCCTGCTTCCCATGGTCTCGCGGAGCTGTTTTAGAGTGCTTGTCTGAAATGACACTATCACCCACCGCCAAAACTGAGACAGCGCCCACCACAGTGGATACCTGTGTTCAAGACAAATCGAATAGAGAGATCACCTGATTTTACTGTCACCCCAAGAACATGAAGGAGTCAAAATTTCAGAAACTAATGATACAAGGCCACAAAGCACACGGTATTAAAACATACCTCTGTCATACACTTTGCTCGCATATTTGTTATTTACAAGGGGTATGTGTCACAACACTGCAATTTGAACATTTTCATAAAGACGAGGGGAGAATCTGCCATTCAGTAGAAGGGACCCTGAGGGAACAGGTGGTGCGTTTCTCTCCACGGCACGTCTTTGCCAGCTGGAGCCTCTACGAAAGGGAGGACTCATAAACTGCAACCTCAAGTTAAATTATGAGGCAAGTAAAAGGGAATTTTATGGGTCTTCCTAAACTGAGGAAGTTTAAGAGATATTTTTCTATTTTATCACCATGTTCCTAGTCCATTTGATTTTATGATGTCATATTTTAAAATAAAGGGATATTAATTGTCCAGGTAATCAAAAGTAAACCAAATAATTGAAATTGTTTTCTTTCAGGAAAAACTCTCCATTTTCCTGTGAGCTTTTAAAATGTAGGGAGAACAAGCACTTACTCAGGGTGCAGCCCCCCAACCTGATCCTCCTGCCCGCCCCATGCACCCTGAGTGGCAAAGGAAGAAGAGGGCTCCTGCCCCTCCTGGCTGGACCACCCTGAGAGGCTGCGGTGGGCGAGCAGTGAGGAGGGCAGACCTGGCTGTGCACGAGCTGCCAAACAGCCAGCACTTGTGGACCCTGTGGCTTGCCGTCTGGGGACATGCTTAGCCCCTGTCTGCAAAATGAGACAAGGAGGGGCTGGCAGCCTGCACCGGCACATGAGGTGGCTTCAGCTTGTCTTAAATGACAGGTTTCAGGCATGGCTGTTCTCCCTGTCCCTCCCATCCCCAGTCACTGTGTGCTTCTGATTTTATCCAAGGGGCACAGGCCTGAACAAGGGCCATAGCAAAGGGATGAATGAAAAGGTTTTCCATAAACTCCTACCAAATACCCGGAGAAAGTGGTTCTCCACAAATCCCCCCCAAACACCAGGAGAAAGTGTGTGATGAGGTGGACACTCACCAAGCAAGACCTCGCCTCTCACAGAGCCCCTCTGGCTGGTGCCTCTTGGGAACTGCGGGGAGCGCTGGCAGGCAGCTTCTCACTGCTGACTGCCAGGAATCTGGGCACGCACAAGGGACACAGACTGAATGTATTAACGAAGGTGGCAGTGACATATTCAACAAAAGGCCAAGAAGACCAAGTGAAGCCTTCAAAATCAGGAAATCAGCACGGACCGTTTGTGTGTTTGTGTGTGTGTGTGTGTGTGTGTGTGTGTGTGTCAGGCCACCTGGGTGATGGCCGAAGTTAACTGTGATAAGGCCCGGCCACCTCCACCAACATACACACTGAGCCTCCCCGGAACTGTTTTGCATACTCTGCCTCGAGCTCACAGTCATGTCCCTGTTACCAGAGAGCAGGGCCTTACAAGAAGTGTCAAGGTTGAGAGAAAGTGTGGGATGACATCTAGGCAACAAGACCACAGACAGGGCACCCGACCCCACCCATGCTGACAGCAACTCTCCTGGGCTCCCTGGCCAAAGGACTACAGGGAGGGGAGTAAACACCCAGCCAGGGCCCGACACCTCTCCACTGGCAGCAGCAGCATAGTGAGTTAAGGGGCCACCTCCCTAGAGGTCCTGAGAGCAGCACAAATGCTACCGTGGGAGGGTCCCCAGGGTGCATGCTGCCCTAGGCACCACCCCAACAAAGCCGTCCCGGAATCCATGCAGAATGTCTCCACGGACGAAAAAGGCAAGACACTCAAACAGACACTGGTACCCCCATGTTCACAGCAGCACTGTTTACAACAGCCAAAAGGTGGAAGCGCCCAAGGGTCCCTTAACAGATGAATGGATAAACAAGATGTGGTGGTGGGTTCATGCAATGGAATGGTGTCCGCCTCAGAAAGGAGGCTCTGGCACATGCTCCAACACAGATGAGCCTTGAGGACACGATGCTGAGTGAAATAAGCCGGTCACTAAAGGACAAGTACTGTGTGATTCCGCTCACGTGAGACACCCAGGGCAGTCCACTTCGTAGAGGCTGAATGCAGAACGGTTGTTGCCAGGGGCTGGGCATGGGGGAAGGGGGAGTTAGTGTTTCACGGGCACAAAGTTTCCGTTTGGGAGGATAAAAAGTGTTGGAGAGGAGGGCGGCGGTGATGCTCACAACAATGTGAAGGTATTGAATTCCACGGAACTGCACACTTAAAAGGGTTAAATGGCTAATTTTATGTTATGTATATTTCACCATAATAAAACAATTTTTTAAAAGTAAAGCACAAGATAGAACACGCTTAAGGTTATAAGGCTGTGTGTGCCAGTGGAGCACAGCTCAGCTGCTCAGTGTGACAGTGACAAGCCCCAAGTTAGCACGTGGTCCACTTCCAGGAAGTGGAGGAGTCAGAGCGCCCCACCCCTCATGCCTCAACCTTCAGAACTGACATGCTCAGCGCAGAAGGGCCACCCCTGGGCATGAGGGTAGACCATGGTGGTGGTCCCACACTGCTGAGCGTTCTTCAAGCCTTCCTAAACATCCCTGGATAAAAGAGACAGCATGAGAATCACCTAGCCTGACATGTGCCGGACACGTGCCTGACACGTGCAATGTTCCTTCAGTGATCTAAAATGACATCACAACATAAAGCTCCTGGAAGATGTTCTGGGTAGTGGTGCCTAAAGTGATGCCCACACACAAAAACATACACCATCACAGGAGTGCAGAAAAACACTACCACCTTTGTTTGTAATTGTGGTTTATTTTATTTTCATTTATATTTTGTATGTTTCAATAGATATAAGATATTTATGCATTACATGCCGGTAATTTATAAATAAATACACACACCCCCACTTTGGGTGCACATGCCCACTTTTTACTGATAGAGGTGTGAGATCAAAAACATCTGAAGACTGTGGCTGTAATGAACCAGCTACACTAAAAAGGATCAATAACATATACATTTTTCTAAAAAGCATCCATAGAGCATCTTTGTCAGCTATCCTTGTTAAATTCTGGGTATTGGCTTTTATCAGGATAACTATCTGGTGTTAGACACTTTCTCAAAAGCCAGAAATATTTAAACAACTTGATCTCATCCACACACATCAAAGATCAAAGGGACACAGGAGGCTCTGACTGAGCAGCACGCGCAGGCACTCAGCCAGTGGCCCTGAGTAACATCTCTTGGGACCCCAGAGCCCCAGGGCCACCTGTTCTGCTCCCAGGCTCTGCCCCTTTTGGACTGAAACCTCCCTCTCTGGGCTCCCATTTCCTCACAGGAACAATGAAGAATTTATAAGCTCTTCACAGAGCTAGCTAAGAATGGTACCATACAAATTCATAAAAATTCAGGCAAGTATATGGTGCTAGAGAAATACGTGAAGTTTTATCACTAAGTATTTGAACAACAATTTTAAAAAGCACCTTTTTTCCACCGTATCATGATCTTTGCGGGTCACGGGGTCTTCATGATCCCACTAAGCAATTTGGAGCTATTCCATATATTCCTAGCTAATTCAAACAGCTACAGCCTTTTTTTTTTTTTTTTTTTTTTTTTTTTTTTTTTTTTTTTTGAGATAGAGTCTCACTCTGTCACCTGGGCTGGAGTGCAGTAGTGCAATCATAATCACGTCTCACAGCACTCTTAACCTTCTGTGCTCAAACAATCTCAGCCCCGCAAGCAGCTGGGACTACAGGCATGCACCACCATGCCCAGCTAATTTTTCGTATTTTTTGTAGGGATGAGGTTTTGCCATGTTTTCCAGGCTGGTATCCAACTCCTGAGCTCAAGCAATCCACCCACCTTGGCCTCCCAAAGTGCTGGGATTACAGATGTGAGCCACCACACCTGGCCTACAGCCATTTTTTAACGGAAATCATCTTAATCAATATTAACACACAAAAAGCTGTAGTTAAGAAGGTGGTTTCTGCCAGGCATGGCAGATAGAGCCTGTATTTCCAGCTACTTGGGAGGCTGAGGCAGGACTGTGTGAGGCCCAGAAGTTCAAGACCAGCCTGGCAACACAGCAAGACCTGGCCTCTAAAAAGTGTTTTTTTTTTTTAATCATCTGTAAAATGAGGATGCAAAACAAACAAAAAAATAAACATGGTATCTGTTTGTTAAACTCTGCAATGAACACATGTATTAGCTTCCCGCTGCGGCAACAAATTATGACAACTTGGTGGCTTGAAGTAACACAAATTTGGGGAGTTTTATTTTATTTATTTCATTTTATAGAGATGGGGTCTTGCCCAGGCTGGAGTGCAGTAGCATAATCACAGCCCAGTGCAACCCCAGTCTCCTGGTCTCAAGTGATCCTCCTGCCTCAGCCTCCTGAGGACCTGGGACTACAGGCTTGTGCCACTGCACCGGCTAAACAAATCTGTCATTTCACAATTCTGGAGGTCAATCTGACATGGATCTTACTGGGTCAAAACGATGGTTTCGGCAGGGCGGCGGGAGAGAATGTTTCCTTGCCTTTTCCAGCTCCTAGAGGCCGCCCACACTCCTTGACTCTAGGTCCTCCACTTTCAAAGCCAACAATGGCAAATTAAGTAGTATTCATATCGGATCTCTCTGCCCGCTTTTCTTCCACTTTTACAGACTTGTGATTACACTGGGCCCACAATTCACTCCAGAATAATCTCCCCATCTTTTTCCAAGAGAAAGGGGAATTAGAATTGGCTGCAGTTAAGGTGGCACCATCAGCTGATTAGCCACCTTAACTGCAGCCAACTTTCATTCCCCTTTCTCATGGGACCTAAGGGAGGGCAGTAGCTCCAGGGATGTTTTACAATTTAAGTTCTATTATTATTCAAGCACTATGGGGCTGACAGGTCAGGAGAGGACTGCCATTGAAAAGAGGATTTGTTACTCAGAGTCCTCCAGAGAAGGAGCTCGCCACACCTACCGCTGTGGGAGGGGGAACATAGGGGAGACCAGCGTCCTAGGAGGCAGAGACCTTGGTGAGAGGAGGGAGAGTCTTTTCTGTGCCTTCCATGGGAAAGAACAGGAGAGGCGGGGTAAGCAGGTTTAGAATCCATTAGTTTGAATAACCTCGGTGGACCCTGGGACAAAGGGCTGTCCCTAGCTGCTTGGTGGCTGGACCTGGGGTGATGAGAGCAGGTGCACAGTGGATGAAACACAGAGGGGGCCGAGGGTGTGGACGTTGGATTGGGTGGCTTGCACACGTAAGGCATGCTGCAGCAATGCTGTTTGCTATCTCTAGGAATTATCTAGCCCTGGGAGGGCCTGTCCCTCCGGAGGCAGCAAGGCTCCAGATGTCAAAGCACCAGACAAGAGAAAATAAAAAGACATCCTTAGTACAGGACTGAATAAGCAGGAACTGAGTTTAGATGTCACTGCATGCAGTAGTTGGGAACAGAGCCAAGAATTACAGACACCACCCTCCCTCCTTCTACGCCTTCTCCAAGTCCCAAGGGCGCATTATGAAGGAATTCCCATTAAGTCTGGCCAGACGCTTTACAGAGGAATTAACACAGGATAGGAAACTGAAAGGAGAAAAAGAGAAAAGACCAGAAACGGAGGAATTTAACCGTGATCAAGGAGGAGCACGGCGCAGCTGCAGGACTGAGCTCAACTCTGGCTCTCACCTCCATGCCAGAGAGAACCTGAGGGTCTCTGTCAGCATGGCCTCCTGGCCCCCAGACATGCTCCCCATGGATGTGAAAGACCACAGGCAGCAGCCAGATTTCTATGGAATGAATCAAACTTTCCATCCTGCTTAAAAGCAATGATTTTCTTTCCAAAAAAAAAAATAAATGTGTACATGGAAAATATTACAATGCAAGTCACAATGAGAGTTAAAAAAGACACACACATCTGATTTGACTAAAGTCTGTCCTGGCAACACGAATAAATAAAATAATGACAATGACACGATGGCACTATGAAATGCCATTACCTAGGTTTCTACCAATTAATTATGAGGGACAAGACATACATAACTAAATATAATTAAATCACGCAGGTCGATAAGATTACCCTTTTTGAGAAAATAATTACATGCCACGTATATTTTGAAACTGTTCAGTGGAGGTGAACAATTGTAGCCCATTATGTGTATGAGACATTCTGGAAAATATCGCTTTGACTTATGTTCAAAAATGGTTGGCTTGTTCAGAGAGAGAGAGTCAGTGGGGAGCACCCAGCAGGAACAGGGGCCTCCCCAGCTCGCTCTCTCCCTGCCTCGTCTTTCCTCTCACAATGCTCTCGGTTTTCTGAGTCAACCATGCTCCTGGGCCAAGGTGCAGCACTGGAGATGACCGAGACAGACAGCGTGGATGCGTTTTGTACGGGGAACAAAACTGATTTCCAACTTGGCAAAAAGCAACAGGAGAGGCCCCGGCTGTGTCTGGTACCGCCTCAGCCGAGCCCTGAAGGGAAAGGCCCAGAAAAAGGGATGTGGCCACACCCTGGGGGCCAGCCCACAGGCGAGGCGAGTCCCCAGGCGCCATTCTACGCGGCCAGTTTTGGAGAACTGGAACTGTGTAGAGCGTCCGGCGGCAGCGGACCCAGCGCTGCTCCATTCTCCCTCCCTCCCTCCCCCCCCAGCCCCGGTGACTCACTCCGCGGCCCGGGCAGGGCGAGACCACGCCCACCACCCCCCAAGACCTGGCCGCGCTCACCTCCCCTCCTGCACAGAGCACCTAAGGGCCCAAAGATCACATCTGAACAAAGGATGGAACTTGGAACTTACATTTACCTTTCCTGCCCCTGACTTTTTAAACTGTTATTAGAAGTATACAAAAACAAAAGGCAGGACATAAAAGTAGTGAAATGCTTTAAACTCTACAAATGACTCAGTTCAAATGTGCGGTGACAGCCTGGGTTTCCTGCCATTTCGTTAACCCCTCGTGTACTGGATTCTTTTAGAAGCAGTGGTTTCCATGCCAGACATCACTTCTTGGGGGAAGCAAAGCAAACAGAGGCTGGGGAGGGGTGAGTGGGGATCTCGGGGACTCCGCCGAACTTGGGGAGGGAGCCTTGTCAAGTCTGGCCTGGCCCACGCTGAGGTCCGTTCGCACCCCAGGACCTTTCTAGAAAAGTCCTAGATTACTATACAACAGGCAGATCTGATGCTGAAACAGAAATAAGGCAGGTCTCTGAGCGGATCTAAAGTTCCCTACTATGCAAGAGCTCACGGGCCTCCAAAGCACCTACTAAGCACCTTTCTGAGAAGACTTGCATGGAGGGCTCTGTTCCAAGGCTCTCCATTCGTGGCCTAGGTTGAGTTTCCTTTTGAAAACCAAGACTTACTTTAGGTTTTTTTTTTTAATTATTATTGTTATAACTGTTGATAAGCAAAAATCAATCAAAGACATCGTTAAATGGGCCAATGAATTTACTTCATTTTATGTTTTCAAAACAAACCTTCCCCCTAAAAGGTTATTACCAAATCCAATTTCATTTACAATATACGCCACATTGCCATTTAAACAAAGAATGCTTTCATGTTACCATTTCCCCAGAATGCTTCTTCTAGTGAGGTACATTTTTCAGAAGACATTTGAGCCAACAGAGGGTATCTCTGGATCCTTAGTGGTCCTCAAAATTCTCAGTGGGGATCGGATCTATTCCCAATATTTCAAAATTCTTTCCAAAAGCTGTCCATTTCCTCATGGTACAAGTATACAGCTAAATGACACCTAAAATTCTTTGGGCTTGGAGGCACAATTCAGTGTCTTAGCAATGTGGACAGGCCAGGTGCGGTCTCAGTATTTTGGGAGCTGAGGTGGGATGATTGCTTGAGGCCAGGAGTTCGAGACCAGCATGGGCGACACTGCAAGACCTCATCTCTAAAAATAAAACTGTTTTAGAAATTTAAAAAAACTGAGGAAGTTTATTTTGATCAAAAGATCTTAATAGCAATAATGACAGCAGTTGTAACAGGAATACTAATGAGTTGCAACTAAACTTTTCAAATTCTTACCTGCCTGCCTGCCTGGCACTGTAGCCCACCCTCTCTGCATTATTTCATGTATTCCTCACAGCACACCAGAAGCTGCTATCTTCTCTCTTCCCCTCCCTCCAATTTAATGCCATCCTCCCTCCTATTGAATGCCACCCTCCTTCCAATTTAATGTTATCCTCTCTCCAATTTGATGCCATCCTCCCTCTATCCTCCCTCCTGTTAAGTGCCATCCTCCCTCCTATTGAATGCCATCCTCCCTCCTGTTAAATGCCATCCTCCCTCCAAAGTAATGTTATACTCCCTCCTATTGAATGCCATCTTCCCTCCAATTTAAATAAGAACACTGGGATGAAGAGAAATGCATTCTGCCTAGCATCTAACTGCTGGCAAGGGTCTGACCTCATTGAGGGTGTTGGGGCTCAGGAACCAATATCGCAAAATATGGCACTTTGATGCGCTGAACTGTAGAACCCTCAGCGTCTCTCTAACCGCCCCCCAACCTCACCTCTCAATCCTCTGTCTCACCCAAAGCCCAAGATGAACTCCTCCGAAGTTCCCTTCTCTCCCTAAACCTAAAATCCAGACACTCCAAAGAGGAAAACAGGTTTTTATTAACTGAATTCATATTGTGGGAAGAAAAACTGAAGTCTGTCAACACAGCTGGACAGGCTTTTGTCACAAACCACTGTCTGTTATGCAGGCCTCAAAGACTGTGGCCCAGACTATGGTGTGTTCTTCAAGCACAGTGAATTCCCCTAAAACTCATTTACTACCCCTGTACAATCATCCCCACTTCCCATCTCCCTTTCCCTTGAGAAGGAGGGTATATAACCCTGCGTACTCCACTGAGATTGGGCAATCATTCTCCCACAGTTCTTCTGTGCTATGCATGTTAATAAATGTGCTTGCCTTTTCTCCTGTTAATCTGCCCTTTGTCAGTTGATTTCCAGCAAACTTTCAGAGGGCAAAGGAGAAGTTTTCCTCTAGCCCCTACAAGGGCGTTTTAATTGTCTCTAACTTAAAATGAGGACAAAAATTCTTAATTGCCTAATAAAAATAGTTTGGTAGGCAAAATGTTCCAAAATACAGTATCCCCAGTGGAAAAATAACCACAAGGTATGTGCAGGGTAATTCATACAAACTGCACTCCGGGAAAATGCAAAACAAGTAAACATAGAAAGTCAGGCTAAGAGTCTTCTAAAAAAGCAGAAATCAAAATAGCTCTTCATGCTTCCTGTAAGTTCTGTCAGTGTGCTAAATATGGCAAGGTGAGTCTTGTACAAATGTGCACAGTGGGCTCCCCTGCTGCAGGAGTTCAACAAGAAGCTGAAGCACCATGTTGTGACCAGCAGGAGTCTAACAGTCACCCAGCCCCTTTTCAACCTTCCCAAAACGTGGGGAAGCCCTGTCTTTAAAAGGTTCTTCCAAACATGCTTCTCAGTGAAGGCCTGACTGGCCTTTGGGAAAGGGTAGTCAATGGGGCAGGACCTTCCTGGGCAGGTGGGGCCATCACATGTCAGCCAGTAACCCCGGTTGTGAGTACCAGTGCCAGGGACACTGCCAGTCACTGTGATTGTTAAATGTCTACCAACACGTCGGGAAGGAAGTACTCCCCCCCAGATGAGACCCCTGACCCCTTACTTGCAGGAAGGATGGAACCTGAGAATTGACAATCACCACAATGAATGACCATTAAATGAGCACCATGCAGGCCATGGCATAGCACCCAGGAACAGGCAGGTGGGGCTTCAAAGGCCACTGAAAGGTACAGAAGAACTGCATTAAAAATGGCAAGACCTGGTGGAATCCAAAAGAATCAGCTAAAACAAAACAAAACAAAACAACCAAAAACAAGACCACTTGTGGTTCCAATGAGCTATGATTGCACCAGTGCGCTCCGGCCTGGGCAACAGAGTTAGACCCTGTCTCAGAAAAAAAAAGAAAAAAAAAAAAAGACTCAGGAGACAACTTGATTGGTTCCTACTGACCAAAGAAATCAATTACAGTAATAACTGCAATGAACTAAAATCAATAAATTATATTTAAATCCACAAATTCATAATAATATATTTTTTAGAAAAGTTATATAGCCCTCAGGAGAAGTGGTTGGTTCTAGAGCTGGGCCAGCCAAAATAGATGAGCCTGGAACAGCCCATGTAGTCAGAGAGTAAGGGAGAGTTCAGAAAGAAGAAAGCCTGGGGCCTGTGAAGGACAGGACAGCCAGCTTGAAAGAGCTCCCAAAAGCCACAGCCTGGAACAGTGTGAGCAAAAGGATCAATTACATTAATATCCACTGATCATCCCCAGAATAAAACAAATTTCCAGTAGACTACAATGACATCAGTCATGGAGTATACAAATCAATAAGAAAGAAAAACAGCTGTTCTAAGAATTCTAGTTCATCAATAGAGAAGGAATAGGGGGAAAGAAAATCCCTATTAGACCACACTACAATAATTACTACAGACTTCATGGAAATAGAAAGGATTACAAGTGCATACCAAGTGCATATGACAACAAATTATGTGACTCAAAGAAATGGACAACTTCCTAGAAAGATACAACTATCACAACTGACTTGAGAAGAAATAGTAAATCTGAAAGGAGTCATAACAAGTAAATGGGTTGCAATAGTAATCTTTACAACTCCGCACAAAGAAAAGCCCAGGCTCAGACTGAAGTTGTCTTCCATGTTGAATTCTTCCAAGGATTTAATGAAGGATTAATACCAAATCTTCACAAAATCTTCCAAAAAAGAAAACAGGCCGGGCGCAGTGGCTCACGCTTGTAATCCCAGCACTTTGGGAGGCCAAGGAGGATGGATCATCTGAAGTCAGGAGTTCGAGGCCAGCCTCATCAACATGGTGAAACCCAGTCTCTACTAGAAAAATACAAAAATTAGCCAGGCATTGTGATGCCTGCCTGTAATCCCAGCTATTCGGAGGCTGAGGCAGGAGAATCGCTTGAACCTGGGAGGCGGAGGTTGCAGTGAGCTGAGATCGCCCCATTGCACTCCAGCCTGGGCAACAAGAGTGAAACTCCGTCTCACAAAAAAAAAAAAAAAACAGAAAAAAAGAAAATAGTGGAAACATGGAAACACTCCCCAACTCATTCTATGAGACCAGTATAGTACTTTTCTGATATCAAAACCAGACAAAGACACACATACGGCCCCCAATCCCAAATATTGCATATGAATTCAAATGCAAAATTCTCCAACACATTCTAGTCAATGGTATCCAGCAAAATATAACAATGGATTGTACACCATGACCAAGTAAGTTTTATCCCAGGAATGCAAGATTGGTTTAACATTTGAAAATCAATTAATGAGTATATGTCATATTAATTGAACTACACATAAAAGCTACATGATCATTTCAACAGACGTAGAAAAAGCCTTTGACAAAATCCAAAATTCTTTCTTGATGCAAAAACACTCAACAAAGTAGGAACAAAAGGGAAATTCCTCAACCTGATAAAGAGCATCTATAAAACCCCACAGCTTGAAATCTCAGTATTGGTTAAAACACACACACACACACACACACACACACACACATACATGCAAACAGCTAGCATCATACTTAATGGCAAAAAAGCATGCGTTCCCCCTAAGATCAGGAGCAAGAGAAGGACATCCATTTTTGCCATTTCTATTCAACATTATACTGGAGCTTCTAGCCAGGGCAATCAGGCAAGAAAAAGAAATGTAAGGTATCAAGTTGAAAGGGAATAAGTAAAACTATCTCTGCTTACTGATGAATGGTTCTATATGGAAAAGACTAAGGAAGCCACAAAACAATTATTAGATATAATAAGTGAGTCAGCCAGGTGGCAGGACACAAGATCAACATGTAAACATACTGACCAAAACTTATTAATGCATTAATGGAAAACTGTTTAGATCTAAATAAAGAATGTGACTTAGTGAATAGCTTTGTACTAATGTTATTTTCTTGGTTTTTGAAAATTATAGTGCAGTTAAATGTTAAAATTAAAAGAAGGTGGGTAAGGGGTATGCATCTGTACTATTTTTGCAACTTCTCTGTTAAGTCTAAAATGATTTCAAAGTAAAAAGCTTAAGAATTTTAGAAAGCTAACTGGTTACTGATATGGGTTGGCTCTCTGTCCCCACCCAAATCTCACCTTGAATTGTAATAATCCCCACGTGTCAAGGGCAGGACCAGGTTGAGGTAACTGAATCATGGAGGCGGTTTCCTCCATGCTGTTCTCGTGCTAATGAGTGAGTCTCACGAGATCTGATGGTTTTACAAGCGTCTGGCATTTCCCCTGCTTGCACTCATTCTCTCTCCTGCTACCTTGTAAAGAGGTGCCTTCTGTCATTATTGTAAGTTTCCTGAGGCCTCCCCAGCCATGCAGAACTGTGAGTCAATTAAACCTGTTTTCTTTATAAATTACCCAGTCTTGGGTATTTCTTCATAGCAGCCTGAGAATGGACTAATAGAGTTAGCGTTAGATGTTAGTGATCCAATATCAAGCACTTATTTCTCTTTTACTATACAGGCTGGACCACTGGGAAACCAGGGAGTAGATGAGGGGAAGTGTCTCTTTATAAAAGTATTTCCTATAATAAATTAGGACACCACCATTTGGCAACCTCTAACAAATCAATGGATATAGGCAATGATCATCAATGGCTGTCAACATCACAAAAAGACAAGTAAGCACACGTGTCTCCTAATGGAAGTGCAGAACACCACCTAGGAATGTGGAGACCAAAACAACGACAACAACAACAACAACAACAAAAATTCAAACCTGAGCCTGATGAAACACTGAGGAAGTGTGCAGACCCTCCTACCAATCCACAGGAATTACAATAGAAAAAAAACATGTTACCTGAAACCACACAGAAGTAATCAGCAGTATTCAGGCCCTGGAAAACCCCATAGGACAAATAACCCAATTTCTTCAAAATAAATTGCAAGGGAAAAAAAGAAAGAGAATAGAGTTTTCTGGGGGAAAATCTATAGACTAAAAGTGACTTAAAAGATTTATCAGCCACCTGCTGAGTAGGCCTCATTTATAGCTAATTCAAGCATACATATTGAAAAGTACACATCCCATTTATGAGATAAGTGGAAATCTGAACACACACTGGGTATTTAACAGTATTAGGAAATTAGGCTGGGCACACTGGCTCAGGCTTGTCATCCCAGCACTTTGGGAGGTCAAGGAAGGAAGACAGCTGGAGCCCAGGAGTTGGAGACCAGCCTGGGCAACATAGTGAGACCTTATCTCTATGAAATTTTTAAGAAAAATTAGCCAGGTGTGGTGGCGTGCACCCGTGGTCCCAGCTACTCAGGAGGCTGAGGCAGGAGGATCACTTGAGGCCAAGAGATGGAAGCTGCAGTGAACCGTGATCATGCCACTGTACTCCAGCCTAGGCAACAGGGCAAGACTCTGTCTTAAAAAATAATAATTTTTTTTAGGTATGATAATGGTATTTATAGTTTAGTTTTAAGAAGAGTCATGCTTTTCTAAAGACAAATACTGACACATTTACAGGTGAAACGTCATGATGTCTGGAGTTTGCATCAGAATGACAGAGGAGAAGGGAGTAGGTGGGAATACAGATAAAATAATGTTAGCCATGAGTTGCTAATTGTTGAAACTGGACAATGGTACATGGCAGTTTGTCACATGTGCACATTTCTATGTATGTGAAATTTTCTAGAATAATTATTTTAAAGAGGCCTGTTGTTCTTGGGGTGGGAATACCAAGTAAGGTAATAACTGTGAACACGGGGTCAGAGCAGGGTAGATCTGGGCTCAAATCACGGTACTGCCATCTCCTAACAGTGTGACCTTAGGCAAGCTATTGAGTCTTGAAGCCTCAGTTTCCTCATCTGTGGAATGGGGATGTGGAAATGATATGATCGTTGGGAGGATAAAATGGAATTGTGCATATAGAACATTTGGCTCATATTAACAAGTAAAAAAGGAACTGCCTCATGAACAAGCCTGCCTTTGGATGACAACCAAGGTTTTAGGAAAAGAAACGTTCTTTTTCCACTGCAACTTGACCTCATGAGCCCAGTAATATATGATATGTAACAGGTACCGAAAAATTATTTCCAACAAACATGTGAATGGCAATGTGGAAATAATATTCCGCAAGCGTCCAGTGCCCTAACCTACCTACAGGGATGTCAACCCTGCTTAAGAAGAACTGGCGTGGTCCCTGCGCATTCTTAACTCCTGGGTCTTGTCCTGGTGTCTCTGCTTTTGCAAACCTTTTACCCAAATGACAGAGATGCTGTGCTTCCCAGGGGAAAGATGTGTTGACTGCTGTCTTGTTGCATTAAGAGGGAGGGATGGAGGGAATATGCCATGAAAGAGCCAAGGGTGCCACAGAGGAAGAGATGAGGCTCACCTGGAAGGGAAGGGAAAGAGGCACGGAGAAGGAGTAGGAGAGGGGAGACAAGAGAAACAAAAGCCCTGGCAGAAAAGAAAACAAAAGGAGGACTTTGTTGAGTGAGAAGCTCACCTTCTCATCTGCTCAGCTCTTCCAAAACAACAAAGCATGAAGGGCAGGGGACACGGGTTGGAGAAATAACCCTGGTGGGCTGGGAAAATGGAGCGAAAATCAAAGTGAGGGGAAGAGACCAAAAGTAGGGCAATTCCAAAATAAGCAGAGAGCACCTCCTGACTACCTGTTTCCCAAAAGATGACGGAAAGACACTGAGATGCTGCCCTCAGACCCAAGCACAGAGCCCAGAAGATTCAGGGAAAAGTCGCCTCCGGTTATTTCCTGCAGAAATACTGCTGGTTACATCATCCTGGAGACAGACACTGAAAGGTGTCAATAAGATTATATTCAAGTCATCACAAAGTACATAGAAGCAAAAGGGAGAAAAAAAAAAGATAACAATAGCCTAGGCAGGCTTTGGGGGACAGATGAAATCACTGGCCCAGGTCCTCCTCCAGCAGCACCCTTGCAAGGCACACTCCATTTCTGGGAGCAGGGCTCCAGGTCTGCTGATTTAAGGTTTCCCCCCTCACCCCTGCTGTGGAAGAGGTGGATGAGAAAGCTTTCTGCAAGGCACAAAGTCTTCTTCTGATAGGAGATCTCTGCTTCCTGCCTGCAGAACTGCCCGCCACTCTCCCAGCCTGGGCTGAGTCCCTTTGCCCTTCTCTTCCCCTCTCCTCCTCCAGCCCTGCCCAGCAGGACCCCTGAGGTTGCTCTGCTGCCCCCTCAGCTCTCGGCCCCGAGGGATGCCCACCCTGTTCCAGCTGGACACTCAGTGTTGGAGACCGATGTCAGCTAAAGGGAAGTCCAAGCCTCAAATGAAAGCCGGAGGCCACATCCCCCTCGACTCTCACCAGGGCTCACTGAGTGGCAGGGTCTCAAGCGCAGGCAGCCCCTTTCTTCCCACCCGGGGCTGTGGGAAGATGGCTTCTCTGAACAGCCTTAGCCAGCACCGAGGTCCATATGATCAGAGGGGCTTCCCACACCCTCCCATCACAGTGGACCACAGCTTAGTGACGCTGGGTGGGTGGCCCTTCCCCCCTGCAGGCGCCACAGGCAGGACCTAACCCCCCCAGAATCACCCAGTGCTCCCCCAACCTGCTGAGCGTGGCTCAAGAGGGTTTTCCTAAATAGCGTGTGAAATCCATTAGGAGAAAATGGGTTCAGAAGGAGGAAACAGGACTGCTTCTCAAACACCCTGGCCTAGGAAGCTACATTTCTAACAGGCTCTAAGGGGATTCTCACAGAAAGGGGCCCAAGGATGGTGTCACTGAAAAACAGCACATAAATAATAACATAAACGATGACGCACTACAGGCTGCACATCCACATACAAGGGAATGTCCCAGAAGTCACTTCTGGGACAGTGGCAGCAGGTAAGACTTCCAGCTAAAGTCTGCTCATACTCTGCGTGAACAATGTGTTGCACGCTTGGACCGACACTCCTATGCACAGCAGCTAGAGCAGCAACACTTGGAGGAAGCGCCACACAAAACAGACCTAGACAGTTCACAGTCGTGCGTCTGGTCTTCTCTGCAGTCAACCAAACGCACTGCACAGACCTTGGCCTGACACAGAAGTCATTTCCTTGGCTGCTCTGTGCTGTCTGGGTGCCAGGTCCTGAGAGCCAGGGCTTCATGTCGATGCTTCACCCCAGTGTACCCTAGAACCTGTTCTCAACCTCTGTGCCATGACCCTGTCCACCCCCCGCCCCCGATCTCTCACTGCAGCACCCACTCTCTGCCCCACCTTGCTTGGCACCATTTTCCTGATCCTCACACCACCGTCCCAGACTCTTGTCCTGCACTGGGACGCCTCGCCAGACATGGAGCCTGCATCCCGGGGCTGGGAGCCCCACCCAGGACTTCACCTGGTAGACATGCCCTATGGTGCCATCTGTCCCTACAGTAAACTCTGGGTGAAACCAGCCTCCTCCTCCTTCTATTCCCAGGGCCTGGCACCACCTCTTCCAGCCTTTCTGGGACTGGAAGAATTTGACCTGCCTTCCCAGGGAACAATAAACAGAAGTAGGGCATTGCGCCCACTGTCCTCAAGGCAGCTGGGAAGTGAATGAAAAATGCTGACAGTTCCTTCAGTAAGGAAGAAGACAGAGTCTGAGGGAGAGTTAAGATATCTGGAGTCAAGGGCAGAGTGGAAGGGGAGGGGAACGTAGATGGGTGTAGTCCAAATGGAAGCTAAAGTTTCAAAGTCCCATGAAGCCTTACAAGGTCACAGAGACAAGAGAATAGCTTTTAGATCCCAACCTCAGTTTCCTCATCGGCAAGATGGGTGTGATAGTTACTATAAGGATCGAATGACATAATGGATTCAAAGCACTTTGCCAACTGAAAATAAACTGTATTTCTCCTGAGGCATAAGTATTTCTAAAAAGGAGGCTACAGGAGTTACGGGCTCAGTAATAACAGGAAGTGGTATCTGTGCAAAGGCTTAAAACTGTTGAGCCCCACCAGGGCTATGTGGTGGAGGCCTCGCTCAGGGGACACGGAGGCCATTTGTGTAAGGGGTGCCGCTCTTGTCCCTGCTCAGGCTTCTGGTGAACAGGGGCCAGGAAATCCCACAGCCCGGTCTAATGACAGTCACTCTTGCTGACTGGCCAAAGAGCAAGGCTTGGGAGCAGGCAGAGTGGTGTTTCTGAAAGTGTGGGCCATCATATAAGAGTTACGTGCACGCTAATCTAATACATTCCTGGGCTCAATCCCAGGCCTGCTGAGTGAGACACTTTGGAAAACTGTAATTTTAACAAGCGCCTTCAGTGACTCTTACAAAAGTTTCAGAAGCACGAGCAAAGAAATATTCAAAAAGCTGTGCGGGCGGGAAGACCTGGGTCAAATCCCAGTACCACGACCTTGCTGCTGTGTGACACTGGGCAGGTTTACTTAACCTCTCTGAACCCGTTTACTCTGTTTACAAAAATATGGAGCATAACCACTGCAGTGTTGCTGGGAGGGTGAAAGGTACTCAACTACAGAGGCACGCATCCATGGCTTCATCCAAGCTATGAGTGCCTGTGTCTAAGGCATTCGTGAATGCCTACGTTTAAGAGGCAGGAGCCACTCTGACCCTCCTCTTTTAGGGGAACAATCTGCCACTAAGAGAGCATAGGGCTTCCTAGAGTCTCCCCATGCATAATGGAAGCCAGATACCGCTAATGTTCTATTCAGAAGCCCATCTCAGTCCCTGTTCCGGGGTCAAGCAAGGTGAGGCAGGAGGTAACGATGGGCTGAGCTTTGGAGGAAAGCTAAGACGACCCACCTTTCTCAGGGACAGGGCCTTGAGGTGGTCCAGGCTGCTGGACACAGCTCCAAGATGGATCTACCAAGGGGCTCTCCTGGGGTGGAGAGCATAAAGGATGAAAAGGCCGCAGGCCTCTGGACAGGTCCGCCGGAGACTCTAAAACTCAGGGAGGGAAAAAGAGCAGGAGTGGTCCATCGCAGGGTCACCCCTGGTACTGCCCGTGGCAGGGCTCACAAACACCCCACAGCCTCTTTCCCCCAGGAAGCAGGTTAAGATGAAGAAAATTAGGCAGGCAGCTACCGGGCGGTGCCTGGCTCGCGGCTCATGGCTCACAGTGGAGGATGGACACTGCTGTTATTTCCCCTGCCCTGGTACCTGGGCCGTGCCAGACATATCAGCACTTGGCGGCAGTTTCACTTTGCTGCTGTCCTGAGCCGAGCTGTTAGCAGACTGAGCTTTACTGTCCTGTGCCGGCTGTTCAGAGACCACTGTGCCTGGCCGAAGACTGAGGCAGGGACTTCAGGCCAGGGGGCCAGGCTGGCTTTTCCTGCCTTTCACTTCAGGTGGGAGCGGCTGTGGATGAGGATGTCCAGCGGCCGTCGGTTTCTAGCCTTGGGATCATTCTGGCCCCGACACGGAGTGACAGGGGATCCCCACGCGTCCCCGCATCCAGGGCGCCCCTTTAGCTGCGGCGGAGGCACAGAGAGGCCTTGGCGGCGCTGTGGCTTCGGTCGGCACCGGGTCCCGCGCAGCCGGGCCCTCCACCCTGAGTGGAGCTGCCTTCTAAGCACCCAGCCCCTGCCAATCACTGTGCCCAACACCAAGTTCCCGGGGCGCCCTGCCCTGCGCCACCGCGCGCTCGCTCGCCCGCCCGCCCAACTCACCTGCTGAAGACCAGGCAGCCCAGGTGGTTGATCTTGTGGTCGGAGCGGTGGCGGCTGTAGTCCTCCCACAGGTCCCTGAAGGCCGTGATGGCCAGGATGAAGAGCACCGGCGCCAGTGCCAGGCCGGGCTGGAAGGCGTTCACCGCCGGCACGAAGTTGAGCAGCGCGATGAAGACAAAGTACACGTTGGCCGGGCGGTGGAACTGCTCGAACAGGTTCTTGGGCAGGAAGGACAGCAGCGTGTACTTGGTAGTCTTGAGCCGGTTGTCGGCCAGGTGCTGGGCACACCCGCGCCGCCGTCGCCGCTCGCCCTTGGCCGCGCCAGCCGCAGGGTCCTCGGCGCCCGGGGGCGGCAGCAGGTTGGAGCGCACCGTGCGCGTCCTGCCCTCTCGGCGCCTCCGCCGTCCCGGAGGCCCGGGCTCCTCGGTCCCCGCCGGCTCCCGCTCCATGGCCGCGTGTCGCCGCGCCCGGCTCCTCCGCCGCTCACGCCCGCCCGCGCCGGCCTCTTAGGTTATCATCACTCGCGGCCCGGGCGCGGCGGTGCGAGCTCCCCGCCTGCGGGACGCACGGAGACCGCGGTCAGCGCGCCGCCTGGCCGGCCCAGCGCGCCCAGCCCGCGCCCAGCCCCGTCCACTCCCGTCCAGCCCCGCCGCCCGGCCGCAGTCCCCAGGGCGCAAGCTGGGCGGGTGCCGCACAGAGCCCCCTTGTCCTCGCCGCCCGCCCCCGGCCCGGGTCGTTTCCGCCGCGGTGGCCACGGCCCCGCCCTCGTTCCGCGCCCGGACTGGGCCACGCCGGATAGCGGGAAACAAAAAAAGCCCGAGCTGGAAACTTCAGAGAGGTTTAGTTTCGTTTCCCAGAAGCATCAGTTCGGTCCCAAAACGCTGCAAACGCGCGCTGCCTGCAGTAGGAGAGAGGAAACCGCGAAGCGCGAGAAAAGGCGCCCCCGTCCCCAAGCAGCCCGCGCGCCCTTCCAGGGGCCAGACCTGCTCCATCCTGGACGGCGAAACGACCTCGGGAGACCCCGGTTAGGACCTTACTCCAGGGATCAACTGGAATCAAAATCCAAAGGATCCATGGCATCCAGTGCTCCAATTTTTAAGTCTTTTTTACGCAGGACCTCTGCTCCTGGGGAGCCCTGGGAAGGGCGATTCCGCGTTGCCTCTAAGAACTTCTTTCCTACCCCACTTCCCAGCCCCCACCACTTTCAGATTCCGTTGTTGGGCGAACTAGACCGTTTCCTTTCCACCATCATCATTACTGCCTTTCCTTCCTCTCCTAAATAAATTCTTTTTCTTTTTTCTGTTCTTTCTTCATGGAAAGGAGAAATATATCGCTATAGCAAAGACAGAATTTGGTTTGCAGGTATTTGAGTGTCTGTTTCCCTCCCTGGGAAATCATGAGGACCGAAACGCTCCTTGTGCGCTGTAGCTCTGAGGTGGCTGTCATGGCCCGGACGGCGGGGGAGGCGAGGATGGTTGTGGGGAGGCGAGGATGGTTGTGGGGAGGAGAGGGGAGCGTCAGGAGGGTGTCCCAGAAGTGTGGGGCGAAGGGCTCCCCTCCACATCATGGGGCATCCGAGAAGGGGTGGGAGAATAAGCACGGCATGGAAAAAGGAGCTGGGAGTCCCCCACGTCCGCAGTGAGACCCCACAGATGTTTCATGGCTGTGACTGTTTGCCTCCCACTCAAGAAGTACAGAGATGAGAAGCAGTTATTTCTTGCCCAGGAGGCCGTGGCTGGGCGGTTGGCCGTGGCCCCAGGCTCTTCCTGGGGGTGCCTGCTAACAAGGCACTGCCCTGGATGGACTCAAATCACGTCTTCGCCAGGACCCTGGCTTGGGGAGGCCCTCCCCTCCAGCACCCTGGCTTACCCGGCTCCAGTTATGACATTCTTACATCTCTGCCCAGTTTTGCCACCATCCACAATGTTGCCCAGAACCCAGTGTTAGAAGGTAGAGTGGTGACAGGTGTGAAGAAAATAATCCCATCCCCCAGTCACAGGGGTGGGCTTTTGACATGTAGAGGCCCAGATCAGGGAAAGGTTTGGCTGAAGTCTGCATTGTTGGGGAAAGGAGTCAGGTCTCACAGTCAACCAGCAGAAACCCAAACGGAGCATCAACTGCAAATGAAGGCCCACAGCGCCTGCAGTCTTGAGGCCTCACATCCCATGGCTCCGTGTTTTCCTCTACCAGCCCACCTGGTGACCCCCGAGGCCTTCGGCCTCCCTACACTTCGGCCTCCTGTCTTCACAGGCATCCCCGTGGACCCTTCGCCCAAAGTCTCCAGGGGTGTCCGCGCCTACCAGACTCCCAGCTTCAGCCAGTCCACACTGTTGCCAAAGTAATTACCGCCTCATTCCATTTGCTTACCCTGGAGCTTCCAGGAGTACTCCTGGTGCTTACAAAGCCAAATGCTGATTCCTCAGGCAGAGGTCCCTTGAGGCCCTGAGGGGAACCAGCTTGCTGATTTTCTTCAGCCCCTCCCTGGTTCAGGCCCAGCCCCAAGGTGAGAGGTCTCCTTATCCTTCTCAGAACAGTCCTTACTCATCCCATCCACATTCCGCTCTAAGGTTCCAAGATTCTGTGAGTCACAATGCTCCTCAAGTCTGGAATCTTTTTCCACCTGCTCTTCCCCAGTGCAAAGTCAGGATTTCCAGGAAGGCCTAGCTCAGCTCACCTCTGGAAAGGTCTCCAAGCTGTGTGATCTGGGGAATCGTGGAGGGGTTTTGAGCTCAGGTGTCTTCTGCCAGCTGGACTCTGAGACCCTGGCCTGCTGGGGCGAGGATGAGGCTCTGATGTGGTCTGGTCAACTCTGGGTTGGCCATCTGCACCACAGGGCTCTAACAAGGGCCTGCTATAGGCCATGAGAACCACTGTAAGTGTCCTTGTTCGGCAAATACTTACTCATCCCCTGCTGTATGCCCGGCAATGTTCCAGGCACAGGAATTCATCGGAGAGCTAGAGAGGACAAGATGTTGTCATGGAGCTGCAGCAACTGAACGAAAAACCATGAGAGCCCACGGAGGGCTTTGGAAGGGATGAGGGATGGCCTTTTCGAAGAGAGGCACTGGAGTTGAAACCTGAATGGGACAAGATCAGGTGGAAGAGGCTTCCAGACAGAGGGGGCAGCTCTGTCAAAAGGTCCCAAAGAAGGAGAAATCTCAATGTGTTTAAGAAACAGGTGGGGCTTCTGCCTCACACTCATTCTAAAACCTTCAACCCCACAGCTTCTGCTTTAGGCAATGGGGACACCTGGGAAACACAGTAAGTTTCTGCTCCCCGGAACACTAAGTCCTCACGTGGGAATCCCAACAAAGATGGCTCAGAAAATGAAGGGACACCTGAAACCAGGGCTGGGAGGGGTGGGATCCTGCTCTTGCTCCTGTCAATTGGGCGGTCCAAGGAGGCTTCTCAAGCAACACTGAGCGGAGGCCTAGGGACACAAGCTGTGCAGGCACCTAGGGAAGAAATGGTAAGCACGGGGCGGGATAGGGAGCGTTCAGGGATTTCAGGCCCAGCAAGGAAGCCGGGGTAGCTGGAGCTGAGTGGGAGATTGGAGACGTGGCCGAGAGTGAGGTCATGTGGGGCCTTGTGGATCCCGGTGAGGATTTTGGCTTTTGAGCGAGAGGGAAAGCTTGGGAGGATTTTGAGAAGTGGCATCAAGTGGCTTTACCGAGGTTTCCAGAGATCACTCCTGCTGCAATGTAAATAGAATGTAGAGGGCCAGGGCAGAAGAAGGGAGACGTCGTGGCGAGCGGCCACTGCAGTGATCCTGCAAAGGTGCTGTGGCTCAGGCTGGGTGGCCATGGTGGATGTGGGACATAGCCTCCTCAGAGCATGCGGGACATGCTGTTGGAATGGTTGTGGGATGTGCAAGAGAGGAGGTGAGGGTGGCCCAACAGCTAAAAACCCAAGTTTCATCTAGTGAGTTGGGAAGACAGAAGATGAGGCAGAACTGGAGGTGCCCACCAGCCCTCAGGAGCAGGAGTCGTGCTGGCAGTGGTGATGTCAGTCTGGGGTCAAGAGCAGGTCTGGATGCAGGAGAGGGTAGCCATGAGGAGCAGCAGAGTGGCCAGCATTTAGGGCTTCACTAGCCTTTGGAAAGGACAAGTCTCTGGATTTGCTCCAACTGCAATAGGGAGCCATGGGCTGCCCCAAGCAGAGAGGCGTGAGATGAGAAGATCTTATATGCTCTTTTAATAGATAGAAAATTGATTCCGAGCAGAGTTGGAGCAGGAGAGGTGTAAATTAAGAGGTGGCTTACACCTGGCATTGGATAGACAGACATGGACAAATTGGAAGTACGTCTTCCAGGCAGAGCTAATGTGACTGGCCAACAGGTTGGATGTTTCAGTGAGAAAAATAAATGAAGTGGTTTAAGGAGAAAATGCAAGCTCAGCATAAGCCATGTTAAGTGTGAGATGGCAAGTGGGCAGTGGCGTATCGAAGACCGGACATGACAGCAAAGGTCCACACTGGTGACACAGCTGTGGGGGATGCTGGGAGACACCTGGGGGTTAGAGCTATGTGATGAGATCGCACCTAGATGCGCGAGATGCACACAGGGCATAAAAAGAGACTCTGGGTGTTACTTTCCAACTAAGAAGTATAGAGAATTGAATGAGACAATCATCAAGATTGTTTCCAGTTTTCAGATACCAAGAATCAGTACCTCTAATGGCTGGTGAAATAAATAATTATGGAATAAGTAAGAATCACAGTCTAAAACATTTTAACCTGACAGCATTGTTTAATATTTACTCTAGTGACTGCCCTTACAAATAGGCATAACAGATTCTGACATTTTTAAAATTTTTATTTTAAATATTTTTAATTTTTGGCTGGGCGTGGTGGTTCATTCCTGTAATCCCAGCACTTTAGGATACGAGGTGGGCAGGATCACTTGAGGTTAGGAGTTCAAGACCAGCCTAGACAACATGGTGAAATCTCGTCTCTACTAAAAATGCAAAAATTAGCTGGGCATGGTGATGCACACCTGTAATTCCAGCCACTTGGGAGGTCAAGGAAGGAGAATTGCTTGAACCTGGGAGGTGGAGGTTGCAGTGAGCCGAGATTGTGCCACTGCACTCCTGGGTGACAGAGCAAGACTTCATCTCAAAAATAAATAAACTATTTTTATTTTTAATTTTTAGAAAGAGACAGGGTCCCCCTATGTTGCCCAGGGTGGCCTCAAACTCCTGGGCTCAAGCAATCCTCCCACCTGGGTCCAGCCAGATTCTGAAATTTGTAATATGAAAAACCAGGCACAGATGCTACCTATTAATTAATATGGCCTCAGCATCATCCAAAAACTTCCAAAATACAGAGCTGTGAAATTTTGGACAAAAGTAATTGACTAATGATTGAGTAAGCTAAATCTATGATTATGTACATAATCCTAAAAATACAAAATTCTGGCCGGGCACAGTGACTCATGCCTGTAATCCCAGCACTTTGGGAGGTCGAGACAGGCGGATTACCTGAGGTCGGGAGTTCGAGACCCACCTGACCAACACAGAGAAACCCAATCTCCACTAAAAATACAAAATTAGCCGGGTGTGGTGGCACATGCCTGTAATCCCAGCTACTCAGGAGGCTAAGGCAAGAGAATCGCTTGAACCAGGGAGGTGGAGGTTGCAGTGAGCCGAGGTTGTACCATTGCACTCCAGCCTGGGCAACAAGAGTGAACTCCGTCAAAAAAAAAAAAATATATTCTAGAGAGAGAAGCAAAAATTTATATTTTTTATTTTTAAGCTTTTCCTTATCCCACATACCATAATTTCTAAGGAATTCATAGTTTGATATGCCTGCCTGAGATAATTTGTTCTCCGTTTTTCCAAACTAAATTTCCTTTACAAAACACATGATATTTTTCAAAAAGATAAATGTACAGTTGTGCTGGGGAGCTGGGAAAAAGTACCTTCAGAAGACGAAAAGATATCTCAGAAGATATTGAGGGATGTCAGGAATACATAAAACTGATGAACACATTAGCGGGAAAGTCTAACACATATGAGAAAACATATTGTCCACGCGCGGTGGCTCATGCCTGTAATCCCAGCACTTTGGGAGGCCGAGGCGGGCGAATCACAAGGTCAGGAGTTCCAGACCAGCGTGGCCAACATGTTGAAACCCCGTCTCTACTAAAAATACAAAAACTTAGCAGGGCGTGGTGGCGCGCGTCTGTAATCCCAGCTACTCGGGAGGCTGAGGCAGGAGAATCTCTTGAGCCTGGGAGGCGGAGGTTGCAGTGAGCTGAGATCCCGCCACTGCACTCCAGCCTGGGAGACAGTGCGAGACTCAGTCTCAAAAAAAAAAGAAAAGAAAAAAGAAAACATATTACAGAGTTAAGTAAGCAAGGACACTTTTTTTAAAAAAGTGAGTTTTTCCAGTAGATCCCTTGAGAAGGCTCAAAATCAGAGAAAGCAGGCCATTCTAGGATGAGGCGCAGGTGGGAAAATAACGAGGCCGCCATGTTGCTACATCCAGGATGCCACTGCAAGTCCCACGCTGGTTATTTCAAGTAGCTGCTCTTAAGACCGGCTGCTCCTTAAGGTTACCTGATGAGCTACTAATGCCCAAGCAATGCCCAAGCCTTGCTCCAGACTCAGTACACATGGGGACCAGGCCCCAGCACCCAGATTTTTTAAAAGCTTCTTGGGTGATTCCAATTGCAGCCAGGTTTAAGAACCTCTGGTCGATATCTGCAATGATAAGCATGAATCTATATTACAGTCAAGAGTCACTGGATTGTTTTAGAACAACTGGTAATATGAAAAAAAAAAAGCAAACTTCACCCAAGTGAGTTTCCCCTCTCTGAGGAAAAAGAGCCAATGCAGAACACAGACAATAACATTAGAAATCACCGTTATTGTCCTTAGATATCCAGAAGACCAGCCCATCTATAAAATTGCCATGGAAAGGAAGTAAATGAGGAACAGCCAAAAATTCTTGGAAGTAGAAAGCACAGCAGGTAACACATTAAAAAAAAACCCACAAAGTGGCAACATTAACAATCTAGATGGTCATATTGGGGAGAGGGTGGATCCAGAAAAATCCCTCTCACTTTTGCCTGCGCCAGTAGCAGACCAAGAAAATTGGGACAGCCCTTCAGGAGACATCTAGGAAAGATGGACAAAATGCTTACAAAAAATGTATTTTAAAGCCACAGGGAACTAACAGGGCAACTAAGATAATGAAACCAAGACCGGGCAGAAGGAAGACACCAGAGAGCTCAGCCCAGCTGGGTTGCAACTCTCCAGGCACTTCCTACACAACCCACCCAGGGCTCCACATCCCCTTCCAGCTCTATTTGAATTTGCACCGATAGGCATCCCACGTGTTAGCTGACTGCCTCTTCTCCTTCGTGGCAAGACGTTCAGCTCCACAAGGCAGGAGTCAGTGTCTGCCTCTTTCACTGCTGCAAGGTAGCCCCTGTGCCTAGAAGAGCACCGCGCAGGGTGGCTTCTTACTAAATATCCGGTAGATGAATGTTCACCTTCATTCTGTGATGGAAAAACATCAACAGAATTTTTTGAGAAGTAGGTTTTGAATATAAGCTTCTCTGTTAGTCAAATTGATATTCAACGATCCTGACAATTAAATGCATTTGCAGACAAGCAAAGACTCAGAGAGACAACACTTGTGCTTGTGTGCTGAAAGAAAAAGTATTTACCTTGATATCATGCTAACGTATTTATATAATAAACAAAATATAAATTAATAAGGAATAAGCACGTATTTCGAATAGATTAACAATCTCCGGAAGATCTTGAACGGGTCCTCAGAATCTCATCTTCCAAAACCACGCAATGGAGAATATTTGACAAAGTTTACAAAATAGTTTATTCCTCAATTTTATTTATAATGCAGTACAAAAAGATATTGAAACCCTCTCAATTTATTCTGCAAGGTTAGCAAAACCTGCTATTAAAACTGGATAGCAGAATTGCAAGGGAAAATAGTTTATTTGTAGTTTTCTTTTTTATTCTATAGTAATATTTATAGGTGTAAAGGCAAAATCTATCACTATTTGCAACTTTGTGAGGTTTTTTTTGAGACAAGATCTAGCTTTGTCACCCAGGCTGGAGTGCAGTGGAGCAATTACAGCTCACTGCAGCCTCGACCTCGTGGGCTCAAGTGGTTCTCCCATCTCAGCCCTCCAAGTAGCTGGGACTACAGGCATGCCACTATGCCCAGGTAATAAACTGTGGTTTTTATCAGGGAAGTAGTTAGTAATGAGGCTAACTATACAATAAAGATGTACAAATCAGTAAGTTACTCCTATGCAAGCAATAGCCAATTAGAAAATGCAGTAAATGAACAAAAATGGTCTCATTTTTAGAATAAAATATTTAAGGAAAAATAACAAAAACCAGTTCAAGATGTTTGCAAATAATTGTAGCAAACAACAGCAGGAGTAATATTTGGCCTGTGTAGCACATGTAACACCAGCCAGGCATGTGCTTCTCATTTTCTAGTCATTTTCTCCGCCCTCCTGGCCATTCACTGAGACAGGAGAATGTTTATCCCAATATTATAGATGAGAAGTATGTTGTCACATGACTAGTCAACTTAAAATTTTACTGAATGTGATAAAGGAAGATCTCAATAGATATAAAATATGCCATGTCCCTGATTGGAACTCTGAAAGTAACCAGTTGATCTTATACATTTTCCGAACTAATATTCCAGCTGGATTTATTTTTTCAACTCAACAAATGAACTATAAAATAGCTGTATTAGTCAGGATTCTCCAGAGAAACAGCAAGAATAGAAGATAGATATTAATAGAAAGATAGAAATAATTAGCTAGCTAGCTAGATAGATGATAGATAGATAGATAGATAGATAGATAGATAGATAGATAGATAGATGATAGATGGATAGACAGAGATGACAGGTAGATGGAGGGATAGATTAGATAGATAGATATTTAAATGGATGGATGGATAGATAGATATGATAGATGATAGATGGATGGATAGATAGAGATGATAGATGATAGATTAGATAGAGAAATGATAGATATGATAGATGGTAGATAGATGGATGGATAGAGATGATAGATGTATAGATAGATTAGATAGATATGATAGATGATGGATGGATAGAGATGATAGATGGATAGATTAGATAGATAATAGGTAGATAGATGATAGATAGATGGATAGATAGGTAGACAGATAGATGATAGATAAATAGATGGGATAGATAGGTAGATGATGATGGATAGAGATGATAGATAGATGGATAGATAGACGGATAGATGGATGGATGGATGAGAGGGGACTGACTGTGGGAATTGGCTACAAGGATTATGGAGACTGAGAAGTCCCATGATGTGCCCTCTGCAAGCTGGAGAACGAAGGGAGCCGGTGGTGTGGCTCAGTCCAAATACTGAGGTCTGAGAGCCAGGGAAGCCAAAGGTTTAACTCTCAGTCCAAGGTCAAAGGCCTGAGAACCCGGTGGGCCACAGCTGTAAATCTTGGTGTGTGAAGGCTAGAGAATCTGGAGTGCTGATGTCCAAGGCAGGAGACGATGGATGGTCCACTCCAGAAAAGAAGGTGGTTCACCTTTCCTCTGCCTTCTTGTTCTATCCAGGCCCTCGGTTGATTGGATGGTGCCTACCCACATCAGATGAGGGCAGATCTTCCTTCCTCAGTCCGTTGATTCAAATGCTAGTCTCTTCTGGAAACACTCTCACTAAACAGACCCAGAAATTGCATGAGCGTCATGGTTCATGCCTGTAATCCCAGCACTTTGGGAGGTCAAGGCAGGAGGATCACTTGAGCCCAGGAGTTTGAGACCAGCCTGGACATTTTAGCGAGACCCATCTTCACAAAAAGTAAAAAAATTAACCAGGTGTGGTGGCATGCGCCTGTGGTCCACACTAATCAGGAGGCTGAGGCGGGAGGATCACTTGAGCTCAGGAGTTTGAGGTCACAGTGAGCCACGATTGCGCCACTGCACTCGAGCCTGAGTGACAGAGTGAGACCTTATCTCAAAAATCATAAAACATAACATAACATATAAAAATAAAATAGAAATAATGCTTTTCCGGCTATGTGGATATCCCTTAATCTAGTCAAATTAACATTTAAAATTAATCTTCACAAATCTACCCCTTGTCAATTTAGCACCCATATGCATTTCCTTAAACCATCCCTTCTCCAGAAGAGGAGGTAAAGTCCTTGAGTAATGTTTACTCTTCTCCTATATCCATTTATGTATGTATGTTTGTACGTATGTTTCTAGAAACAGAGACTCACTGTGTTGCCCGTGCTGGTCTTGAACTCCTGGGCTCAAGAGATCTTCCTGTCTCAGGCTCCTATAGTGCTGGGATTACAGGCATGAGCCATTGAGCCCAGCCAATATCCCATAATTTAAATGATATTATGTAAAATTAGCAATACTTAAATATTGATATAAAGTCAAAATTTTTTTTTCTTAATAGAGATAGGGGTCTCTCTAGGTTGCCCAGGCTGGTTTCAAACTCCTGACCTCAAGCTATTCTCCTGCCTCAATCTGCCAAAGTGTTAGGATTACAGACGTGAGCCAAGGCACCTGGCTCAATATATCTTATAGTTACATGATGAGGGAATGAGAGAGGAAAGAAAACAGATATATCATTTGCTTGATATATTTATATATACACACAAACATGTTCTTTTTTTTTTTTTTTTTTTGACACAAGGACTCACACTGACGCCCAGGCTGGTGTGCAGTGGTGTGATCTCAGCTCACTGCAGTCTTGACTTCCCGGGCTTAGTACAGACTGTGTCTCACTATGTTGTGTTATACACAACAACATGGAGAAATCTTGGAAACACTATGTTGGATGTAAGTCCCGGATGACCACGTGTAGTACAATACTATTTTTGCAGAGCACTAATACTACTAGCAAGATTAAGCACAATCTTGTTAAGCATACTTATATATGTGATAAAGTAGTTTCTTGTGAAACTAAACATGTGCTTACCATACAACTCAGCAATTGTACTCTTAGGCATTCATCCTAGAGAAATTAAAACTCATTCACACAAAACTTGTATGTAAATGTTTATAGCAGCTCTATTCATAATAGTCAGAAACCGGAAACAAGTTAAATGCCTCCAAAAGGTGAAAGGATAAACAAATTATAGTGCATCCACACTGTGGTATTAACTACTCAGCAATAAAAAGACATGGTCTATTGAGGCACACAACTTGGATGGATCTTGAGAGACTTGTGCTGAGTGAAGAAAGCCAATCTCTAAAGTCTACATATCATACAATTCCATTAATGTAGCATTCTTTTTATTTTCTGTTTTTTGTTTTTTGTTTTTTGTGTTTTTTTTTTTTTGAGACAGGGTTTCGCTCTGTCGTATAGGCTGGAGTGCAGCGGAGTGATCTCAGCTCACTGCAGCCTGGACTTCCTGGGCTCAAGTGATCCTCCCACCTCAGGCTCCCAAGTGTCTGGGACTGCAGATACACACCACCATGCCCAGCTAATTTTTGTATTTTTTGTAGAGACAGGGTCTTGCCATGTTGCCCAGGGTTTTCTCAAACTCCTGGGCTCAAGTGATCTGCCTGCCTTGGCCTGTCAAAGTGCTGGGATTACAAGCATGAGCCACAGTGCCTGGCCTAATGTAGCATTCTTGAAACAGCAAAACAACAGAGATGGAGGGTAAATTAGTTGGTGGTGCCAATTTTTACAAAGGGGAGAGAGAGGGAGATGGCGGTGGCTATAAAAGGGTGGTGGAAGAGATCCCTATGATGGACTCTTTCTGTGTTGAATCAGAGTGGTGTTCACAGGAAAAATTGCACAGAACAAATATAAATACACACAAAGTACATGGTGAAATCTAAGTAAAGTTGATTATTTTATTAATTTTAATTATTAATTATTATTTAATTATATATTTATATTTTAAATAAATTTTGATATAAAATATATTTAACTATAATTATTTAAATATATCAACATTTAGTATAGTATAAATATTACTTGAAAAAATCAAGATTATTTTATTAATTTTATTAATGTTAATTTTCTCATTGTAATATATTTGTATATTCATATGCTTTATAACTAGCATATGTCTAACATATAATGTTTGTATTCCAAATGATGTATCTTAAAGGTGGGCTGCACACACACACACACACACACACACACACACACACAGAGAAACAATGTAAATTCCACTACTGAAATATAATCATGAGAGAGAGAGATCTACTCTGTCAATTAAAGATATTATTTCTGGTGGCTTTCACACAGGAATGCACACTGGGGACAAAAATAAGAACTCACCAACATTTCTGTGTGTGTGGAAATTTAGTCTGTGATGAAACGTGGAGTTTGAAATCAATGGAGTGAGGAAAGTACTGTGTAGTATATGGCATTGGAAACATAGACAATTTGGGCAGAAAAGTCAAATCCTTATTTCACATCATAAACTAAAATACAACCTAGGGGGTTTATTATTAAAACATTTTAACAAGGGGAAGTACCAGAGAAGTACGTGTTATATTTGTGTTAGAGGGGGAAGAATTTTCTAAACAAGGACAAAACCCAGAAGCCACAAACAGCAAAATGAACGACATAAAAACTTCCGATTTCTGTAGCATGAAAGCCTAACATATTATCATATTAAAGGTAAACAACATTTTAAAATTCTTTTTGCTTTTATTTCTTTTTTTTTTTTTTTTTTTTGAGGCAGGATCCTGCTCTGTTGCCCAGGCCAGGGTGCGGTGGTATAATCTCAGCTCACGGCAGCCTCAGCCTCCTGGGTTCAACTGAAAAGGATAGGTGTGGTCACGTGTTAGGCCCCATTTGTGGGATATGAACAAAGTGTGTAGAATACACTCCTATATTTTTCACTAGGGCTGCTGTACAAAGCACCACCAACTAGATGGCATGAACAGAAATGAGGTGTCTCACAGGTCTGGAGGCCGAAAGTCTGAAATCCAGGTGCCAGCAGAGTTGGCCGGTTCTGAGGACCGGGAGGGAGACTCTGTTCTCGGTCTCTCCCCTGGCTTCTGCGGTTTGCTGCTCATCTTTGGCATTTCTTGTCTTGCAGAGACATCACTGCAATAGCTTCTCCTATGGTCACATGACATTCTCTCTCTGTGTGTGTGTGTGTGCGTGTGTGTGTCCACGTTCCCCCTTTTTGTAAGGACACCAGTCACATTGGATTAGGGCCCACCTGCTCCAGCATGACCTCATTGTAACTTAATGAATTACATCTGCAACAGCCCTATTTCCAAATAAAGTCACATTCTAAGATACTTGGGGTTAGGACTTCAACATATAAATTTGAGAAGGACATAGATGAATCCATAGTAATCCCTAAGAAGCAAGACTGATTAAGTCATTCATTGAGTCACTGTTGCTATGACCAGCTACAGGAGGATAGCAAGACAAGGAAGAAAAAAGGGACATTCAATTTTATCTTATAGAATAATCAAATCATATTTGGACCAATAATATATTATTAGATGTATAAGACAGATGGAGACAGAGAAAAAGGGCGATAGCAAGAGAGAGCAATTTGCTATTATATTTTACTGAAGAAGGAATTAAGAGAGGAAAGTGATTACTGCTGAGGAGAGAGAAGGTCCACTCTCCCGAAAAAGGCCTGAGTCCTCCAATGATTGTTCTAAAGCTCAACTCATTCATGAAAATAACTATTTCACAAACAGTACCACGAAGCACCCACTATGTGCCATGCTCTGTAGTAACAATCAGGAGTGCAAGGATGCAGAGTCAGTGCTACTTCAGGTGTGGTCTGCAGACGGCTCGTGCACTGCCTGTTAGGAAAGACACTCTCAGGGAAGGAAGCAAGGAAGCAGTGTGTTTGCTTTATGTTCTGAGAAGTTCCTTATCTTGTTGCAGACAAGCAACAAACAGTGGTGGATATGCTGCTTCAGTCGTGCTAAACAGGGCTGTGTCTCTGCCCTCTGGAGACATGTTGAGCGGAGGAGACACTTGTATTATGACAAAACATCACCCTCCCCAGCCACATTCAAGTGTTAAGTCTGAAATTTTTCCTTCACACCCTCTGTTGCTCCTCTAGGTGTCAAGGAGCCCATCTCCATTTTAGAAAGACAGAGATGCGTTCTGGGCCGTTGCCCGGGAAAGAATGTCTACCAGGACAGTTCTGAGAAGGCTCAGCATCATATCTAAACACAGGAAAGGAATTCCCTGTTGGAAAATTCAGGATGACAACTGTGGGTAGCAAGCCAAGGCAAAGGGCAGAACGTGGAGCAGCATTTGAGGCTCCAGCCAATTCCAGCCTGTCTGCAGGCACTGCCTGCCTCCACGGCTGTCAGGTGTCGCCCCCAGGAGCTACGTAGGGCGAAGCTAGGCAGGCTTTCAGTGCCAGCTGTGGTTTCCCCAACAGCTCACAGGCCAGAGGCCCCGCCCAGGCCACCTCCTCCAGTCCCCCTGCCGCGGGGTGGTCTTCGGTGGTCTCACTCTCCCTCCCACTGCATTTCCATCTCTGCTGTAATATACCACCTCAGCCCTTCCTTTTTGATTCCCAAGAGCAAATTTTGGAAATAAAGCAACCTGAAAACATGCTGTTGCTCATTTTATGCCTCCTATATCCGTTCTCTCCCAAATGACTAATAGAAAGCTCCAGTCACCAAGATCAACTTCTCTAAATCCTACCTCCTTCCGCTTGTAAACACCAAGTGCCCCTATGTGATACCATGGCACCAAGTGCCATGACAGAAACCTCTGCAGGGCTCTGGAAGTCAAAGAACTGTTAATACTACCCAGAGAGGGCTGGGTGCAGTGGCTCACGCCTGTAATGCCAGCACTTTGGGAGGCCGAGGCGGGTGGATCACTAGGTCAGGAGATCGAGACCATCCTGGCTAACATGGTGAAACCTCATCTCTACTAAAAATACAAAAAATTAGCCGGGCATGGTGGCGGGCGCCTGTAGTCCCAGCTACGAGGGAGGCTGAGACAGGATAATGGTGTGAACCTGGGAGGCGGAGCTTGCAGTGAGCCAAGATGGCGCCACTGCACTCCGGCCTGGGCGACAGAGCGAGACTCCATCTCAAAAAAGAAAAAAAAAAAAAAATCTACCTGGAGAGAGGTAGTCAAGAGGCCATCCTTGACTGGGTCGTGAAAGGAGAGTAGGAGCTTGTCACACAGAAACAAGAAGGAGGCGCAGCAGAGAGAGTGGTGGAAGCAAAGAATAAGATCACCAAGTATTTTCGCAAGAGTTTCAGTATGTCTGGAATTTAGGTGTGGTAAGGAATAAGTACAGACGGAGGCAGTGGGCCAGGTAAAAGAGGCTCTTATTTGAGTTATATCAGTGTGTTAGTTCTGTATCCTAGATGTGGTGAGGCATTGCATGATTCTACCAACTTCCTTCGGTCTTCAGCTACCCAAACATAATTTTACACATATTATCTGACAAGTTCTAGATCCTAAACGCTTTCCCCATCTGGCTGCAGATAATCTAGACATGAAACATGTTTGCCTCATTAGAGGCAGTTAGAATAAAGAGAAATGGCTTCCACACCACAAAGGCAACTTTGAGCGTGGGTGCAGTGGCTCATGCCTGTAATCCCAACATTTTGGGAGGCTGAGGCAGGAGGATCACTTGAGTCCAGGAATTCAAAACCAGCCTGGGCAATAGAGTGAGAACCTGTATCTACAAAAAAATTTTTAAAAAGCAAAGAGATTAGCTAGGCATGGTGGCACACATCTGTAGTCCAGCTACTTAGGCTGAGGCAGGAGAATTGCTTGAGCCCAGGAGTTGGAGGCTGCAGTGAGCTATGATCATGCCACTCCACTCCACTCCAGCCTGGGCAACAGAGCAAGAGTCTGTCTCTAAAAGAAAAAAGCAACTTTGAGTAAAAGTAATGCACATACATTACATACTTTAGCTACCCATGTAGAAAACTGGATATTTCATGTTCTTTTCCTTTCTCTGTAGTTATGATCTTCTGGCTTGGTTGAAACTTTAACTTTTTTTTAAAATAAAACTTGGGTTACAAAGGATCATAAATCATTCTGCCATAAAGACACATGCACACGTATGTTTACTGCAGCACTATTTACAATAGCAAAGACTTGGAACCAACTGAAATGCCCATTAATGATAGACTGGATAAAGAAAATGTGACACATATACACCATGGAATACTATGCAGCAATAAAAACAAATGAGTTCATATCCTTCACAGGGACATGGATGAAGCTGGAAACCATCATTCTCAGCAAACTAACACAGGAACAGAAAACCAAACACAGCATGTTCTCACTCATGAATGGGAGTTGAACAATGAGAATACATGGACACAGGGAGGGGAATGTCACACACCAGGGCCTGTTGTGGGGTGGGGGGAAGGAGGAGGGAGAGTAAAAGGACGAATACCTAATGCATGCGGGACTTAAAACCTAGATGATGGGTTGACAGGTGCAGCAAACCACCATGGCACATGTATACCTACATAACAAACCTGCACATTCTGCACATGTATCCCAGAACTTAAAGTAAAAAACAAACAAACAAACAAAACAAAAACAAAAACAAAAAAAACCTTAGGTTATATTTCCAGTAGAATTGAGAGGGTATTTTTTGTTTATTTTCTTTTTTGTATGTTTTTTGAGACAGAGTCTTACTCACCCAGGCTGGAGTGCAATGGCACGATCTCAGCTCACTGCAATCTCCACCTCCTGGGTTCAAGCAATTCTCCTGCCTCAGCTTCCCAAGTAGCTGAGATTACAGGCAGAATTGAGAGTTTTAGTTCAAAAAAGTGAAAGTTTAAATTTAGCATTTTTATTATTAGAATGATGGCTCTGGCAAGTGCAATAATTTATAAACTCCAAGCAAATGAGAGTGCTGCAGAAGACAAAAATATAAAAATATAGGTACAGATTGGAGTAAAGCATGCATTTTTAAACTGTTTCTTTTATTAACGTCACACATCTATTTCTCAGCTGTGTCTGCCAAATGCATTTAGATCCTAGCATCCAGGGACTCTGCTGGCGTGGTGGAAGGTAGCGTAGCAGCATTGTCAGCAGAAGACCTTTCCATGGCTCCGCTTTCCTCAAAATGAATTTTTTGAAAACCAAGCTACTTAAAAATCTGTTTCCTTACTTTACATTTGTTGAAGTTTCTTTGTTTGTTTTAAAGGTTGGACAACATGTTGTAAAATATAACCTGTATATGATGATGTTTATAAATCATTAAAGTACAAATTTAAAAAGAAAATGAAACTCTTGGCAATTTACTTTCATTTCTTGCCATATGATGGAGTCACTGATACCAGACTAACCTTTCCACCATCAACAACTATAAATATGGGCAAAATAGGTGAGGAGTTTTGTTGTTTTGAGACAGGATTTCACTCCGTAGCTCGGGCTGGAGTTCAGTGGTTACGATCATAGCTCACTGCAGCCTTGACCTCTGGGGCTCAAGCAATCCTCCCACCTCAGCTTCCAGAGTAGCTGGGACTACAGGTATGTGCTGCATACCCACCTAATTTAGTTATTTACTTTATAGAGAGGAGTCCTCACTATGCTGCTCAGGCTGGTCTCCTGGCCTCAAGCAATCCTCCTGTCTCAGCCTCCCAAAGTGTTGGGATTACAGGCATGAGCCACGGTGTCCAGCCAAGGTAATTGTTTCTGAGCACCAGGCAATAGCAAGATTGAACTGTGATCCCTGAAAGAGGAAGAGAGTGTAGGGTGGGCACCAAAATTGCCTCTGTTTGCCACCTGAGGGCATTTTCCAAACTGCAGCTGGAGATGGGAGGAAGTGGAATCCACCCAGAGCATGACTGATGGTCTCACCATGTAATAGAGGCCTTGCTTGAAGCTCAGGGTGGCTTAGGCAGCTGCAATTTGAAGGACAGGGTATCAGAAAGAATGGGGAACTGTGCAGAGAAGGAGTTTAAAAGTCTGCACAGTGTCTGCTTAAGTCTTTGGCTAGATACTAAGCTATGCTTCTGCGTTGGTCAATTGCAAGGCCTGGCAGTGAGCAGCTGCTAGATTGAATGGAAATTCCAGAGACTGTGTAGTGCTTGGAGTGCTGGGAGACACAGGAGTTCTGCCTCACCAGAAACAGAATGGTGAACACTCTGAGTATTCAAGTGAGACCACAGCAAGGCCATGTCTGAGGGACAGGACTACATCAGTCAGAGTAAGGGCTATTCAGCCAGGGGCGATGGCTCACGCCTGTAATCCCAGCACTTTGGGAGGCCAAAGTGGATGGATCACCTGAGGTCAGGAGTTTGAGACCAGCCTGGCCAACACGACGAAACCCTGTCTCTACTGAAAATACAAAAATTAGCCAGGCATAGTGGCACGTGCCTGTAATCCCAGCTACTTGGAAGGCTGAGGCAGGAGAATCACTTGAACCTGGGAGGCAGAGGTTGCAGTGAGTCAAGATTACGCCACTGCAATCCAACCTGGGCGACAGAGTGAGACTCTGCCTCAAAAAAAAAAAAAAAAAAAAAGAGTAAGGGCTACTTTAGACCCACAATGTCAATATCAAAGTCCAGAAGCAAGCCTTAGCTGGATCAAGCTGAACCACCAGTACCTTAACTGGCTGCCAGAATAAAACGCACAGATCTAAAAGAAGACCAAGAAGAAAAAGACTCTCAGCAACCTAGCATACACAATGGTCATAATAAATTTTAATATAAGGGACATCAGTGGAAAAAATAGAAACTGTAAAAAGAACTAAATGGATATTCTAGAACAGTACAATGTATGAAATGAAGATTTCACTGGATGGCCCTAGCAGTAGATTGAAGATGATCAAAGCATACTCTGCTTACATTCATATAGATAAATGCAAATTATCCAATCTTAATATTAGGGAGAAAAAGTATGCAGAGATTCATTGAGCTGTAGGACAATATTCAATAGTCTACAATATGGAAAGATGGAGTCTTAGGAGGAGAACAGAAAGAGAATGAGTCAGAAAAATGTTTTGAGAAAATAATGGCCAATTATTTCCCAAATTTGTTTAAAATATAAGCTTCCATAAGCCTCCAAGAAGCTCAGAAAACTGCAGGCAGGATAAATAAAACAAAAATACAACTAGGCCCAATAGAGTCAAACAGCTGAAAATCAAAGATGAGGAGAAAATCTTTAAAATAGCCAGATAAAACCAGACATGTTACATAGAGAGAAATTATATATAAATTCAGCTACTTCTCATCAAAACCCATCAACCTATAATTCTATATCGAGGAAGAAATATCTGTCAAAAATAAGGACAGTGTGAAATAAGGACAGTTTAAGATAAACAAAAGCTGAGAGAATTCACTACCAGCTGACCTGAGTTAGAGGAGAAGCTAAAAGTTCTTCAGGTGAAAAGAAGTGGAGAAGACTGGATATTGTAAATATAAACCAAAAAAGATACTGTATTATATTTAATTTCTGAATGTCTTTGAAAAGCAAGCAATTGTTTAAACAAAAAATTATACCAATCTATTGTGAGGTTTCTAACTTATGCAAATTTAAAATATATGACACTGATAGCAAAAAAGTGGAGGTTAAATGAAATCGCACTCTCACTGCAACACTACAACATATAGTTATTAAAACAACAACAAGTCAACATAGTGGACTTCTAATACATTCAACAAATTAGATGTTATAGGATATTTCTTTGAAAAACAGTTTACCAAAACCAGTGCAAGATGAAGGTAAAATTTGAATAGCTCTATATCAGTTAAAGATATTAAATTCAAAATCTAAGTCCTAGGCCAGGTGCAGTAAGTAGCTCATGCCTGTAATCCCAGCACTCTGGGAGGCCTAGGCTGGAGGATCACTTGAGCCCAGGATTTCAAGATTAGCCTGGGAAACATAGTGAGATCTCATCTCTCTTAAAAATAAATTTAAAAAATTAGCCAGGCATGGTGGTGAACACTTTTAGTCCCAGCTTCCTGGGAGACTGAGGCAGGAGGACTGCTTGAGCCTGGGAGGTCGAGGTTGCAGTGAATCATGATTGTGTCACTGCACTCCAGCCTGGGCAACAGACCAAATGTCCATCTCAAATTTAAAATGAATAAAAATAGAAATAAAAACAAAATCAAAGTCCTTCCCATAAAGGAAACTCCAGGCCCAGGTGGTACAATTACACACAGATTAGAATGGCTCAAGTGAAAAGGAATAATACCACCAAATATTGGCAAAGAATGTGAAGCAGCTGGAACTCTCAGGCATTGCAGGTGGAAGTGTAAAGCAGGTACTGAGGCGGGAGGTGGGACTTGACTCCAGAGGTGGGGCTCAGACTCCAGACCAGATTGAAGACTAGCTGAAACAGGGAAGAGGCAAAAGCACCTCTCCATAAGACATGCCCACCAGTGCCATGTCAGTTTACCATTGCCATGGCAACACCAGAAGTTACCACCCCTTTCCATGACAATGACCTGACAACCCAGAAGTTACCATCTTTTTTCTAGAAATTTCTGTATAATCCACCCCTTGATTTGCCTGTGATTAAAAGTGGGTATGAAATGACTGCGGAACCCCCCTGAGCTGCTACTCTGGGCACACTGCCTGTGGTTAGCCCCGCTTCACAAGGAGCAGTACCCCCTGCTACTGCTGTGCACTGTGCTGCCATCAAAGTTGCTGTTTAACACCACCGGTTCACCCTTGAATTCTTTCCTGGGTGAAGCCAAGAGCCCTCCCAGGCTAAGCCCCAATTTGGGGGCTCGCCTGTCCAGCATCAGCACAACCACTATGGAACTATGTGTGGTAGTTTCTGTTTTAATGAAATATGTTTATCTGTGATCAGCAATTCTAGTCCTAGTCATGTACTCTAGATAAATGAAAATATATGTACATAAAATGGTTGTTCATTGCAGCTTTATTCAAAATAGCCAAAAACTAGAAACCACTGCAATGTCTATCGACAAGTGAATGGATAAACAAAATGTGTTATTTCCATATGATGGACTGTTATTCAATAATATCAAGGATACATTCAAGAACATAGATGAATCACAGTACATTATGCTGAGTGAAAGAAGCCAGAGATGAAAGACTCCCTAATGTTTGATTCTATGTAGATGAAGTCCATGGATAGGCAAAACTAATGTAGCTTGGAAAACAGTCTAAACAATGGTTGCCTCTGGCATTGAGGGGTGGAAAATGATTGGAAAGGGTCTTAAGGGAACTTTGTGAGGTTTTGTAATATTCTATTAACTGAACAGAATGCCAGTTGCCTGGGTTTTTGCATTTCTTTTTACTTTTGTTGTTACCTTTAAGAAGGAAAGGTGTCAGTGGCTGGGGAAAGCATAAGGGATCTTCTGGAGTGTTGGCAATGCTCTACTTCTTGGCATGACTGTATTTACTTTGTGGTAATCCTTTAACTGTACATTATGATGTGTGCACTTCCCGGAATGTGCAGTATGCTTTTATAATAAGTCAAAAATTAGAAGCCCTTTGGATGACTTACTGTCGATATATGCTATCCTCCCACAGTCTAGTTACGCGTGGCATCTGCATAGTCAGGCTCAGACATTCTTTAGCCACCCCTGAAGCTTGACTTCCATGCTTGAGCAAATACTTCCTAATCCTGAGAGCTGTCAGGGTTCACTTGAATTCTCTGGTGCGGTAGGAATCATTGTGCCTTTCCCAGAAGGAAACTGATCTAATTGGCTTAATGAAGCCAAGAACCTCTTATTCAACTCTCTTTTCCTTATAACAACATGGTATTATTTCTTTTAATTATGGACTATCACATGGAAATTGCTGACTTATTCTAGCTCCATTAAGTGGACACACTAAGATGAACCAAAATACTTACAAAAAGCACGCAAACACCCGCTGCCTGCCTCTGCTCCCTGCACTCAGTCTCTGTGGTCCCTTGCACCTCACCTTCCCAGTTTGGCTCTGCTTCTTGGTTCAGCTTTAACAGCCTGCTTAGTGCATGCCTCTGTAGCTCCTAGGTCCTGATCTGAGAGAGGGTGCATCTGGCCAAGTGCTTTCAGAGGGAGCATGAGGAGCCTGCCCTGACCTCTCTTGGCCCCTTATTGGGAGACGCCCTTTGGCTGTGATGCATAACCTTACTTTAATGTGGTTGCTGTACACAGCATATTGGATTCCGCCTCATAATAATCTGCAGATCTGTGAGTCTGAGCAATCGATGCCTGTCTAACTGCCACTGTCACTGCATTAGGCTGTCAACTTTCTCAAAGACCTTTCCTAATGCACTGACATCCAAGTCAGTCCCTTTTTATTTCATTTTGTTATTATTTTTTAGAGACAGGGTCTCTCTCTCACCCCAGCTGGAGTGCAGTGGCATGACCATAGCTCACTGAAGCCTCAAACTCCTGGGCTCAAGCAATACTTCTGCCTCGCCTCCTGAGTAGCTGGGACTACAAGCACATACCGCCATGCTGAACTAATTTTTAAGTTTTTTTTTTTTTGTAGAGACAGGGTCTTATTATGTTGTCCAGGCTGGTCTCAAACTCCTGGTCTCAAGCAATTCTCCTGTCTCAGCCTCCCAAAGCGCTGAGATTAGTGGTATGTACCTTTTTGACACTACTCCAGTTGTGTTTGGCAGCTTCCTTCTTCCTGACTTACTTATCTTCAGAGCCCTCATCACCACCTGGTGTTACAGTCTATGTGTTGATATCATTTTCTACATCGCCCCCAGCCTATTTGAATATAAAGTCCATGAGAGGGAAAGGATAGAAATTGTGTTTACTTTGTCCTCTCCTGTAGCTCCAGTACCTGCAACAATGACTGGCGCATAGTAGATTGTCCATAAATATTTGAAAAATGAAAAAATGAGACAATTGGGAAAAGAGAATGAGAAGCTGATAAACATTTGTTGTGCACACACCATAATAATAATAACAATAATAATAATAGTAATAATACAGATGCTCCTCGGCTTATGACGGGATTACGTCACAATGAACCAGTGGTCAATGGAAAATATCTTAAGTAGAAAGTGCATGTGATATACCTGACTTGCTGAATATCCTAGCTCAGCCTAACCCACCTCACCCATGCTCAGAGTGCCTGCAGTTGCCTGCAGTTGGGCAAAGTCATCTCACACAAAGCTTATTTTATAATAAAGTGTTGAATATCTCAGATAGTTTATTGAATACGGTTGAAAGTGAAAAACAGAACAGTTGTGTGGGTTCTCCAGCTACTATTTCTTTTCTTTTTTTTTCTTTTCTTTCTTTCTTTCTTTTTTTTTTTTTTGAGAAAGGTTCTTGCTCTGTGGCAGCCTTGACCTCCCAGACTCAAGCCGTCTTCCTACCTCAGCCTCCCCAGCAGCTGAGACCACAGGTGCCCGCCGCCACCATGCTTGGCTAATTTTTGTATTTTTGGTAGAAACGAGGTTTAACCACGTTGCCCAGGCTGGTCTCGAGCTCCTGGCCTGAAGGGATCCATCCATCTCAGCCTCCCAAACTTGTGGGATTACAGATGTGAGCCACTATGCCTGGCCTCAAAGTACTGTTTCTATTGAGTGTGTATTGCTTTCACACCACAGTAAGTTTGAAAAGTCTAAGTCAAACCGTCGTAAGGCAGGAACCGTCAGTCTAAAAAAGGCATAGATTTTGAGAAAAAGGGAGGCAGAGGAGTTGGGAAGAGAGGTTATAGGACTGATGAAAGATAGTGAAACCAATGCGGATGTAACAAAACACTGAATCAAAGGCAACAAAGACAGGGGTAGGCAGAAGCCAGGAAGGGACTGGGCCAAGTAAGAGGGAAAGGAAAAGGGGGTTCCCTCTGTCCCTTCTCCCTCAATCAGGCTTGTGGGTGCAGGACAGGACGCTAGGCCGCCTGCCATATAGAATTATCTGTGTTGGTCTTCTCCTTTCCTCCTTCCCTGGACTCTGACGTCTTTGTCAAGTCTGGGATGAAGTGGGTGAGAGAAATGCCTTTTCATCATGAGCTTCCCTGAGGTCTCTCTTTCTCCACATGAAGTTTCAAAAGTCTATTTTGGGATGCAAAGGCTGAGAGCTCCAACACTGGGTCTCCTCTCCTCTCCCGGCCAACATTCGAGAGCTGGTAAGACAAGACCTCAAGTTGCTGCCAAAATGGAAGGAGGCCATGGGGAAAGACGGAATGATAAGCATGTCGGTTCAGATCAACATGTTATCTCACCACATGGGTGTTTGTTAGGAAATGAATGTGTTTGTTCTTTTGCATCAATCAGGAGCAGCAGGGAACATGGAGGGGTGGAGGGATGGTGAATGGGTTTGTTTTAAAGAAAAAGACCAGTGAGAGGGGAAGTTCAAGGCCTCTAGTCAAGTCACCCGTGCTTTCTCCCAGGCCCTCATCTCTGTTCCCTTCCCACGCAGACTTGCCCAACCTCCCCATTCTGTGCCAGCAGATCTGGGTGCTTACGCCTGGCTTGGGGAAGTGTGTGTCTTGGAGGGGAAAGGGTGTGGGGACTTCACTTGTATGCACAGTGCACCAGATTCCACAGAGCCTCTGGAGCCCAGGGTTTTTATCATTATGTTTGTTGACTTATTATGTAAAAATTGTACTTTGTTGCTTTTTTATTTGCTTGTTTTAATTGTTACTTGCAGCCATTTTTCCAAACGGCTGTTGTTCTTGAATGTTAGCTGTGCTCACACTTTCCTCATTATTGGTTCCTTAGTGAGCTTTCCTTTCCTTTATTCCTTCCTTCCTTCCCTCCCTCCCCTCCCCTCCCCTCCCTTGCCTTCCCTTCCTTCCTTCCTTCCATCCCTCCTTTTTCAGACAAGGTCTTTCTCTGTTGCCCAGGCTGGAGTGCAGTAAGTCGTGTGATCTTGGCTCACTACCGCCTCAACCTCCTGGGCTCAAGAGATCTTCCTACCTCAGCCTCCTGAATGGCTGAGACCACAGACACTCACCACCATACCTGGCTTTTTTCTTTTTTTTTCTAGAGACAGGGTCTTGCTCTCTTGTCCAGGCTGGTCTCAAACTCCTGATCTCAAGCAATTCTCCTGCCTCAGCCTCCCAAAGTTCTGGGATTACAGACGTGAGCCACTGCATCTAGCCTGTCCTCTATATTTTTGTTTTTTAAATATTTATCCTTTCTTTCTTTTTTTTGGCCTCAATGTATAACTGTTATTTTCTAGATTTGATCTGAGATGGAATCATGGATCTTCTTTGTATTTTGGAATGAAAAGAGGTGTGAGCCAGGGTAAGATTCTGCAGGAAGACCTTTACTGGGCTGAGGCAAGGATGTGAGACGCAGTCCAGTTGCTACTCTGAAACCTGTCCTTGAGGTTGCTGAGGAGTCTGATGCCATGACTCCATGGGGGGTGGTGTTTACACCTTGGGAGTCCATATGGCTAAACTACAAAAGAAACATGTGACCCTGGTCTTTGCTTATCGTATAACAGCAGAAGCACAATATAGAAAATCTTTCTTTGCAGGCTGTTTGGATCTTACCCTTTGTGGTAGCTCTGTTGCATTCTCTAGCAAAGTGTTTTCAAAACCTTCTTGACCAGTGACATACTGATAAGTATTTCGATCATATAAGTGGTTTTCTATTGCAAACAATATGACTCAAAACATACATTACACGTATACCTTTGGCACTGACTGAATTGATATAGGCTAGATTCCTAGAACTGGTATCTCAGTCAAGGAAACATGCATTTGAATTTGAATAGGTGCAGTCCTTCCAAAGAGCCCTTCCAAAATGCTGTGCCACTGCATGGAGTTTGTATCTGCCACTGCATGGAGTGAGCTATTTCCCTACGTCCAAACCTATAAGATACTATCCATCTGTCTCTTTTGCTTATCTGATGGGGAAAATTGGTACTTCATGGTTCCTAAACAATTTTGAATACTAGGGGATTTTGACTTTGAAGCTTCTTTCCTTTCCAGGTTTTCATAATGGAAAGTAGACTAAAGGGAAGATATTGAGGGTGGGATGTACATCAGAGAGGCCAAAGGAAGAAAATCATTATCCAGGTAGGAGGAAAAGAGGGCAGGATTTAGGGTATAAGGGAAGATGTAAGAAACTTGTAGGGAGCCACCTCCTTGCCAGTGCCTTCTCTCCATGCCCATCCTGACTTTTTGCAAGTTTTTTTTGTTGTTGTTTGTTTGTTTGTTTTTAGAGATAGGGTCTCTCTCTGACACCCAGGCTGGTGTGCAGAGGCCTGATCCTAGCTCACCACAGTCTTGAACTCCTGGGCTCAAGCAAACTCCCGCCTCAGTCTTCTGAGTAGCTGGGACTACACGCGCATGGATGCCACCATGGCTTGCTAATTTAAAACAATTTTTTTTTTTTAGAGACAGGTCGCACTGTGTGGCTTAGGCTGGTCTCAAACTCCTGGTCTCATGTGACCCCCAGCCTCAGTCTCCAGAGTAGCTGGGTCTATAGGTGCAAGCCATCACGCTCGGCTGACCTTTTGCAAATGTGAGTACAGATGCCCTCCTGAGACTTGGCGGCAGAGTCGCATGCAGGGGAAGGAAGATCTAAGGCTTGATCTCTTCTGAGGCGGCCAGCCTTTGAGAGATTCACGTCAACCGCTAAGGTCACCTGCTGCCCCCACATTCCTGTGGAACTAAGTGTAAAGAGCTTTTGATCTTGGGTGGAAATAAGGCAGAATTTATTATGTCACTAGAATCTTGTTTTTTTTTTTGAGTCGGAGTCTCGCTCTGTTGCCCAGGCTGAAGTGCAGTGGCGGGATCTCGGCTCACTGCAAGCTCCGCCTCCCGGGTTCACGCCATTCTCCTGCCTCAGCCTCTGGAGTAGCTGGGACTACAGGCGCCTGCCACCACGCCCAGCTTATTTTTTGTATTTTTAGTAGAGACAGGGTTTCACCATGTTAGCCGGGATGGTCTCTATCTCCTGACCCCGTGATCTACCTGCCTTGGCCTCCCAAAGTGCTGAGATTACAGGCGTGAGCCACCGCACCCGACCGCTAGAATCTTTTTAAGGTCTCCAAGGCAGAGGAATGTGTGCGGATTCATAAGCTGCCAAGATTTAAGAAAAAAGAAAAGTTAGTTAGGTGGAAAATTCAGATAGGATCCTAAAATTGCTACCTTCAATTTACTGCTTTTGAGTTGGGAAAGGAAATAAAGGATTTGGAAGCATTATGGGGAAGGCATTTAGGCTAGAATGGAAATACTTATTCATATCGTTCCTGCACTGGGTGGACCAAGCTATGAGCCACATCCGTCTTTGCAGGAATAAGAAATCATGAGAGGGTCAAATTATGTGGCTGGCATTTCTGCATAACATACCTCCCACTTAATGGGCACATAACAATTTCTCTAGCACGTTCTATTTATCAATAAAATCTCATTTTAAAAAAATATTTTATCTTTTTACAGCAGTTTTAGGTTCACAGCAAGATGAGCAGAGGGTCCCAACATCTTCTCCGCCCCCACACAAGCATAGCCTCCCCTACCGTCCATATTTCCAGCAGAGTGGCACATTTCTTTATGATTGATGAAGCCACATTGATACATCATTATTACACAGAGACCACAGCTTACATTATGCTTCACTCTTGGTGTTGTGTATTGTGTGGGTTTGGACCAATGTATAATGCCCTGTATCCGCCGTTGCAGTATTGTACAGAGTAGTTTCATTGCCCTAAAAATCCTCTGTGCTCCCCTATCCATCCCTCTCTCTCCTCTAGCCCCCAGGAAATGCCGATCACTTTCCTGTCTCCATGGTTCTGCCTTTTCCAGAATGTCGTTCAGTTGGAACCATGCAGTGGGTAGCCTCTTCAGATTGGCTTCTTTGACTCTGTGACATACGTGTCACTTTCCTCCATGTGTTTCTATGGCTTGATAGCTCATTTCATTTTACTACTGAATAATATTGCATTCTCTGAATGTACCACAGTTTATTTGGCCATCCACTTGCTGAAGGACATGGTGGTTGCTTCCTAGTTTTGGCAGTTATGAATAAAGCTGCTATAAACATCCCTGTGCACATGTTTGTCTGGACACAAAGCTTTTACCCATTTCATATATTCATTTGCATGGTTGCTTTACAGTGCCAGGGGCGAGTGGGTGGGGATTTTGTGGAGGCTGTGTGTTTTGGCTGTGAAAGACATCTAGCAGTCCTAGTAATGCCCTAGCTCCCATGAGCAGTGCTTCCTAAGGGCTCAGAGAGAGAGACTTTGGGACTATGCAGTACTGAAAAGGCAAGAGGTAACGCAAGCTGTAGCAACGCATTTCACTGCAGTTGCATGCCGGCAGCCAGAGACAATGCCAACTGAAGTGGATGCAGCCAGGGGAAGTCTGAAGAGCAGCCAGGCTCATAAATTTGAAGAGTGGAAAAGAATTGCGATGGCAACTAAATATTGCTCTGTAAAGTAGCCAGGCATAAGTCTTATACAGCAGTGACTTTCAAACTTTAGAAACTCTATTAACACTCCTCAAGTAGAAGGCTGCTGTGAGCTCCTGAAGAGGCACAGGCCATCCTCAGATCTCTGTGTTCATGAAAGATGCCCCGACTTTCTATCAGGGCCCATCTCCCTTGGGGTAGGGGGCTGGGTGCAGAATTTAACATTTTTTGATACTTTTTTTAAAAAAGAAATACAAAACTCAAGAGAATAATATAAGAACCCCAACATAACCCCTGCCCAGATTCCTCTTTCCTTTTTACAATTGCATTGCCCACGTCATGTATTCCATCAGTTTCCTGCTGTTTTGACATGTGGGCTGTCTCTGGCTGGCCTTTGGCTGCAGTGAGTAGACACCCTTTTGCCTATATGTTTTCACATTTTTGCAAATGTAGCTTGAAGTTAGATTCCAGGAGGTGTGTTTGCAGGGTCATGAGTAAGCGTATATGCAGTTTTGCTCACCGTTGTGCAGTGCCGCCCCCAATATCTGGGGATGCCTGCTTCCCAGGGCCTCTCAGCATCATTTGTCATTAGTGTTTTGCATTTTTGTCAACCTGGTAGGTGAGAAATGGTATCTCAGTTTAGTTTTAATTTGTTTTTTTTTTCTATTTTGTTTGAGATTGATCATATTTTCATATGTTTAAGGTCTATTTACATTTTTCCCCCTGGGAGCTCACTCTCTATTTAGACGTCTTGCCCATCTTTCTATTATTGGTCTTTTATTGCTTCTAAAATTTGAATTTCTACTTTATTTCCAATTTTTTTTCTTACTTGTCACTGACTTGAAGCTCATACATTTTGAATTTTGAGTCATAATTAGGAAGTTCGAATTTTGAGCCATATTTAGGGAGATTTTCTTACTCCGGATGATAAAGAAGTTTACTTATATTTTCTTCTAGAATTTAGATAGTCTCAATATTCCACATTTAGATTTTTAAAAATATATTAAATTGAGACAGGGTCTCACTTTTTTGCCCAGGCTGGCCTCAAACCCCTGCCCTCATGGGATCCTCCCTTTTCGGCCTCCCAAAGTGCTGGGATTACAGGCATGAGCCTCTGCACCTGGTCTACATTTAGATTTTTGTTACATTTGTCATATACTATTCTAGTGTGGAGAGTGAGGAATGGATTGAATGTTACTTCTAAATAGCTATCTATTTGTCCCAAAAATATTTATTTGAGGGTTCCATCTTTTACTTGCTGACTTAGGGTCTGTATCATTTGCTCTATCTCCATGTGTACCTGGCTGTATTTCAGGCCTTTACATTCTTTCGCTGGTCTGCCGTCCTTTTATTTGCTAATACCACACTCCTTTAATTAAGGAAGCTTCATAGAGAGCTGGCTGGGAGTATAGAGGAGCAAACACATTTTTCCATTCAGGCACTCCTGACTCACCTGAATTCCAGCAGAGCACAGGCTGTGCCAACTCTCTGCCTGTGCTTTTAGACCCTGTGGCTGCACAAAAAAAACTCAGGAATCAAAGTGGAGACAGTGAGAATTCAGGCGGAAATTACTAGAAAACCCCAGGAAGTAAAGAAGGAAAAAGAAACCAAGGAACCAGAAAAACCAACAGATGCAGTCAGTTAAAACTTAGAGTGACCAGGAGATCCAGTGTTTCTTAAAAGAATGGAGATTTCTTGAGTGTGAAGATTTGAGGAAGAGGATCGTGAATGGTCCAAGACAATTGCCCAGCACCTCAAGCAGAGAGGCACCAGCAGGAGCTGGTAACAATGTCTACAGTCTACAGATGCTGGAGAGAGCAGGACTCACTCTGGGCCACTCATGAGACCAGCCATGGGCCAAGGAGCCAGCCCTGGCCCTGTCCTCATGGAGAGGCCCTGCCAGGATTCTGGGATACAGATGGAAGGACAAGGTCTTTTCAGGTCCTCTCTGTGCATATGTGGTTGTTCCTGCAACTCCTGTTATCAGTTCCGGGTCTGTCATCCCCATTGCTTTAAGGGGCTGCTGTCGGCCCCCATGCATGATTTCCGTGGAGCATCCTCAGGTACCCAGATGGGAGTCCTGGAACATGAGCCTGAGGGTCAGCCCCCTGCCTGTTTCCTGCTGTTGTCCCAGCTAGAAACTTGGAGACAATTAGAACCTGGATCTCAATTCTGCCTCAAAGCAAGGCAATAGCACAATCTATACACTGGTGCGTGACTCCTCCTCTCCCAGCCCAGTGTGATGAGGATAAAATGAGAAATAAATGAATGAGCATCACCTAAAAAAAAGAAAGAATTCTATGTTTTAATATCTGGCAGGGCTAGTCCTTTGTTATTTCTTCCAGAGTTTTTCTGGTGATTTTTACTTGTTTATATTTCCATATGAACATTATGATCAACTTGTACATTCAGGTCTTCTATAATTACTGGGTTGCTTTCTGAAGGCAGAGTGTGTGGAATCCCACAGGTGCAGAGAGCAGCCTCCTGGGTGTGAGTTAATTTGCATTTATACCTGACTTCCTTTACCGTTGGTCAATAACCTAGGCATAAAGCTAAGTTGAAAAGTACTGCCCTAGGTAGCCTTAAAATTAATGAAGAATGAACACAAAGTATTACAACACAAGGAAGAAACCCTAAGTTACTAGAGGGCAGGGACTGTTTAATAGTATGTGCCTAAACATATGTGCTGGAGCTAGATACATTGCCAAGGTCCAGTAAAATGCTGAATTATATTAAAAGAATGAATGTGATCAATGCTAGATTGGAATCCTATTTCAAGGGGGAACAGAAGAAGAAGATGTTCACTTGGAATTCAAAGCTTTTGACAAGGAGGTGGCATTTGCGATTGGCGTTGAAGAGTTATCGGATTCTAGTAGCTGTAAGAGGCTGTGTGGAGGAGAAAAAGCCAGACAGGGAATGCCATGTGTGAAGAGCAGAAGGCAAGGAGGCGTGTGATGGGTCTGTGGAACAGTGATGAGTCTTGGTGCTGGAACAAATGATGTTGGGGTAGAAAGGGGGTGCCATAGACACCACAGGAAATGAGACTGAAAACGAGGGCTGGACTCAGAAGATGGGAGAACATAAGACATTTGGGATTTTTACAGCTATGGGAATAATGAGTCTTTGAAATCTTGGGGCAGGAGGGAGATAAACATCGGTAACAGTTAATGTATATAGAAACAGTTAGGATTAGTTTATTTCAGTTGTAATAAGTGATTCTTCATTATTTCAGTTAAAAATATGTTAAAAACATCGCCAACTACTTGGGATCCTTAGAGCCTCATACTCCAAGTTAACCTGGTACATGTTCAAAGTAGAAAACCTCACCCTGGTGTTCTTTAAAATAAAGTTAAATTAGTAAATTTATATCTAGCTTGGATTCTTCATGCAGCACTTCTAGAGAATTGGAGTGTAATACTATTAGAATTTGTGAGCTGATCTAGGTGCAACTAACATAGTTTTGTTACTGTATTAATTCCAAATGCTATGTTTATGTTATCACGTGACAAAAAGTGGCAATCCTTTATAGGAATGTCATCTTTTATGCTTTAAAATTCTCAAAGCCTGCCTTCCCTGCTGCCCTCCCCACCAACCCTCACTACAACAAAGGGAATCAATTTTTTACTGTTGTGTAATTAGAGGAAAAAAAAGTTCTTAATTTCCTTCTCTCCCAAGAGGAAATATGGTGTTCCAAACCACAAGAGTTTATTGCATTTGACCCTCACATTTTCTGTTTATTAATCACAGAAGTATACATTTCACTAAAAACTATAAGCAAATTATTGCTTTACCTGTAATTGTTTCCCAGGGCAGCTGTGACTGGCTAAGCACAGCCTGGAGCTCTTGCAGAGTGATGTGTGCTCTCCATGAGGATGGGACAGGCAAGGAAGAGGGACCTGCTCGCTCACTGTGCTCCCGGGCCTTGGGCTTGGAATGGCAGACAGGGCAGGGTCAGAGAACAGCTGAAGAAAACAGAAAGATGAAACTTTACAACTAGAAAACAAAGAAAAGTTGCATGTTAATTTAAGCACTGGGAATTCAAATTGAAATGATCACAAAGAGTGTTATTATCTCAAATTCCACTTGTACATTTACCTTATATCCTGCAACCTTGCTATAATCACTCACTAGTCTCAGAAGTTTTTTCCTAATGTGTATACCTTTATTTTATTTTTTTGTCTAATTGCATTAGCTAGGACTTCCAGGATGATACGGAAAAGCAGTGGTGAGTGGGGACATCCTTGCCTTTTTCCTGAACTTAGTGGAAAAACTTCTTGTTTCTTGCCATTAACTATGATGTTAGTTGTAGGCTTTTTGTAGATATTATTTACCAAGTTGAGGAAGTTCCTCTCTATTCCTAGTATACTGAGGGTTTTTTTAAAATCATGAATGAGTATTGGATTTTGTCAAATACTTTCTCTGCATCTATAATACAATCATGAGATTTTTCTTCTTAGCCTGTTGATGTGATGGATTATATTAATTGACTTTTAAATGTTGACGTGGCCTTGCATACCTGGGATAAATCCCACTTGGCTGTGGGATATAATTCTTTTTAAACATTGTTGGGGTCAGAGGAATATTATTATTATTATGTTTAATAAGCATCATACCAATAGCTCAAGTGAACTATGTAACAGGTGGGAGTACTATTGAGTCCAACACATGGTAGAGCTGAGAACAAAATAATTGCAAGGAAGCTTGATTCTAAATCAGCATCCAAAAGCACATTTGTAAGAATGATAGAAATATTGAGAAGTCGTTTCTTTTGGAAAAGACTTCTGAAAAACTTTCAGTATCTGAACTAAAGTTACTTCAACTCTCCTAACAGGGCAGCCTCTCCTGGTCTCACTGCCAGGTGGCAACCGCATTCCTGATCTCAATGCTGCTGGGGAGGAGTGTTTGGTAGCCAGGGTGCCCATGGTCTGCAATACTAGAGCCAACCCCAGGTGGCCATCGGGTATAACATAGGCGGCAAGCCATGCCAGCACCACTGGGCTCTGTGGTCCAAGGAGAGTTCCTTCTGTGTTCCTTGTAGACTTGCAATGTGAGGAAGCCCCTGCTGCGTCCAAGTCAGACTCACATGGGACCGGGGAGGGTGCATCATAAAATTTTTAAAAGAGAGATAAACCACTCAATTTTCCCTGCAATGTCATTAAAATATGAACTGAGATAACAGCAAAGATGAATTGGAAACAAATTGTTCCATAGTAATCTAATTTTTAATAATCTCATGTTTTTGCATTTGTGCCAGAAGGAAATAATCTCCTTGATTCTCAGAATCACTGTGCTTAGTGTTTCCTTTTCCTCCCTTCCTCCCTCCCTCCTTCTTTTTCTTTGATAAGATCATGTTTTCCAGAGTAGACATTATTTAAATTGACATCTATTTTGTTACAATGATGTTTTCATCTTTCAGTTCCACAGCAGGATAAAATAATAAAGGGGGTACTTTGAAGCAACCACCTTTCTCCTTTGAAGTGTTATGTACCAACAATTTAAATCAAGGTCATTTTTCCCTTTGATATTTATCAAGATGAACTTTGACCCACCTACATTGATATTCCATATCAGCTTTCTTTTCCAACCATTGACACTCCTGTTAGATTAGAAAGGAAAATTTTCCATTTTATCTCAATCACCTGATTTATCACCAGCTGATATCTTCACATCTTTTCAAAGTGGAGAAAACTCCTGTTGCTCATTTTGGCAGCAGCTAGAGCTCTGGTCTTGATCTCTGTTCTCTCCATGGGCCCAGTTCTGAATCCAGCAATCATGGGCTGTTTGGGAATCTTTGGAATTATTATCCAACTCTTCCTTGTGTTGAAGATGTCCTTACATCTCTAGTTGTATATCAGTGTTCCTAACACCATGACTTTTTATTTCTTTTTTCTCACAGCAAATGAAAGCTCTTGTTACCAAGGACAGATATTTACAAAAAATATTTGGTCATTAAGTCCAGTCTCTCTCCCTCATTGCAAGCCTCCATTGCAGTGGAAAAAAAAAAAAAAGAAAAGAAAAAAAGAAAGAAAACAAAAAGAAACAGAACAATTGTTTATTTGGTTCTGGGTTGATGCAAGGTACTCTCTGGAGCACATCCTCCTGCAAAGTCACCCAGAAAAGAGAGTGCACTCAGGGATAAGAATGAGGGCTGAGTGGCCCCAACCACAACATTCACCTGATCCAATCATACAATACAATAAAGGACTCAGTAGCCACTCTGCCTTTTCTTCTAATTTGGGCAAAATTCTAATATATTTGGCATTTAGTCTTCCCAAGAATAATAGATGAGAAATAGAAAAATTATCCGAGAGAGTTAGAGGGAAGTATTCTGCCTACTGCAGAAATTGACGACTTGGTTGGGTGCAGTGGCTCGCACCTGTCATACCAGCGTTTTGGGAGGCTGAGACAGGAGGGTACCTTGAGGAAAAACATTTGAGACCAGCCTGGGACAACATAGTAAGACCTCGCCTCTACAAAAATATAAAAATAAAAGAGCACTAACTGCAGACAGGCTGCCATCCACGGAGGAGTCTGAAAGACCAGGAAGAGCCATCAGGAAGGGTCCATCGGCATTGAGCCAGAGGCCTTCATGAAGGAAGAGACTGTCCTTCACGCTCCACTGGCTCCTGAGGACACCCTAGAAGTGGCCTCCAACCTCAATACCTGGGGAAACCTGCCAAAACCAGCCCGAAGCATGGGAACCTTGGGGTGCACGCAATTGTGTAGGTGGTAATTTTAATAGCTAGCATCCACTTAGCACATTCCATGTGCTATGTTCTTTCTTGTGCTGCATTTTACCATTTAATCATCCAGTCAAACCCAGAAGGTAGGGACCACCCTACTTTCCTTTCTACAGCTTGGAGATTGAGCTAGATTCCCCCAAGGGCACACAGTAAGTAAGTAATGGAGGTGGATCAGACCTGGGCCTCTTTGCTACTGAACAGCCTTGTGTGACAGTGGTCAGAGTCCTGCCATTGCATCACCATGCACCCTGGCTGAAGTCCCAGGTCCATCTTAACCCTCTTGGATCAGCATCTCTGAAAGTGGGGCCTGGCCTCTGTGTTCACCATAGGTACTCTGAGTACTGAGAACCTCATGCAGGCCATGGTCTCTGCTTCCCCAGGGAAGGCATGGGGTTTCCATCCATTGAATGCAAGAGGGTGTCTAAGCCCTCAGTGAACACACAAGCCCCAGCTCTGAAGAGACAAGGTGGGTAGAGGCAGTGGGTGCAGAGACAATGATGGCCACAGTGGGCAGGACCCATGCAGCTCTGTCCTCTCCTCCAGGAGTCCCACTGAAATGACAGAAAAGAGACTTTCAAAAGAAAGAAAACACACAGATGCTGGAACACAGAAAAGGGGCATCCGTGGGCCATGAATTTTGAGGAAATCGTGAGAGGACCTTGAGAGTGGGGTTGAGTGTTTGAGCAGGAGGTAAACTGTAGTCTGAATGTAAGAAGGTCAGCAGGGTTTTTCCCTGGGAGACATGAGAAACAAGCTGAGGTCTCTCAAGGCAAAGAGCAGGAGTGGTGGGGGGATCTGGTGAATCACTGTGTGGGCTCACAGAAGGTGCTGGGTCCTTGCTTTCCACCCTTTGCCCTTGGTCCTGATGGGGCAGAGCTGACTGCGCTGGGGACAAGGCTCCCACAGCCCACCCTCCGCCAGCGCACCTTGCCTGACCTGACTGCCAGAGGGTTCCGCCCTCCTCACCACCTGTACCAAACTCTGCAGTCCTCAAAAGAAAACCTGAAGAGTGAGGAAAACTACAAACAAGGGAGGAAGATCAAGAAGGAATCCAGAGAACAGGGGAAACTTCACTGGACACAGATATTAATTGAGTGCATGTGTGTAATATAATTGTTTATATTAATATTACATGTATATATACATGCCCTATATATATATACACTCATATATATATATATATATACACTCATATATATATATATATATATATACACACACACAGAGTCATGTCATATAATGACATTTTGTTCAGTGATGAACACAGCCGTGGTCCTATAAGTTTATAATGGCACTAAAAGATTTCTGTTTCCTAGTGACATTATACTCATCCTAATGTCTTAGTGCAGTGCAATTACTCATGTGTTTGTGGTGATGCTGGTGGAAGTAAACCTACTGCACTGCCAGTCTCGTAAAGGTATAGCAATACAATCACATACAGTACCAAGTACTTGATAGTAAAGACTAAGTACTTGAGAAAGACTATGTTACTGGCTTACGTATTTACTATACTTTTTATTTTAGAATGTACTCCTTCTACTTATAAAAAAAATAGTTAACTGTAAAATAGCCTCAGGCAGTCCCTTAGGAGGTATTCCAGAAGAAGGCCTTATTTTTTATATATATATATTTTAATGTTTTGGGACAGGGTCTCACTCTGTTGCCCAGGTTGAAGTGCATTGGGCGATCTCGGCCATGATTCATGCATGTCATGGCCCCTGAAGACCTTTCAGTAGACAAGATATGGAGGTGAAAGGTGGTGATATCGATGATCCTGAGTCTGTGTAGGCCTAAGCTAATGTGTCTGTTTGTGTCTTCATTTTTTTTTTTTTTTTTTGAGACAGGCTCTTGCCCTGTTGCCCAGGCTGGAGTGCAGTGGTGCTAGCTCAGCTCACTGCAACCTCCACCTCCTGGGCTCAAGCAATCCTCCCATCTCAGCCTCCTGAATAGCTGGGACCACAGGTGCACACTGCCACACCTGGCTAATTTTTGTATTTTTTATAGAGATGTGGTTTCACCATGTTGCCCAAGCTGGTCTCATACTTCTGGACTCAAACTATCCTTCTGCCTTGGCCTCCCAAAGTGCTGGGATTATAGGTGTGAGCCAGCATACCTAGCTGTGTCTTAACTTTTAACGAGAGAGTTTAAAAAGGTTTTTAAAAAGTTTTTAAATAGAAAAAAAAGCTTAGAGTATTAGAATATAAAGAAACAACATATTTTGTGTTTGTGTTTTAAGGTGTTATTACAAGAGTCCAAAGTTTTTAAAAATTTAAAAGTTTGTAAAGTAAAAATGTTACAGAAAGCTAAGGTTAGTTTGTTACTGAAGAAAAAAATATTTTTTATAAATTTAATGCAGCCTAAGTGTACAGTGTTTCTAAAGTCTATAGTATTCTACAGTAATGTCCTGGTCTTCACATTCACTCACCACTCACTCACTGACTCATCCAGAGTAACTCCCTGTCCTGCAAGCCCCATTCATGGTAATTGTCTTATCCGGGTGTCCCATTCTTCATCTTTTACACTACATTTTTACTGTATCTTTTCTATGTTTAGATATGTTTGGATAGACAAATACTTACCATTGTGTTATAACTGCCTACAGTATTCAGTACAGTAACATGCTGTATAGGTTTGTAGCCTAGGAGCAATAGGCCGTCCCATACAGCCTAGGGGTGTTGGATGCTATGCCATCCAGGTTTATCTATGAAGTTTGCAGGATGACAGAATCACTTAATGAGCATTTCTCAGAGTGTATCCCTGTTGTTAAGTGACAAGTGACTGTGTATACACACACACACACGCACACACCACACGCACACACACACACTACAGGAAGATACAGCCTTAAAATGACAATGGACTGCTGTGTAAAAGGAGTTTTAGAGAAATATAATGTGTTCTTGGAATTTTGAAACATGATAAATGAAACATGAGCCAAAGGTTAGAGCAGGATAATAAATTGGAAATGGCTGAACACCAAGTTGCAAATCTGGAAGCTAAAGCTGGGGAAATCTCTCAGGACTTACTTGAAAAAGACATAAATGGAAACTCACAGAAGAACTGGAGCCAGAAGCTACGGACAGTGGTTACCTCAGTGGAGTGAGAAGGCCTGTGATTTCACTGATGGCCCTTCTGAACCATGTGAATTTCTTCCTTCACCACATGCAGACATCAGTTAATAGGACAGATTAAAGTTGCATGCTAGCTGATGGCTGCCGGGGAGGCAGGAATACTCAATTAAGCGCGGCACAGTTCTCGTGGGTTCTTGTTGAATAGTGCAAGTTGGGAGTCCGGTCTTGTTCACCGTTTCCCTCTGTTCTCTAGGAGTGGGCAACCACTCTCATGGATGGCTCATACCTATTACGTGAGCTGCCCTGTGATAACTCACTGTCTCCCTTCTGTCTCAGAAGGCCTGCCTTTCCTTTGCCCTAGTTGTGAGGCATTTGGAATTCAGCCAATCTGCAATGCTGAATGTGGAGGAGGATCCATGTGACATGGTTGGAGCCAAGGTGTTGAGCAAAGCCTCATCTGTCTGGACAAACTTCAGTCCTCACAAGCAAGCAAGCTATGCCCAAGCTTATGTGCAATGCTTTGAATGGGCAGAGGTCAGTCTGACAGTGACAGTGTGAGAACGATGTGGAGCTGGGCCTGGGTGGGGAGAAGGTGCCCGTCCTCCATGAGTCTAAGTGGAGTGTACCCTTTTGACTCACAGATCCACGTATTCCTGTCACCAGTTGGTGCATGAAGGCAATACAGTCTCCTGAGTTTCTACAATACCAGGTCTGTCATTTAGTTGTCCTTGTTTTTAAGTGAGAGTGAAGTTCACTATTCTGAGGTCCAGGGAGGGGTGAGGAATTCCAGCATTAGGTTTGGCCTCAGGAAGAGGGACTGGGAGAATTTGATAATGGGGAGTGCGGTAGGCTGAGTTGTAACATGGTTCCCAAAGTCCCCACCCTCATGTACATACTCTGAATAGCATCTCCCCTTGAGTGTGGGATACTCCTGTGAAGACAACAGGGTTTCAGTGTGAACAGGCAAAAAGGGACTTTGCAAATGTAGTGAAGGTCCCTGATCAGTTCACTTTGAGTCAATAAAAAGGAGATTATCCTGAGTGGGCTTGACCTAATCGGGTGATCCCTTAAAGGAGACAAGAGGCAGCAATAGACATCCTCCTTCTGGCCTTGAGGAAGTCAGCTGCCATATTTTGCTCTTTTTTTTTTTTTTTTCCTTTTGTAGAGACAGTCTCCCTATGCCACCCAAGCAAGTCCGGAATTCCTGGCTCAAGCGATCCTCCTGCCTCTGCCTCTATGAGTACCGGGAGAACAGGTGTGAGCCGCTGCCCAGTCATATTTTGATTGACACTCTCCAAATGTGAGAGTGGCCTCTAGGAGCTTGGAGTGACCCCTGGCTGACAGCCAGCAAGAATATACAGACCTCAGTGTTACAGCCCAGCTGGATCCTGCCAAGCACCAGTGAGCTGGAAGAGGATCCCCAGCCTCAGATGAGCCTGCAGCCTGTGCTGATGCCTGGATTTCAGCCTGGGAGACTCTCAGCAGAGGACTCGGCTCAAGGCTGTCTACAGTCCTGATCTACCAGAACCATGAGATAATAAACAGGCATTGTTTAGGTAGTGAAATGTGGTTACACATAAATAGGAACCCAGTGCAGCGTAAGATGCCCTGGCATATCAAGGGCGGTTCATGAGTGGGTGCCTTCAGCTTGGGAGGAAGCAGGCATAGGGCTGATGCATCGCAGTGTCCACATATGCAGGGAGGCTGGTTTCCTAGGAAGCCTCCCAATGAGGAAATTGTTGGGAATGTGCTGCAAGGCGCTGCCTCGCTCTGGAGCCAGACGAGAGGCCGGAGCATCCGCCCCAACATGGCTGGCTGTGTGAGCCTCAGGAACGCTGGCAGCTCTGCAAGACTCTCTGCCATCTGCAAAATGTGGGTGAGCATATCCCCCCAGCCACACAATTCTTGGGGATGGAGTGAGACAATTCTTAGAAAGCTCTAGTTGCAGTGCGGGTGCACAGGAAGGGCTCTGTGCACACTGATGCATGTTGCTCTAGCTCAAAGTGTCCCTTGAGCAGCTGGGGTGTGATCTCCAAGTGCACCCACCAGCCGGTCTCACCTGGCCTGGGCTCCGAGCAGGGGTCAACCTGAGGGCATTTCACTCCAGATCCAGCATGGGTTTGAGGAAGGGGCCAATGAGGGGCCAGTGGCCACAAAATAGCACTTGATTCTGATCATAAGCCCAGTCACTAAGAGGCGGGTAAAAAGAAATGCATTACCCATTTGACAAATTTTCTATGGTGAATGAATACAAATACTGGGTTACAATGAGCACTTGGCTAGCTGGCTAAAGGTAGGGCCCCAAATAGGGGGGCTGAATGGAGGTGAGAAGCCTGTGACCATTGCTGAGGCATGGGCAGGGACTCGGGCACACACGTGTGGGCAGCTCCGTGGTGTTAACCTCCAGCCTGGGTCAGTTGCTGGCCTGGGCTGACTGTGGTGACCACAGGCCAGGGGATATTGGGAGGGACTGAAAACCATGAAACAAAGCAGAACAAACTTGCCACTCCAAAACCTCACACACGGCAGGAAGTGGGCCAGCCTGGAGTTACTGAGGGGGCTGTGGCCGGGCACACCCTGTCCTACCTGAACCCAGAGTGTCAAAGACAAACAAAGCCAGGCAGTAGTGAGAGGGTCAGGAGAGATTTTTCACAGTAATAACCGTTGCAGTGGGGAAGAGGTTACAGTGTGAACTGAAGTCAGCTTGGATGTGTACAGAGGTGAGTGGATTTTTCCAAGGGAGGAGGGAGGGGTGAGGGAAGGCTTGCTGGAGTCAGGAAGTGAGAAATTGCAAAGCCCAGGAAGGAGGGGCCGGCCCCACTGGGCTGCTAACTGGCTCTGGTCGAAGTTAGCTCCTGATGTCCCACAGAGGCCGGGAGACAGGGGCCGTAGCTGCAGGGATTGGCTGGAACAGGGTATTTTTTGGCGGTCTTGAGTTTCCTGAGGTAGGGACTATAAGGGGGGCTGGTGTCATCCTAGGGATGTGGCCATGAGTTGCTAGATGCCATGTTAGTGTTAGCTGAAGTCTTTATAGGCCAGCGTGGAGGTATTGTTGAGAAGAGGACTCAGAGGAGCCTGGCTGGCAGTTGGTCGAGGAGAGATCTTAGTCTAGGGCCCCACACAGCCCAGGTTCCAGGGATGTGGGTCCTGGCCAAGTATCCCATGGGCTCCTGCCTTTGGCTCACTCGAGTGGGCCTCAGGGACTCGCCACCAAAAAATCTGAGACGCCAGCCTCAAGGATGTGAGGGTGTCACATCTGTCCTCCACAAAGAGCCCAAGCAAGATGAGAAACAGCTTCATGACCCCCATAATGAACAAGCCTTTTAATGTCAGGACAGCTGCAAGCCCTTCTTCAAGCTCTCGGCCTCACCTGTCTTCCTTATAACCACAGAAAATGTCACTCCTCCTCTGATTTGCCTTCTATACCATGCCCTTCCATCTGAGGCAATCTTGTGAAGCATTCCACGTGGTCCTCCTGGGCCAGCTCACCCTCATGACCCCTGGGCTGCAGGCCACAGCTCTCCCTGGCGGACCAGGAGGCTGGCATGGCAGCATGGATAGAAAGTGTCTTTTACCTAAGTCATCATTCATTAACTCCAGTTACATTAGAGATGTTTCCTGCTGGAAAACTTTCAGAATCATCTCTTTTTGAGAAAAAGGTGTGTGTATTTTTTTAAACAACAGCAATAGTCCAAGTCTGACTACTAAGAGCACATTTTTATTTTTAAAATTAGACATTGTGCTGAAAACAAGTTTATTAAAATATGATCTATAACCTAATTTTATTCTTTCTTATAGACATGGGGGTCTCAGTATGTTGCCCAGGCTGGTCTTGAACTTCTGGCCTCAAGTGATCCTCCCACCTCAGCATCCCGGGTAGCTAGAACTAGAGGCACACACCACTGTACCCAGCTATGACTTGGTTTTAATTGTCAAGGGAACCAGATTTGTGAAAGAACAAAAACAGTGGCATTTGTTTGTCTGGAAATGGGGCCATCTGGGTTCTCCATCTCTTGGGGGCTGTGTTTGGAAAGGAAGAGCTGTCAGTCTGGGTTCCAGGCCGATCCTCCCCGCAGTGGCTTTCTTCCTCTCTCGCCTGGAGGACATCTCATAGTTCTTGCCCTCAGGGTCCCCCCAGGCCGCCTTATCCTCCTGGCTTTTCATCCCCTGCAATGTGCCACTCAGCTGCTGAGCTTCCAGGCCAGGCCTGCAGTTTCCTGGGTACCCAGCATGAGTGGGGCTCTCAGCTGAAGGGTGGGTCAGGTGGTACAGGAGCCTCCATAACAGTTTGCTAAATATATGAATAAATAAATTATAAAACGTTAGTCCCCCTGCCAAAAAAAAAGCACAAAACACAGTTTGAGGTGATGTGTTTTTGCCCTTGCCTGAGGGAGTTGGGATTTACACAATGCCACCATTTGCAAACTGGGATCTACAAGCCCCAGCAAGACACAAAGTTTGCAAGGGCACAGGCAGTGTTAAGCAAGCTGTGTTCCAGAACCTAACACCATCTTCATGGGCAGGCCCTGATGGAGATGCAGTTCTTCCCCGCCTTCCTCCACAGCACCCAGCTCCCTCCCCAAGCAGATCTTTCCACCCAGGGCAATGTTGCATCAGCCCAGAGGAGGAAGGCCTCCCTGGCCATGGCCACAGCCCACCCACCAGAGGATATTTGCAGTGTTGGGAAAGTGTGAGAAAGTGAGTGACTAATGGCTGTGTTACTAATCTTCTGGCAAGTCAGATTGTTCTAGTTCTTTGCTTTCCATGAACTGAAAGAGGATCTAGTCAATTTATAAACTGATGGATTAGATCATTAAAAGTAATTTTTAGGCCGGGTGCAGTGGCTCATGCCTGTAATCCCAGCACTTTGAGAGGTTGAGGTGGGAGGACTGGTTGAGCCCAGGATTTCAAGACCAACCTGGGCAACATAGTGAGACCCCGCGTCTACTAAAAATAAAAATTAACGGGCGTGGTGGCACACATCTGTGATCCTGGCTACTCAGGAGGCTGAGGTGGGAGGACCCCTTGAGTTTAGGAGTTTGAGGCTGCAGTGAGCCATGATTGTACCACTACACTCTAGCCTGGGTGACAAAGCAAGACTATCTCAAAAAAATTTTTTTATGATCAATCTTCATGTAATTTTCAGCACATAACTTAGAAGGAGTGGAATCTTTACAACAAAACACTTTCCATTCAGATGTATTTACTCATGTAAAAACGTTTTTCGCCATGCTTACATATATAAAAAATAGGAATCCAACTGATACCGAATCATGTGTCATGCCACCGATAAGTAATATTCATCCATGGATACATAAAGTAATTTGAAAACAGTTTTAGTACCATTTATCTCGTTATAAGATGTGTTTCTGATAAGTGTATATTTTCACTATTAATAATTATCAAGTTATAATGTAGTCATTTTACCTTCATGAATTGAGTGTTAATAACCATGATAACTGGAATACATCATTTACAATAACTGGAAAAAGTTATTTAACATTTAGAGACATGTTGAAGAAAATTAAAATTGTAAGTTTTTATACATAGCTTTTGTAGCAAGAAACCTGATAGTGTGATGAACAGAAGAGTTTTAAGCATAAGAAATTGTTATAATAAAATTCTGTGGAGGAAGAGGAATGAAAACAGGAGTTGCAGTAGAAAAAATGGATACTTAAGGAGGAGATTGTTCACACACATTTTTTTTTTTTTGAGACAGGGTCTCACTCTATGACCCAGGCTGGAGTGCAGTGATGTGATCTCAGCTCACTGCTTCCTTGACCTCCTGGGCTCAAGTGATCCTCCTACCGCAGCCTCCTGAGTAGCTAAGACTACAGGCACCTTCTGCCATGCTCAGCTAATTAAAAAACAAATTTTGTAGAGACAAGGTCTTGCTGTGTTGCTGAGGTTGTTCTGGAGCCCCTGGGCTCAAGCAATCCTCCTACCTCGGCCTCTCAGAGTGCTGGGATAACCAGCGTGCGCCACCACGCCCAGCCATGTTCACACATTTTTAAATTTGGGGGATGGTGGGTATATAATTTTCAGGCTGTTTAGATTCCACTGGACACATTTAAAAGAGCATGTAATTTTTGTAATGTCAACATATGCCATATGCTGAAACTATTTCAATGTATGATAAAAATGTTAAATATCAACTTAAAAATATGCTAGATGGTATACAGTCACAGGACACTCTCTTAAGGAGTGAGAGGACAAAGGCTTGCAGCCTGTGGTGGGAAGACATTGAGAAATGTCTCAGAAAGGTAAGTGCTGATGTTACTAGGAAACGGGATCAGTGAGAGACGTCAGAGATTGTTCTGTTAAAATACACTCCCAAGGAGCTACTAAAACCCCTAGAAGATAGAACTGAATGAGGAAGAACTAGCTAAGCATGAAGGCAGCAAAAGTAATGGCACAAAGAAACATGGGATTCAACCATAGAGAAGATGTACACCTCTGTATGTCAGAAAAACATGCCCATTCAAATTAAACACCATAGTTACAGTAATGCTCTCCAAACTTTTTCTCGCAAATTCCTAAAAGTACACTGAAAAACTGTATACCTTTTTGCACATTGCAAAGATGGCTGTTGACATGTTTCACCCCAAGTTTAAATATCTGAAAAGAATGTAATTTTGGTATATCGGAAACATTGACCTTTAACTATATATATATTTATATACACACAATATATATACATATAGAATACGTTAATACAGTATATGTTTTATATATATATACACAGACACACAGATTATGTGTTACCACAATATGTGATATATGTATATAGCTATATATGTATATATAACATATACTGTATGAATTGTGTGTGTATATATAACGTATATGTTATGACGATATTCAATACTTTAGGTGTGTTTGGAGTTATATGCCCCAAATTATGTAATAATCCATCATTACAAATTATTTTCAATCTGACTACTTGATTCAATTTTGTTAAAAGTGAAAACTGGAAACAATATTACTGTCTGTGTGTGTATGTGTATGTGTGTGTATATATATATAAAACACATATATTAATATATGTTCTACATACATAGTAAATGTATATGCCCTAAATGTATACAATATAATATAAGTGCTCTAGTAATATGAAATACACTATCATCCTTAAAAAAAGTACACAAACAAAACCTTTGACAACTGTAAATTGTTTTTCCTTCTATGTTTATTTTTTCTACTTTTCCACACAATTTTATTGTAATATTGATTTTTTCTTGATGTCTTTTATTGATTATTCTGTCATACCTCTCTGTCACATAATATATATATAAACTGATCAAAACAACAAATGCATTAAAATCATTATTAAAATTATTAAAATTGTTTTGGGAATGCATCACTTAATGAAACAGATGAGAATTCTTTCCCAATTAATTCATGTATCCATGGATGAACATTGCTTGCTGTTAGAAGGCGGTACAGTTCTGCATCACATCCATCCCATGTTAGCTTTTATAGATGTTGCACTGAAAAGTCAAACCATCTGTCACATCTTAGTCAATTTCTGTTAAAAAAAATAGACAATTTTTATACATAAATAAATGTTAACATGCAATTTGAGGAATATTACAAAAAACATTGAGAAATAAATTATCGAATCTGTCTTTTAAGAGTGCCAATAGCAAGATTAAAACAATAGCGATGAGATATAATTCCATTATGTATACTATTGAATTGTAAAAACAAGATAACAATGCTGGTCAGCAACACTTAATTTCTAACAATAAAATGTTACACGTAACTAGACTGAGGTACATGGGTGGAAAGCATAGAAGAAGCCATGATATCACTTCAGTAAATGTGTAGGCAAGCATGCACTGGATTCCAGGGTTTGGCTTGAAGGATAATTAGAGTTTTTTTTTTAATGTCAAAAAAAAAAATTCATTTTAAAAAGATAATTGACCAAAATTGTCCTTGGTCTAACCCCTGGGGTATACTTTTTATTTTGTATTAACAAAAGGCAGAGCATAATGAACATTTTCTCTGATCAAATAAAAGTGAGGATTTATGCAATTGGAATATTTTACAACCTTATTTGACCACATGAGTTTGATTTCCTTATTGAATGATACATGAAATCTGAAGGAAAGCTCACCAAATATTAATGTGCAGGTCTTGTATATCTCGATGGTCCTGAGAAAACATTCCATTCACAACGAAAAGAATCTGCACCATTAACCTACACTGCTCCTGCTTTTTGGAGAGATTTTTCCTTCTAGCTAATGATATCTCTACTAATGAAGTAGGAAAGAACAAAAGGTATTTTTAGAATTCCACACTTTTTTTGCTGTGCTCTGGTAAGACCTTCTCTCGGGATCTGTGAGTCCTTTGAGAGTAATTTGTGGGGAGTGGAGGTGGGTTGGAAGGGGTGAGGTCACTCTTGCAGCTGCACTGTAGCAATGCTGAATTCCGGCGGTTCCACGCCCGGGCTTATAGGGACAGCACAGTATTCAGGGCCAGAAGGCGGAGGCCTTGGCAGGAGCAAGGTGTTTCATCAGCTACCGTGGGGTTCTATTCAGAAGGGTCTCTTGGTACGGTTGTCTTTTACACTCTTTTCTGAGACTGGGGATGGGCCAGGCACAAGCCCTGCTTTTGTCACATGGAGAGGCATTGTGGAAGGTGATTTCGTGTGAACCAGCTGCGGGGGTCGGGCAGGGAGATGAAGAACTTAGAGAATTGACACCTCACAATGGCCTGCACCCACACCCTTCTCAGAAGGCACTGCCTCTTCGCTTGAGGGGTAGCTTGAAGGCCCCTGAAAGCAGGGAACGAGGCGCGGCTGTGCGCGCGCGGCAGGTGCACAGGACCCACCTCGCCGGGACCCACCTCGCCGCAGCCCCTGCGCGGCCTTTCCCTGCGCGCTGGTTAGGAGGCTCCTTCTCCTGGCCCACCCCAGACCTACTGAATCCCAGGCTCTGTGGGGAGGCCCAGCCATTTGTCTTAGGAAGCAGGCCAGGTGATTCTGATACACAGGAAAGTCTGAAAACCTCTGTCTCCTGTCAGAGCGCGGTGGCTCACGCCTGGACTCTAAGCACTTTAGGAGGCCAAAGCGGGAGGAGCGCTTGGGCCCAGGAGTTCGAGACCAGGCTGGGCAAAATGGTGAGACCAAGACCCCGTCTCTACAAAAAACTACAAAACAGAAGAAAAACAAAACAAAAAGCATGAAAACCTCCGTCTCCTTTCCCAGCAGGGACCAGCCCTCCCACTCCGCTGATGATGGGGGTACTGGGGAGCGCAGCGGTGCGCAGGCACCTGGGGTTCCGTGCCTCTCCTCACCCGCCGAGCCCCGCAGCAGTCCCGCTGCCTCTGCTCTGCAGCACCCTGACTTGCGGTGCTCCCCACCCACCGCCGTGCTTGTCAGCTCCAACTCCGTGCTGGACCTTGGCTGGCTCTGAGCAGGTTTCTCCATTGGTGGAGAATTTGAATATGTTTCATTCAAGAAATCCCAGCAAAACACAAGGGTAATGCTGAATATTTTAAATATCGGTGGATAAAAAGTGAATGAAACACACACACAAAAGTAATACAATCTCTTAATAAATATGAAGAGATTCTATCTTTCAAATATAGAAATGGAAATGAGAAAAATAGCATTTTGCCTACTGTCAAGGACTGAAGGAAAAAAGGAGATAATAGTCAGTCTCTACTAAAAATACAGCTGGGCCTGGTGGTTGCACGCTTGTAGTACCAGCTACTCTGAAGGCTGAGGCAGAAGAACTGCTTGAACCTGGGAGGTGGAGCTTGCAGTGAGCCGAGATCGCGCCACTGCACTCCAGCCTGGGCGACAGAGCGAGACTCAGACTCAAAAAAACAAAAAAACAAAAAAAGTTTGCAGGAAGGATAAAACAGTAGCTTTCCGTCCTGTTGGTGTGACTGTAATCATTAAAGGATCACATTCTTGAGAGCAATTTGGCAAAACGGATCAAGAATCATTCAAATGCTTACCCTTTAAAGTCATATTTTACTTCTAAGCATTTTGCCTACAAAAATAATGCACATTAAAATTTCTCTACAAGGATATTAAGTTTAGGATAATTTTTATGATAAAAATTGCCCGTAGCATAAGTATTAATGAAAGGAGAATAGTTAAATTTATTAAGGTAAATTCATCGGGTGGACATTATACACCATTTCCAATCTGTTCAAGGAAAGTTTAATGACGCGGCAGAAATACGTTATATGCACAGAGTGGGATCTAAAACCTGAATCACAACATGCATTTCACTTAGAGACGAAAGAGATTGAGATCTTGATTTTGTTCTGTTTGACTTGCACTCATTCTCCCAATCTGTCTTTCACATGCTGATTGAGCACTTTATACATCAACTGATCAGCATTTTGAGGAATCTTACCAGGAAACTGCTTGCTGGCCAAAGTTTTAATTTTGGCACCTGCATCATTGCTGTGCTTGGGCAATTGTCTGAATATTTCTATTACATCTTGTCATTATTTTATAAAAGGGAGAGGGGAATGGAACTATGAAAGTGCTGTGGCAAGATTTGTCATTCTCACAAAGGCAGTGACAATATGAAGTTGGACATCTGAAGTGGGCTGTCAGCTGCAGTCATACCTGTGAGCTCAATTGTTGAGAAAAGATTCAGAATTAGTGATGATGTCCATAATGCCAGAAGTAAACTGTGAAGGTTGCGTCTGAAAGGCAAGATTTGATTAGGGATTTGTATTATTCTTTCTATTATATTCGAAAGTAGAAATCTGCCTGTGTGCATAGAAAAACTTAGAAGGCAATATACTAGAATATTAAAATATTAAAAATTGTTGTTTTGGGATGGTGAGACTGCTTCTAAATATTTTTTCTTTCTTTTTTTTGAGACGGAGTCTCACTCTGTCACCAGGATTCTCCTGCCTCTGCCTCCTGAGTAGCTGGGATTACAGGCACCTACCACCACGCCAGGCTAATTTTTGTATTTTTAGTAGAGATGGGGTTTCGCTATGTTGGCCAGGATGGTCTCGATCTCCTGACATTGTGATCTGCCCACCTCGGCCTCCCCAAGTGCTGGGATTACAGGCCTGAGCCACCACGCCCAGCCAAGACTGCTTCTAAATATTCTTAAAAGGATATGAATACTTTTATAATCAAGTAAAGCATTAAATGTTATTTTTAAGGAGGAAAGAAGAAAGTGCACCTTATCAACCTGCTAAAATGTAACTGAATATAATAATGCTGGTTATAAGATGATGCTCTTTTCTGGACCTGTTCCAGCTTGTGAATATTCCTTTTTAAACATAGTCTTCAAAGCCAACACAATTCTCCAGGTAAGGCTGATTCCCTGGGGACTCTGGGGAGATTGGATGGAATCAGAGAATCTCAGAATCATCTAGGTTAATAGCTCTCTCAATCTGTGAATCCCAGCACCATCTAACCATTAGTATTAATTTGCTTTTCTATGAAAGTCCTTCAGCTGTATGAAAGCAGCTGTCCTGTTCCCTCTTTTATTTTTTCCTAAAATTCACGAATATTTATAAGGCACCAGCAGTGTAATACACACTAGACCCTTTCCCATCATTTAACGACATTTTCTTTGTTTCAGACTGGATGTGCCTAGTTCTTTCAGTCATCTCCTCTATGACATAGTGATGGGTATTCTCGCTGTCTTGAATGTTCTGATTTGCTGATGTCCTTTAACATGTGACAACCAAAATTAACACAGAAGAGGCTTTACCCATGCAGAGTACAAAAGGTGAAGTGCCTCTGTTTCATTCCTGTAGCTGACATGGCTGCAGTGATTCTGTTGTGAAATTACACCTGTGCAGACTGGTACATGAACCAGGTTTGCTTAAGGACATGCTCAGCCCACAGATGTAGGCTGCGTCATGCATCTGTAGACAGATGAGCACCTTCATTGGTGCCTCCATCTCTTGTCTCTCCCTTCTTTCCCATCCCATGGTTGGCTATCAGAATTCTCTCTCTGCTTTTAAAAAGCCACTTTACAGAAGTATGACTGATAAACAAAGAGCTGTACAAATTTACTGTACACAACTTGATGAATTTGGAGATAATTATGTACCTATGAAATCATCATGACAATTTATGCCATAAACATATTTACCAACTCCAAAAGTTTCCTCCTGCCCTGTTTATTAATTATTATTATTACTATTTGTGATAAGAGCACTTAACATAAGATCTACCCACTTAGTAAATTTTCTCTTTTTTTTTGGAGACAGGGTCTTTCTCTGCTGCCTAGGCTGGAGTGCAGAGGCGTGAATATGGCTCACTGCAGCCTTAACCTCTCAGGCTCAAGCAATTCCTCCCACCTCAGTCTTCTGAGAAGCTGGAACCAAAGGTGTTTGCCACCATGCCTGGTTACTTTTTTATTTTTTGTAGAGACAGAGTTTTGCCATGTTGTCCAGGCTGGTCTCCAACTCCTGGGCTCAAGCCATCCTCCCCACGTGGCCTCACAAAGTGCGGGGATTACAGGCATGGGCCACCACCCCCAGCCCCACTTAGTAAATTTTTAAGTATACAATATGTTATTGTTAACCATAGACACTATACTATGTATAATATATACTACTGAATAGTAGATCTGGAAGATTTATTCATCACGCACAACCAAAATTTTGTACCCTTTGACCCATATCTCCCCATTTTCTTCTCTCCCTAGCCCCTGGCAACTACCGTGCTACTCTCTGCTTCTATGACTTCGGCTATTTTAGATTCCATGTATAAGTGGTATCATGTAAATTTGTCCTTTGGTGTCTGGCTTACTTCACTTAGCTTAATGTCTTCCGGGTTGATCCATGTTGTCAATAAGGAAAAAATTCTTTCTTTTTAAAGGCTAAGTAATATTTCACCATACACACACACACACACACACACATACACACACACTCTATATATATATATAAACATTAAACACCATATATATGGTGTATTATATGACGAAATATTAAACACCATATATATGGTATTCAATGTTTATATATACACTATATGTATACACACACTGTGTGTGTATATATATATATATATATATATATATATATATACATACTACACACACACACACACATTTTCTTCACCCTTTCATCTGTCTACAGACATTTAGCATTTAGGTTGCTTCCATGTTTTTAATATTATGGATAATGCTGCAATGAACAGGTTACTGTTCCTTCCTTCTTCTTCCAAATCCTGCTTTCAATTTATTTGGATATATACTTAGAATCATAGTAGTTCTACTTTTAATTTTTTGAGGAACCTCCATACTGTTTTCCATAGTGGTTGCACCAATTTACACTCCCATCAACAATGTAAAAGCATTCTCTCTTCCCCACATTTTCACCAACACTTATCTTTTGTTTTTCTAATAGTAGCCATCCTCATAGGTGCGATCTCATTGTGGTTTTGATTTGCGTTTCCTTGATGATTATTATGTTGAACACATCTTCATCAATATGTTAGTCATTTGTATGTCTTTGGAGAAATGTCTACTCAATTTCTTTGCCCATTTTCTAATTGGGTTATTTATTTATCTATTTATTTTTGCTAATAAGTTGTAGGAGTTCCTTATGTATTTTGGACACTAACCCTTTATCAGATACATGGTTTGCAATACTTTCTCTCACTATGTAGGTTGTCTTTCCATTTTGTTGTTTCCTTTGCTATGCAGAAGTTTTTTAGTTTGATGTAATCTCACTTGTCCATTTTTGATTTTGTTGCCTGTGCTTTGGTGGCCATATCCAAGACATCATTGCCAAGGCCAATGTCAAGAAGCTTTTTAAAACCCTATGTTTTCTTCCACTAGTTTTACTGTTTCAGATCTTACATTTAAATGTTTATTTTGAGTTGATTTTTGTGTATATTATGAGATAAGAATCCAGTTCCATTCTTTCTCATGTGAGTAACCAGTCTTTCCAACACCATTTGTTGAAAAGCCTACAACTTCCCCATTGTATATTCTTATATCCTTGTGGAAGATCAGTTGACTGTACATGCCTGGATTTATTCTGGCACTCTCTATTCTATTCCATTAGTCTGTATCTCTTTTTATAACCTAGTACCATATTGTTTTCATTACTGCAGCTTTGTAATATATTTTGAAATTAAGTAATGTGATATTTCCAGTTTTGTTCTTCTTGCTCTAAATTGCTTTGCTTATGATTCATATGATTTTAGAATTACCTTTCCTATTTCTGTAAAACATACATTGGGATTTTAATAAAGATTTCAGGTTGATTGCAGTGGCTTATGACTGTAATTCAGCACTTTGAGAGGCTGAGGTGGGTGAATCACTTGAGCCCAGGGGTTCGAGATCAGCCTGGCCAACATGATGAAGCTCTGTCTCGGCTAAAAATACAACAACAACAATAAAATATCCAAGCATGGTGGCACATGACTGTAATCCCAGCTTCTTGGGAGGCTGAGGCACAAGAATTGTTTGAACCCAGGAGGCGGAGGTTGCAGTGAGCCGATATCATACCACTGCACTCCAGCCTGGGCGACAGAGTGAGACTCTGTCTCAAAAAAAAAACAGAAACGAAAACAAAAACAAAAAAAAACAAAGATTGTATTAAATATAGAGATAGTTTTGTGTAATATGGACATTTTAACAGTATTAATCATTCAGTCTATGAACATGAAGTGTATTTCCATTTATTTGCGTCTGCTTTAATTTCTTTAATCAGTGTTTTATAGTTTTTAGCGTACATGTTTTTCAGCCCTTTGATTAAATTTATTCTTATTGTTTAATGCTATTGCAAATAGGATCATTTCTTTAATTTCCAATCTGGTTTGGCTTTGTGTCCCCACCCAAATCTCATCTTGAATTGTAATTCCATAATCCCCACATGTTTTGGGAGGGGCCTGGTGGGAGGTAATTGAATCATGGGGGCAGATTCCCCCCATGCTGTTCTCATGTTAGTGAGTGAGTTCTCACAAGACTTGATGGTTTTATAAGGGGCTTTCTCCTGTGTTCGGCACTCATTCTCTCTTCCTGCTGTCCTGGGAAGAGGTGGCTTCCACCATAATTGTAAGTTTCCTGAGGTCTCCTCAGCCATGTGGAACTGTAAGTCAGTTAAACCTCTTTCGTTGATAAAATACCAAGTCTTGGGTATGTCTTTATTAACAGTGTGAGAACAAACTAATACAATTTTCCTTCTGAATAGTTTGTTGTTAGTGTATAGAAATGCAACTATTTTTTTTTCTGCATCTCTATTGCATTTTTTTTTTTTTTGAGGCAGAGTCTTACTCTGTCACCAAGGCTAAAGTATAATCGTGCAATCATGGCTCACTGCAGCCTCGACCTCTTGGGCTCAAGCAATTCTCCCACCTCAGCCTCCCAAGTAGTTGGGACTACAGGTGGATGCCACCACACCCAGCTAATTTTTGTATTTTTTGTAGAGATGAGGTTTTGTCATGTAGTCCAGGCTGGTCTCAAACAACTGCACTCAAGCTATCTGCCCACCTCAGCCTCCCAAAATGCTGGGATTACAGATATGAGCCATAGTGCCTAGCCTTAATTTTTATATGTTGATTTTATATTCTCAAGTATACTGAATTTCTTTATTGGTTGCAACAGTTTTTCTGTGTGTGCGTGTGTGTGTGTGTGTGTGTGTGTAATCATTAGGGTTTTCCACATATAAGGTCATGCCATCTGCAAACAGAGATAATTTTACTTCTGCCTTTCAAATTTGGATGCCGTTTATTTATTTATTTGCCTAAATGCTCTGGCTAGGAATTCTCTGTACTATGTTTAAGAGGAGTGGCAAGAGTGGGCATCCTTGCCTGGTCCAGATTTTACTGGAAAAATTTTCAGTATTTCACCATTGAGTATAATGTTAGCTATAGACTTTTCATAACTAACTTTTATTGTGTTGAGATAAGTTCCTTCCATACCTAATTTGTTGAGGGTTTATATCATGAAAAATGTTGAATTTTTTAAAGTGTTTTTTCTGCATCTATTTAGACAATCATGTGATTTTTATCATTCATTTTGTCAATAATCAACATTACATTGATTGATGTGAATATGTTGAGCCATCCTTTTCTCCCAGGGATAAATCTCACTTGGTTATGGTGTATGATCCTTTTAATATGTAGTTAAATTCAGTTTGGCAACATTTTGTTGAAGACTTTTTGCATCAATGTTCACATGCTATTGACCTGTAGTTTTGTTTTCTTGTGTTGTCTTTGTCTGCACTGGAATCATGGTGATGCTTGCCTCATAAAATGCATTTGAGTGTGTTCCCTTTTCTTACATTTTTTTAAAAGGAGTTTAATAAGAATTGAGGTTAGTTCTTCTTTGACTGTTCGGTAAAATTTATTTGTGAAGCCGTCTTGTCCTGGGCTTTTCTTTGTTGGAAGGTTTTCCAAATTATTATTATTACTGATTCAATCTCCTTGTTTGCTATGGGTCTGTTCAGGCTTTCCATTTCTTCTTGATATCAGTCTTCTTAGGTTTTATGTCCCTAGGAATTTATCCTTTTCTTCTAGGTTATCAAATTGGTTGGCATATAACAGTTCATAGTAGTCTCTTATGATCCCTTTTTATTTCTGTGGTATCAGTTTTTATGTCTCCTCTTTCTGATATTATTCAGTCTTCTCTATTTTTTTCTTAGTCTAGCCAAGGATTTGTTGATTCTGTTTATCTTTTTAAAAAAACAAATCATAGTCTTTTAAATTTTTGTCTGGTATTTTTCTATTCTCTATTTTATTTGTTTCTGTTTTCATCTTTATTGTTTGCTTCCTTTTGCTAACTTTGGGCTTAGTTTGCTCTTCTTTTTCAAATTCCTTGAATGTAAAGCTGGGTTGTTTATTTGAGATATTTCTTCTTTTTTATTGCTTTATAGACATTTATTGCCATAAACTTCCCTCTTCATATTGCTTTTGGTTTATTCCATAAGTTTTAATATGTTGTGTTTTTGTTTTCATTTGTCTTGAGATATTTTCTAAATTTTTCTTGTTTTTCATTTATACATAATAATTATACATAATTAAGGGTTATATGTGATATTTTGATACATACATGCAATGTATAATGATCAAATGAGGGTAATAGGATATCTATCACCTCAAACATTTATTCTTTCTCTGTGTTGAGAATACTCCAGATCTTCTCTTCTAGCTGTTTCAAAATGTACAATAAATTATTGTGGGCTGGGCTTGGTGGCTCATGCCTGTAATCCCAGGACTTTGGGAGGCCTAGGCGGGAGGATCACGAGGTCAAGAGATCGAGACCATCCTGGCCAACATGGTGAAACCCCGTCTCTACTAAAAAATACAAAAATTAGCTGGGTATGGTGGTGTGTGCCTGTAATCACAGATACTCAGAAGGGTGAGGCAAGAAAATCGCTTGAACCCAGGAGGAAGAGGTTGCAGTGAGCCGAGATCGTGCCACTGCACTCCAGGCTGGCAACAGAGTGAGACTCCGTCTTAAAAAAAAAAATTGTGAACTCTAGTCAGCCTCCTGTGCTATGGATCACTAGAACTTTTTCCTTCTATGTAATTGAATTTCTATTTTTACTTTTTAAAATTTCTACCTCCCTCCACTGATTTTTTCTTTTTTTTAGAGACAGGGTCTCACTCTGTTGCCCAGGCTGTGAGTGCAGTATTATGATCATTGCTCACTGCAGCCTTAAGCTCCTGGGCTCAAACAATCCTCCTTCCTGCCTCCTGCCTCAGCCTTCCAAGTAGCTAGGATTACAGGCATGTAACACCATGCCTGGCTAGCTTTTTAGTTTTATTTTTTGCAGAGACGAGGTCTTGCTATATTGCCTATGCTGGTCTCAAACTCCTGGGCTCAGAAATTCTCCCACTTCAGCCTCCCAGAGTGCTGGGATTACAGGCAATATACACTGCGCCTGGTTGTAATTGAATTTTGTACCCATTAACCAGACTTTTAAAAATTGCTTCCTTCCCCTTCTCCTTCTCACCCTCTGGTAATCATCATTCTACTCTCTACCTTCATGAGCTCAATGTTTTTAGCTCCTATATGTGACTGAGAACATGTGATGTTTGTCTTTCTGTGCCTTGCTTATATCAGTTAACATAATGTCCTCCAGTTCTATCTATGTTACTGCAAATGACAGAATTTCCTTGTTTTTAAAGGTGAATAGAATTCCACTTGTGTATAAGCCACATTTTATTTATTCATTCATCCATTGATTGACACGTAGGTTGATTTCATAACTTGGCTATTGTGAATGCTGCTGCAATAAACACAAGAGTGCAGATATCTCTTTGATATATGAATTTCCTTTCTTGTAGAGGTATACCCAGCAGTGAGATTGCTGGATTCACTTTTTGAGGAACCGTCACATGGTTTTCCTAGTGTCTGTACTAATTTACATTCTCACCAACAGCGTGCTAGCATTTCCCTTCCTCTGCCCCTTTGCTAACATTTGCTATTTTTTTTCTTTTTGATAATAGCCATTTAAACTAGGGTGGGATGGTGTCTCATTTTGGCTTTGAGTTGTATTTCCCTGATGATTAGTGATGTTGAACATTTTTTCCATATACACATTGATTATTTGTCTTCTTTTGTGAAATATGTATTCAGATCATTTGCCCATTTTTAAATCAGATTATTTTAATTTCACTATTAAGTTGAGTTCCTTAATATTCTGGTTATTAATCCTTTGGCAGATGGATAGTTTACACATATTTTCTCCCATTCTGTAGGTTATCTTTTCTCTCTGTTGGTTGTTTTCTTTGCTGTGCAGAAATTTTAGCTTGATATAATCCCATTTGTCTATTTTTACTTTTCTTTTTTCTGAGACAGGGTCTCACTCTGTTGCCCAAGCTGGAGTGCAGTGGTGTGATCACAACTCACTGCAGCCTCAACCTCCTGGGCTCAACTAATCCTCCCACCTCAGTCTCCTGAGCAGCTGGGACTATAAACACATGCCCCACACCCAGCTAATTTTTATATATTTTTTTTTTGTTGAGAAGGGGTTTCACCATGTCACCTAGGCTGGTCTCAAACTCCTAGGTTCAAGAAATTTGCCCACCTTGGCCTTCCAAAGTGCTAGGATTATAGGCACGAGCCACTACACCCATCCTATTTTCACTTGTGTTGCTTGCTCTTGTGAGGTCTTACCAAAAAAATCTTTGCCCAGACAAATGTTCCGAATCCTTTTTCCATGCTTTGTTTCAGTAGATCTATAGTTTCATGTCTTAGATTTAAGTTTTTAATCCATTTTGATTTGATTTGATTTTTGTATGTGGTAAGAGATAGGGTTCTAGTTCCATTACTCTGCATGTGGCTATCCAGTTTTCCCCGCACTGTTTACTGAAGACACTATCCTTTTCCCAATGCATGCTCTTGGTGTCTTTGTTGAAAATGAGTTTGTTGTAAATGTGTGAATTTATTTCTGGATTCTCTCTGCAATGCCATTGTCTATGTGTCTGTTTTTTGTGCCAGTACCATGCTATTTTGGTTACTATAGCTTTGTAGTATATTTTGAAGTCAGATAGTGATTCCAGATTTGTTGTTTCTGGTCAGGATTGCTTTGGTTATTCAAGGTGTTTTGTGGGTCTACACAAATTGTAGGATTGTTTTTTCTATTTCTTAAAGAATGCTGGCTGGGGGCAGTGGCTCACACCTGTGATCACTGCAGTTTGAGAGGCTCGGGCAGGAGGATTGCTTGAGGCCAGGAGTTGGAGACCAGCCTCGGCAACACAGTGAAATCCCTGTTTCTACAAAAAATTTTCAAAAATAGCTGGGTGTGGTGACACCTGCCTGCAGTCCTAGCTACTTGGGAGGCTGAGTGGGAAGATTGCTTGAGTCTGGGAGGTTGAGGCTATAGTGAGCTGTGATCGTGGCACTGCATTCCGGCCTGGGTGACAGAGCAAGACCCTGTGTCAGAAAAAAATAATATAAAATGCCATTTGTATTTTCATAGATATTGCATTGAATCTGTAGATCACTTTGGGTAGTATGAACATTTTAACAATATTAATTCTTCCAATCTGTGAGCATGGGATATCTTTTCACATATGTGTTTATATCCTCTTTAATTTTTTTCATCAGTGTTTTATAGTTTTTGTTGTAGAGATTTTCACTCCTTTGGTTAAATGTATTTCTAGGTATTTTTTGTAGCTATTGTAAATGGAATTGTTTTCCTGATTTCTTTTTCATTTTGTTCACTCTTCTTGTATAAATCTGTTACTGATTTTTGTGTGTTGATTTTGTATACTGCCACTTTTACTGAATTCATTTATCATTTCCAGTTGTTTTTTGGGGGAGTTTTTAGGTTTTTCTAAATACAGGATCATGTCACCTGTGAACAAGGACAGTTTGACTTCTTCCTTTCCAATTTGGATGCCCTTTATTTCCTTTTTTTTTTTAACTTTTATTTTAAGTTCAGGGATGCAAGTGCAGGTTTGTTACATAGGTAAACATGTCATGGGGGTTTGTTGTACAGATTATTTCATTACCTGCCGAGACCAGAGACCAGCTTGGTCGTGGAGACCCTAACCCAGTGGTGCTAGAGGTATTAAAGACACACACACAGAAATATAGCATGTGGAGTGGGAAATCAGGGGTCTCACAGCCTTCAGAGCTGAGAACCTTGAACAGAGATTTACCCACATATTTATTGACAGCAAGCCAGTGATAAGCATCGTTTCTATAGATTATAGATTTACTAAAAGTATTCCTTATGGGAAACCAAGGGATGGGCTGAAACAAAGGGATGGGCTCTGGCTAGTTATCTGAAGTAGGAGCATGTCCTTAAGGCACAGATCGCTCATGCTATTGTTTGTGGCTTAGGAACACCTTTAAGTGGTTTTCTGCCCTGGGTGGACCAGGTGTTCCTTGCCCTCATTCTGGTAAACCCACAACCTTCACCGTGGCCATCATGGCCATCATGCTGAACATGCGAACATGTCACAGTGCTGGAGAGATTTTGTTTATGGCCAGTTTTGGGGCCAGTTTATGGCCAGATTTGGGGGCCTGTTCCCCAACAATCACCCAAATATTAAACTTAGTACACATTAGTTGTTTTTCTTGATCTTCCCCCTCCTCCCACCCACCCTCCAAAAGGCCCCACTGTGTGTTGTTTCCCACTATGTGTCCATGTGTTCTCATCATTTAGCTCCCACTTATAAGTGAGAAAATGCAGTATTTGGTTTTCTGTTCCTGTGTTAGTTTGCTAAGAATAATGGCCTCCAGCTCCAATCTATGTCCCTGCCAAGGACATGATCTCATTCTTTTTTTTTTATGGCTGCACAATATTCCATGGGGTATAGTTACCACATTTTCTTTACCCAGAATATCATTCTTGGGCATTTAGGTTGATTCCATGTCTACATTATCGTGAATAGTACTACAGTGAACATACATATGCATGTGTTTTTATAATAAAATGACTTATATCCCTTTGGGTATATACCCAGTAATGGGATTGTTGGGTCGAATGGCATTTCTGTATTTAGGTCTTTGAGGAATCACCACACTGTCCTCCACAATAGCCAAACTAATTTACACTCCCACTAAGAGTGTATAAGCATTCCTTTTTCTCCACAACCTCACCAGCATCTGTTATTTTTTTAACTTTTTAATTGTAGATGGTATCTCATTGTGGTTTTGATTTGTATTTCTCTAATGACCAGTGATTTTCAGTATTTTTTTAATATGATTGTTGGCTGCATGTATGCTTTATTTTGAAAAATGTCTGTTTATGTCCTTTGCCCACTTTTTTTTATGGGGTTGTTTGTTTTTTTCTTGTAAATTTGTTTAAGTTCCTTATAGACATTGGATATTAGGCCTTTGTCAGTGCATAGTGGGCAAAAATTGTCTCCCATTCTGTAGGTTGTTTGCTTACTCAGATGATAGTTTCTTTTGCTGTGGAGAAGCTTTTTAGTTTAATTAGATCCCATTTGTCAATTTTTGCTTTTGTTGCAATTGCTTTTGGTGTCTTTGTCATGAAATTTTTGCCCATGCCTGTGTTCTGAATGGTATTGCCTAAGTTATCTTCCAGGATTTTCACAGTTTGGGGTTTTACATTTAAGTCTTTAATCCATCTTGAGTTAATTTTTGTATATGATATAATGAAGGGGTCCAATTTCAATCTTCTGCAAATGGCTAGCTAGTTATCCCAGCACCATTTATTGAATAAGCAATCCTTTCCCCATTGCTTGTTTTTGTCAGGTTTGTAAAAAATCAGATGGTTGTAAGTGTGTGGTCTTATTTCTGGTTGTGTATTCTGTTCCATTGGTCTATGTGTCTGTTTTTGTACCAGTACCATGCTGTTTTGGTTACTGTAGCCCTGTAGTATAGTTTGAAGTCTGGTAATGTGATGCCACGAGCTTTGTTTTTTGTGCTTAGAATTGCCTTGGCTATACAGGCTCTTTTTTGGGTCCATATGAATTTTACCATAGTTTTTTCTAGGTCTGTGAAGAATGTCAGTGGTAGTTTAGTGGGAATAGCATGGAATCTATAAATTGCTTTGGGCAGTATGTCCGTTTTCATGATACTAATTCTTTCTATCCATGAGCAAGGAATGTTTTCCCATTTGTGTCATCTCTGGTTTCTTTGAGCAGTGTTTTCTAATTCTCATTGTAGAGATCTTTCACCTCCCTAGTAGCTGTATTCCTAGATATTTTATTGTTTTGGTGGCAGTGGTGAATGGGAGTTCATTCCTGATCTAGCTTTTGGCTTGACTGTTGTCAGGGTAAAGAAATGCTAGTGATTTTCACACATTCATTTTGTTCCTTGAGACTTTGCTTAAGTTGTTTATCACCTTAAGAAGCTTTTGGGCTGAGGCTGAGGTTTTCTAGATATAGGATCATGTCATTTTTGAACAGGGATAGCTTGACTTCCTCTCATTTTTATTTGAATGTCCTTTATTTCTTTCTCTTGCCTGATTGCCCTAGCCAGAACTTCCAATACTATGTTGAATAGGAGTAGTGAAGGAGGGTATCCTTGTCTTCTGCTGGTTTTCAAGGGGAATGCTTCTAGCTTTTGCCAATTTTGCAGGATGTTGGCTGTGGGTTTGCATCGATTGCTCTTACTATTTTGAAGTATGTTCCTTAAGTACCTAGTTTATTGAGACTTCTTAACATAAATGGATTTTGAATTTTTTTTTTTGAGACAGTTTCTCATTCTGTCACCCAGGCTGGAGTGCAGTGGCATGATCTTGGCTCACTGCAATCTCTGTCTCCTGGGTTCACACCATTCTCCTGCCTCAGCCTCCCGAGTAGCTGGGACTACAGGCACCTGCCACCAAGCCTGGCTAATTTTTTGTATTTTTTAGTAGAGAGGGGGTTTCACCATGTTAGCCAGGATGGTCTCGATCTCCTGACCTTGTGATCTGCCTGCCTCAGCCTCCCAAAGTGCTGGGATTACAGGCGTGAGCCACTGCACCTGGATTTTGAATTTTATTTAATGCCTTTTCTGCATCTATTGAGAAAATCATGTGGTTTTTATCCTTAGTTCTGTTTATGTGATGAATCACATTTATTAATTTGCATATGTGGAACCAACTTGCAACCTGGGGATGAGGCCTACTGGATCATGGTGCATAGGCTTTTTGATTTGCTGCTGGATTTCGTTTGCCAGGATTTTGTTGAGAATTTTTGTACTGATGCTTGTTAAGGATATTGGATGTCCTTTATGTCCTTCTCTTGCCTAATTACTCTAGCTAGGACTTCCAGCACTATATTGAATAAAAATAGTGAAAGTGGGCATTCTTGTCTTGTTATAGATTTCAGAGGAAAGGCTTTCAACTTTTTCACCATTCAGTATGATTTTAGCTGTAGACTTTTCATATGTGGCTTTTATTGTGTTGAGATATGTTTCTTCTATATACAGCTTGTTGAGAGTTTTAATCATGAAGCAATGTAAATTTTATAAAATGTTTTCAGCATTTATTTAAACAATCATTATGTCTTTTGTTCTTCATTTTGTTAATGTGATATATCATGTTCGTTGATTTGTGTATGTTGAACCGTCTTTGAATTCCTGGAATGAATCTCACTTGATCATGACAAATGTTCTTTTTAATGTGTTGTTGAATTTGGTGTGCCAGTATTTTGCGGAGAATTTTTTGTATCTATATTTATCAGGAATATTGGCCTGTAGTTTTGTTTTTTGTTGTATCCTTATCCTTATCTTTTTGCTGTGTCGTTATCTTTTTTGTTGTATCCTTATTTGGTATTGCAGTAATGCTGGCATTGTAGAAGGACTTTGGAAGTATTCCCTTCTCTTCAATTTTTTGGAATTGTTTGAGTAGTATTGGTACTAGTTCTTTAAATGTTTAGTAGAATTCAGCACTGAAGTTGTCAGTTCCTGGACTTTTTTTCTTTTAATGGGAGACCTTTTATTAGTACTTCAATGTCATTACTTGTTATTGGTCTGTTCAGGTTTTCTGTTTCTTCATGGTTCAGTCTTGGTAAGTTATATGTGTGCAGAAATGTATTCATTTCTTTCAGGTTTTCCAATTTGTTGGCATATAGTTGTTCATAATAGTCTTTAATGATCTTTTGTGTTTCTGTGGTATCAGTAGTAATGTCTCCTTTTTATTTTTGTTTTAATTTATTTGGTTCTTCTCTCTCTCTTTTTTTTTTTTTTTTTACTTAGCTAAAGCTTTGGTGATTTTGTTTATCTTTTCAAAAAAAAAAAAACAAATTTTTGAGTTTCTGGAGAACTGAACACATAGAGGTTCCCAGAGAGTGGCATGCCCATGGAGGGCATGGAAGCTCTGAATCCCTTCCGTCAGACCTAGCTTATGCACCCTTTCATCTGTGTCTTTTTAATATCCTTTATAATAAATCAGTAAACATAAATTGACATTTGGGTGACCAAGATGGGACCTGAAGCAGGCTTCCTTTGACTTCTGCTGCTTCTCTGACAGCTGGCACCCTGGTACAGGCATGGGCTGTTTTTGTCCAGCTGAACCTGTTGAAGGTTGCAGTAGCCTTTGTAAACTTTCAGGAGGCAAAGGGGACACTTTCCCTTGGACCATGTAGTTTTGGCACTGTGAGTAGGACACCAAAGCCATTCTGCTTGAAGCTGCAGTGAAGGGAACTCAGAACCTGACAAGTCAGCAAAAGGAAATTCATAGAAAGAATATTGACAAGTACTTGTGAACACAGATTTCTCATAACTTTCAAGATAATACCATTGGAATAGGTAAAAACTTTCAGGACTTCAGTTAAAAAGCTGATGTGGGCCTGGTGTGTGGCTCATGCCAGTAATCCTAGCACTTTGGGAGACTAAGGCTGGTGGATCACTTGAGCCCAGGAGTTCAAGACAGCTTGGGCAACATGGCAAAACCCTGTCTCTACTAAAAGTAGAAAAATTAGACAAGCATGGTGTCCCATGCCTGTAGTCCCAGCTACTTGGGAGGCTGAGGTGGGAGAATTACATGAGCCCAGGAGGTGGAGATTGAGCTGAGGTGAGCTGAGATTCCGCCATTGTACTCCAACCTGGACCACAGAGCGAGACTCTGTCTCAAAATCATAATAATAATAATAATAATAGTAATAAGAAAAAGTTGATGTGCTTATGAGGATTGCTAACCCAACATCAAGCAGAACAAAAGTTAATTACATGGGACTGAACTGATAGAAGACTGAAATGCTTTTTATGACTTTTTTGGTTGAAACATTACTGATTCTTTTTATATTTTGTTTTCAGAGCCAAATACTTTTTTTTCTTTTTGAGGTATTTATAGCTTATAGCAATTGGGTAAAGTAGAGTTTTGTGAGCAAAATTAAAACATTTGCCTTTCTCTTGACCTGATTTCTCCAAAATTTGGGAATTATTTGAGTGTTCTTATTTTATGGCAATATAGATATTTTCATAAGTTCAATAAGAATCTGTTTTCCCTGACATAATGACTGGAATGACACATTTTTGGATATGACCAAACTGCTTTGAGGGAATGAAATTGACTTTATAAGACCAATAGACTTGGAGAAAGACTGGCCTGGTACATTATCTACATGGTTCTCTTACAAGATTCCTGACCTTACAGTAAGAAAAGAATATCACATTCTGACAGGCCCAGGAACCTCAAGATAATTAGGGACCTTGAGAAGACAGGAATTCACTCAATTTGTATAAGTATTACAGGCAAAGTCTAATGGTGAATTCATGGCTTGTCTTCGCAGCCTCAAGAGGCTTTGAAAGTCTAATCTGAAATTTGTTATGAAAAAGCTCCAGCAAAGCCAACTTACAAAGCTGTCTTTAGGGCTAATCACTATTCTTGTTGCATTTTGTACAAATTAGCAGGTCAAATGTCATATGGAAACTTATTTTACAAGTAAATTGGTCCTACTAAGATTTCCCTTTGGTAAAAAAATGGGGAACTAGAGAAAGAAAAACTGTTTCACAGGAAATTATATACATTTCTTATTAGATTCTAGCCCTGACCACTGTTTCTGAGTTTTTATTATTTTCCTACAATTTGGACTAAACTCTGAATTATTTCTTGGTTACAACAAATCTCGAAAGAAGAACCTGGATTTAATTTTCTTCATGATGTTTTCAGTTGGCTTCCTAATGAAACTCGTCTTTTTGTTTTTTTCATTCTTTCATACAAATTCTCTTTTTTGCTTATAATCCTTATATATTACTTCTTCCAAGAAAACTAAAATGATGGCATTTCCAAATACTACAGATGATTCAACAGGTGATAAATCAATGATCTGACTGAGGTCTCATTCTTTGCCACTCTGTGATGCCATCCTAATTTTACTTTTGAATGCTCTTAAAATAAAAATTCCTCACTGAGACTTCTCCTCCTTCCCTCCTCAGTGTGAGACAGGACTATCAGAAGTGAGCTTTCTGACACTCAGATTTTGATCAGTTATTTCAAAAATAAAGATTTTGCTCAAAAGGGGGAAATGAGAAATAAATCTTTAAATTATTAGGCTCAGAAAAGCATTTAAATTGTAATAGCAGTCAAGTCTCACTCCCCCTTGAGTGAAATAATTACCTCTTGAAGTCGCCTGCTATGTAGGCTTTAGACTAACTGACAGCAAGTAGCCATACAATGCCATACACACTATCGTTGAACAATGGATAGACAATTGGTTAATACCAATGTCATTTTGTAAACCAATGAGAATTGCTGATGAATAACTTTGGTAATCACCAACTCTCCTGATTCATCCTTTGTTTTCTTTAAAAACTTGAGTCTCTCGTTTGTTCTCTGGAGCACTCCCCAAGACAACTTGGAAGCACGTCCTGGGTTACAGTGCTAAATCTTTGTGCTTGAATAAACTCTCTTTAAACTAAAACACAAAGCAAAACGAAACAACAATGATCTTTTATATGGTTTTCTTTGGTTTCAATTTAATTTTTTTCTGCTCTAATGTTTATTATTTTTTCCTTCTAATTATTTTGCATTGGCTTTGTTCTTGCTTTTCTAGTTCCTTGAGGTGTGTCATTGGGTTATTTGAAGTCTTTCTACCTTTTTTTTTTACCTGTAAAATAAGTTTATCGGTGGTAACATGATATAATTTACTCCTGATATCTGATGTTACAAACTTTAGGGTCCTTGAGATATGCAGCATCCTTGGATGTAACTGGCAGAAACCCCATTATTTGAGCTCTCTTAATTGCTTTTGTGATTTCTTTCTGTTTCTTCCCACAAAGACCTGTTTTGTGCCTTCCACAAATGCATCCAACAAATGGAGAAATAAACTGGGACGCTGTACATTCTTAAAATCTACCTGCTTTCCACACAAGATACATTTCTTAAGGGCTTCTTTATAAGAATTTTCCATTGGAATGGGCAGGTCCTCATTGCTGGATATCTGTTTATATTGTGAACAACCTCTTCTCCATAGCACCATATGAGTCCTGGGATGTGTAAGGCTAACAGCAGCCATTACAAGGTGTGTCAACTTCTTCCTCCCCAGACCACTGCAAAGAGCAACTATAGTGGCCATGGTTCCACATTCCTCCACTGGTTCTACCTTTTATGTAGGCATTTATTGCCGAGCTTCCCTCTTTGAGATGCTTTTGCTGTATCACATAGGTTTAGGTGAAATGAGTTTCTTGTAGATAGCATATAGTTGGGTCTTGTTTTTGTTGTTGTTTGTTTGTTTGAGATGAAGTCTCACTCTGTCACCCAGGCTGGAGTGCAGTGGCGCAATCTTCGCTCACTGCAACCTTTGCCTCCCGGGTTCAAGTGATTCTCCTGCCTCAGCTCCTGAGTAGCTGGGATTACACACGCTTGCCACCATGCCTGGCTAATTTTTGTGTTTTTAGTAGAGATGGGGTTTCATCATGTTGGCCAGGCTGATCTCAAACTCCTGACCTTGTGATCCACCCACCTCGGCCTCCAAAAGTGCTGGGATTACAGGCATGAGCCACTGTGCCCGGCCATGGGTCTTGTTTTTTATCCATTCAGTCATTCTTTGTCTTTTAACTGGATAATTTAATCCATTTATATTCAAGGTTATTATTGATAGGTAAGGGTTTATTACCACCACTTTATTTGTTTTCTGGGTTTTTTTTAGACCTTTTCTTCTTTTTCCCTCTATTACTGTCTTCCTTCATGGTTAAGTGATTTTTTCTAGTAGTATGTTTTGATTCTGTGCCACTTATTTTTAGTATATCTATTACAGGTTTTTGCTTTGTGTTTACCATGTGTACAAAAAACATCTTATAGTTATAACAGGTTATTTTAAATTGATAATGACTTAATTTGACTGCAAAGAATAAAAGTAACAAAAATAAACTCTCCACTAATATGCCCCATCTTGACTTTTTCATGTTTCAATTTACATCTTTTTATATTGCCTATCTTTTAACCAATTGTTGTAGTTACCATCATGTTTAATAGTTTTGTCTTCTGTCTTCATACTTAAGAAATAAGTGATTTACTTGCCCCAATTGCAGTATTAGGATATTCTGAATTTGTCTTTTTTTCTTTTATTAGTGAGTTTAATACCCTTAGATATTTTCTTGTTACATGTTAGCAACCATTTCTTTCAAATTGAAGAACTCCCTTGGGCATTTCTTGTAACACAGATTTGGTGATGATGAATTCCTTCTGCTTTTGTTTGTGTGGGAAAGTCTATCTTTCCTTAGTATCTGAAGAATAGCTATGCTAGGCACAGTATGCTCGGTTGGTAGTTTTTTCCTTTAGCACATCAAATACAGCATTCCACTCTGTCCTTGCCTGCAAGGTTTCTGCTGAGAAATCCACTGAAAGCTGTATTGGGTATCTCTTGCATTTGGTTTGTTTCTTTTATCTTGCTGCTTTAAACATTCTTTCTTTGTCTTTGATTTTTTTAAATTTGATTATAATGTGCCTTTGGGATTTCCTCTTTGGGCTGAATTTTATTGGTAACTTCTGAGCTTCTTGTACCTGGATGGTGTCATTTTTTTTTCAGATTTGGGAAAATTTTATCCATTATTTATTTAAGTATGCTTTCTAGGCCTTTTCTCTTTTGTCTCCTTTGGGAATGTCTATTATGTGGAAATTAGTTCACTTGATGGCGCCCCACAATTCTTGTAGGCCCTGTTCACTCTTTTTTTAAATTCTTTTTTCTCTTTACTCTTCTAATTGGGTAATTGGGGTTATCTGGGCTTCATAAAACTGGATGTCTATTTCCCTTCCCAGATGTGGGAAGTTTTCAACCATTATTTCCTTAAATAAGTTTTCTACCACTTTCTCTTCCTCTTCTCTTTGTAGAAATCCCATAAAGCATATATTGGTATGTTTGATGATGTTCATAAGTTCCCTAAGTTCTCTTTACTTTTAAAAAATTATTTCTGTTTTTTTTTTGTTCCTCTGACTGGATAATTTCAAACGATCTCTCTTTGTGCACACAGATGCCTCTTCTTCTACCTGATCAAGTCTGCTGTTGAAGTTTCCTCTGAAATTTTTCAGTTCGGTCATTGTGTCCTTCAGCTCCAAAATTTATTTTCTTTTATCATCTCTATGTCTTTGTTGAAGTTCTCATTTTGTTCATGTATTGTTTTCACGATATCATGTGGCTTTCTTTCTGTGTTCTTTAATAGTTCACTGAGATTATTTAAGACACTTATTTTGAATTCTTTTCCAGGCAGTTCTTAGGTCTCCATCTTTTAAAAGATCAGTTATCGGTTTTATTGTGTTCTTTTGGCATCGTTGTATTTTCCTGATTCTTTGTGATCCTTATGGCTTTGCACTGGTGCCTGTACTTTTGAAGAAGGAGTCATCTCTTTTAATCTTTACAGGCTGGCTTCAGCAGGGAAACCCCTTCCCAGTCAGGCTGGCCAGAGATTCTGAGTGGGCTGGCTGGTGGGATCCATAGGCTGGAAAACTGCTGGGGTCAGTGGGTAAGCAGGCTTGCTGCTGTGGTCCATGGGCAGGTGGCCTGCTGCTGTGCGCCACCAGCATGCCGTTGAGGTCTGCATGTTGGTTGTTGAGAGCCCTCATCTATTTCTGTTGTTCTTAGCAGCCCCCAGGCAATCTAGCCTTTCTGATTCACTCAGTGTTCTGGGTGAGGCATAACAGAAGTGAGCCTCTCAGGCAGTAAATCAAAAGGCTACAGAAGAGTCAGATGCTCACTGCATGCTCTCTTTCCCCCATGGGAGAACTTATGGGCCAAGGAGATCTGTCTTGGTGCTGCATTCTACTGGCCTAGAGGAGGCTTGGTGCTGGTAAAGTAAAAATATTCTTACCCTTTTCAATGTGTCTTTTCTCATTTCTGTGCCCCATCAAGGTGTTGAATACTCTTGCTTGGAGTCCAGAGCTCTCAGAAAAGTAATTTTATCTATGGATGGTTATTAAATCAGTATTTCTGAGGGGAACAAGGGCTGGCACTTCCTATTCTGCCATCTTGCAGATGTCACTTCCAGAATTCTTTCTTAAGCAGAATTTGCCCCCTTAATTTCCCTGGAGGGTTTCCCAACATAAACTATTGTGTTCAGAGACATTAGGAACATTTCTCCCAGTTCATAGCTTAGGTCCAAATAACTTTTCCAGGCCTGCTTTTCTGCCAACCATTTCATGTTTCATGGAGCAGCCATAGGGCAGTGGTTTCTCACCTGGGGGTGACGGTATAGTGGTTTTAACTCCCGGGGGACATTTGGCAATGTATGGAGACAGTTTTGGTTTCATGACTTGGGAGGGGATCTTACTAGCATTTAGTGGAAAGAGGCCAGGAAAGAGTGCTGCTAAACACACTACAATACACAGCCCAAAGTGTCAAACTTATTGAAGTTGAGAAGCCCTACCCTATGAGTACAATTAGTAAATAATTAATACATATAAAGTACTTAGAAAGTCTCTGGGGCAATAGTGAGTGCTCAATAAATGCCAGCTATTTATAGGGATGGTCTGAATGATATCCCATTGTTGTACCAAACTGCTTGTTGACATTCAGTTTCATATTTAACTGTGAACTGCATAGAAGCATGTGACCCTCATGTGAGCATCAGCCTCCCTTCACTAACATAGTCCTTTGTGCGTATGAATCACTCCTACATGAGAATGGAGCAGTAGAAAGAAAGGGCCAATCCCCTGATTGAAGATGAACATCCTTATCTCTGAAATTCTAAGGCAGAGTTAGAAGAAAAGAGGTTGGAGTGCATTTCTGATTAACTTTGTAAATTTTAAAATTCCTACAGTTAAGTGAATTTGAATTTGGTAACAGAAAAAGTATAAAATTACTCTATTTCATAAAAGAAACAGAAATGATCTTTTGTCTTTTTCATGTATAAATTTGGCTGTGACCCACAGAAGTATGAAGATATGGTTTCCACACCAATGTTAGGCCTTCTCAAGGAGCTTAGAGTGTGTCGGTGGAGAGGGAGAAGCCCAACGGGAGATCTTATTCCACCTCTGCACGTCTTCAGGACCCCTGTGGAAACATGTGATCTCTAACAGTCTCTCTGGGGCTCTGCCCACCCCCAGCAGTGTCACCTCACATCACCGCACAATAAGAACTTTCTCATCATGAACATAGCTTTCTCTGGAGAAGCTGGGAAGTGCTTAACTATGCCAGAAGCTGGACAATTCAGGTAGAAGTGTAAATGTTGGCCTAACCTTCAAAGGACAGAAATAGCTTTCTTTGAAAGTTCTCAAAGGTGTTTCAGAACTCTGGAAAATTTTAAATCTTAAAATAACACTACAATTGTCCATTTGTCTTGGGGATGCCTGTGCGGAGTGAGAGTGAATCCCTAAATTTGACTTTCCGTCTCTCCTCCACTGCAGGATGTGGTTGGGCTTTTTCGTCCTTGGGCTGCCAAAACTGAAAAGCACCTTGCTCCACTCCAGAGGAATGTGTTCAGTGTCCTTTATAGAACCCACTTGTTTCCTGGCCTGGAAGGGGGATTGTCCCGGTGCACAGCCGGGCTGTCACATGTGTGACGTGTTAGCTGTCCCCCTCCCAAACATTAGCAAAGCATAGTACTGCGAAAGCAAATGTGGCTCCCAGGGCACCGCTCACAGGCTGTCACCAAAGCTTATGATCCCCGAGCTGACTGGGAATGGGGAATGTCAGGGAATACACAGTCTCCGCCCCCTTCTCCTTCAACTCTCACCCTTGGGCACATCACTCACGTCTCCTAAATCATCCCATGGTTTAGGAGTCAGGCAGTGATACACATGCTCTGAGCAGATTCTCAGGTGCTCTTAAAAGCTGCCAATGCTAATATTGCCCTGGAAAACAATGATGAGTATTTTAGAGCGACCCACTCACTGGGTGAATGCATTGAGTCAGCCCATCCCCCTGCCTTCACTGACTGCACTGCGGTGGGGTGGGTGGTGGTGTCTGTCCCTCTCTCTCTGCCTTCACTCCTAACTGACAGCTCCTGCCACCCTGATGCTCAGGTTTCATCATCCCATATACTCTGGGTCTTGTTCCGACTCTACAAAGAAAAGGTGCCACGAGGACTGTGACAGAGTATGACTATAATTCGGTAGAGGTCTCATCTCAACTCCTTGTTTTACATACCATGTGTTAACTGAGGCCACATGGAGAGGGTAATGTGAAGTGTTACCTGAAGGACGGTGGCAGAGCTCTGTGCACTGGCTGCCCCGAGGGGGCAGAAAGGAAGGGAGGGAGGGAGGAAAACAGTAGGGAAGAAGGAAGCCACTCTCTGCCCGCCCCCTGCCCCATCTCAGGCCCTAGCCCTCTGCCAGGAGCGTCTCCTGAGGCTGAAAGTGCCCCCTCCCGCTCTCAGACTCTGCGCTGCCATCTGCCTTGCTTCTCTCGGTACCACTTCCCCTGCTCTCTTTTGAATCGGATTCTCTCCTTCAAACTCCAGCTGATCCAGCCCGCACATGCCAGGCCCGTATGTAGATTCGTCTGTTGCCACCGTCCTCCAAGCCCTAGGGAGGGGTTGAGCTCCGTGGAAGGCCTCTGATGGGAGGGACACGACTCGGAGGCTGAGCAGCACAGGACACCGTGGTAAACTGGGATTCTTCTTTGCCTTTCTCAGGGAGGCAAAAGGTGCAGAGGCCTGCAGTGTGCTGTGAGCGACAGTGCCAGCTAGTGGCGCACGACTTACATCGCTAGCTACAGGGTTTCTTTTCTTTTTCTTTCTTTCTTTTTTTTTTTTTTTTTTGAGGCAGTCTCACTTTGTCGCCCAGTGGCACAATCTCAGCTCACTGCAACCTCTGCTGCCCAGGTTCAAGCAATTCTCATCGGTCAGGCTCCCGAGTAGCTGGAATTACAGGCATGCTCCACCACACCCAGCTAATTTTTGTGTTTTTAGTAGAGAAGGGGTTTCACCATATTGGCCAGGTTGGTCTTGAACTCCTGACCTCAAGTGATCCGCCTGCCTCGGCCTCCGAAAGTGTTGGGATTACAGGCGTGAGCCACTGTACCCGGCCCAGCGTTTCTTGACAACAGGGAATTGGGAGGATGCAGTCAGGCCTGGCCTTTAGTGGGTTGTAGAACTCCCTCTAGGGGTAAATGCTCAATAAAAATGGCTTAGCCTGGCCAGGTGTGGCGGCTCATGTCTGTAATCCCAGCACTTTGGGAGGCCAAGGTGGGCGGATCACGAGGTCAGGAGATCGAGACCATCCTGGCTAACATGGTGAAACCCCGTCTCTACTAAAAAATACGAAAAACAAAATTAGCCGGGTGTGGTGGAGGGGGTCTGTAGTCCCAGCTACTCGGGAGGCTGAGGCAGGAGAATGGCGTGAACCCGAGAGGCGGAGCTTGCAGTAAGCCGAGATCACACCACTGCACTCACTCCAGCCTGGGCAATAGTGGAGCGAGACTCCGTCTCAAAAAAAAAAAAAAAAAAAAAAAAGCCTTAGCCTGAAGAACACTGCCTTGCTTTCCATTTGGATTCTTTTCCTGTAGTTTGAATAAAGACGTAAGTTTTATAAAAATGTCTAGCCTTATTTTATGCATGTGCCCTGAGAAAGGTCTTAGACTCATTTACTGAAAGATGAAAGCAGCTATGTTTCTGAAATGAAGTCACTCTTCAATCACTTACTGCCTAGCAGGCAGCCACTGCCAAGTCCATTTTCCTGTTTTTATTGGAAAAAATATCATATCCCTTCCTTTAAATTTGTTTTTGATTCAAAAAAAATGGTTCTGAGATGTTAGAACATGCATGCTATGTGTCAAAATCTAATATTCACCAAAATCTAATAGTCATCAAACACTAGAAGCATTTAAGAAGAGGGCCGGGCATGGTGGCTCATGCCTGTAATCCTGGCACTTTGGGAGGCTGAGGCGGGTGGATTTCCTGACCTCAGGAGTTCGAGACCACCCAGGGCAACAGGGTGAAACCCTGTCTCTACTAAAAATACAAAAAAATTAACCAGGTGTGATGCCGTGTGCCTGTAGTCCCAACTACTTGAGAGGCTGAGGCAGGAGAATCGCTTGAGCCCCAGTGGCAAAGGTTGGAGTGAGCCAAGATCATGCCACTGCACTCCAGCTTGGGCCACAGAGTGAGACTCTGTCTCAAAAAAAAAAAAAGAAAAGAAAGAAAGAAAGAAAGAAAGAAAGAAAGAAAGAAAGAAAGAAAGAAAGGAAGGAAGGAAGGAAGGAAGGAAGGAAGGAAGGAAGGAAGGAAGGAAGAAAGAAAGAAAGAAAGAAAGGCTAAGTGCTGATTGGCTGCATGGAGGTGAATGGGCTTCCTTGCGATTAATGAGGCACAGCAGAAATGGAAGACGGGGAGGGCTTGAGGATGCTGTCCCAGGACAGTCCAAGGGACACAGCAGGGGAAAGAGATGTCCGGGCAGCAAGAGACGGAGAGCAAAGCTTGGGCCCTGACAGCATGGACCTACTTCTTTGAATCCCAGAAGGCAAAGTGCATACCCAGCCTACTGTGAGCTCATCCTCATCCCTGCCACTCAATTCACAGTTCTAAGAGTTGATACAGAAAATTAATTATATTTCATATATTCAATAGGTTAGACACAAACATTTCCTAATTAACTTTATTTCTAATAACATTACACCCCCTGCCAAAGCAATATTCTTATCTGAGGCCAGAGTTTGCAGTGGGAAGATGTAGAAAAGGAGAATGGGATCTATCCTGGTCTGGGAATTCTGTAAGAGTCTAGGAAGGCAGATGGAGCATGTGATAGCCTGATGACACGACAATTTGTCACAGACTCCTGAAGAAACCGCTAGCATTCTAAATGCGCAACTCATGGGCGTCATGATTTCATTTCTCTTAAAACCTGTGACTTTCCTGCGAACAATTTCTTTTCATAAGAATAAACTTGACATCCTCCACGTACGAATAATAGAAAGTTCTGTGCTGGTGTGAGAAGCACTCATGGAGGCCTCTGTCCCACACTGTGGTCTGAGAGAGCTTTCAAGTAAGACACATTTTAAGCCAGCAGCTTAGATTGATAGGTAGATAGATAAGTAGATGGATAGATAGATAGATAGATAGATAGATAGATAGATAGATAGATTATAGATAGATAGATAGATATAGTAACTGATTTCAGTAGGGAAGAATTATCATTTGGCCAGTTAAGGATAAAATGTCTTACTACATAAGGTTGGACTTTTATCCTTCTTATCCCCAAAAAACATATCCTGATTTTCCCCAGTTCTGCCTGTATTTGATATATAACAGGATTACAGTACCAAGATGTATATATTTAATCAAGTGAACTTTTGCTTGGCTGTGAGGCCCTCTGCTACAGTTTGAATGTGTCCCCTGCAAAATTCAGGTGTGGAAACTTAATGGCCAATGTGATAGTATTAAGAGGAGGGACTTTTGCAGGTGATTAGACCACGAGGGCTCTTTCTTCTTGAGTGGGATCAGACCCTCATAAAAGGGGCCTCACAGAGCATTCAGCTGGCTTGCCCTTTTGCCTCCCACCATGTGGTGACACAACCTTCCTTTCCTTTGGAGGACGCAGCAACAGGCACCATCTTGGAAGCGGAGACCTGGGCCCTCGCCAGGCACCGAACCTGCTGGTGCTTGGATCTTGGACTTCCCAGCCTGCAGAACTGTGAAAGAATAAATTTCTGTTCTTTATGAATTACCCAGTCTGCAGTATTTTGTTACAGCTGCACACACAGACTATGACACCCCCAACATGGAAGGTGCAGGACCAGCTCCATAGGGCATCAGATGCTGTGACCCACTTGGAAGGAAGTTAGAGGACTGCACTGAAGTGTCTGAAGAGCAAGCTCCCCTTTGCACAACCTCACTTTCATGTTGGTTTGGGGTAGCATGTGGGGGGCATTCCTTGGATGGAGATTTCACAGTTCTGTGTATGTCCTGCTTCACGCCACCTCTGATGAGCCCCTGGTGGAAACAAGAAACACTCCCCAGAAGGGAAGAGAGATCTTGATTCTAGGCCCATCATATCCTAAGGGAGGACTCCTTGAAGAATTCTTTTAAAAAAATATTTTTTTTAAATTTTAGTAAAATATACATAACATAAAGTTTACCATTTTAGCCTTTTTTGGTTTCTTTTGAGACAAGATTTTGCTTCCTCCCAGGCTGCCGCGGTGTGGTGTGATCACAGCTCACTGCAGCCTAAGAACTCCCAGGTTCAAGCTATCCTCCCACCTCAGCCTCCCCAGTAGCTGGAACTGTAGGCACACGCCACCATGCCCAGTTAATTTTTAAATTTTTGTAGAGATGATAGCAATCCACTTGGAAGGAAGTTAGAGGACTGTGCTGAGGTGTCTGAAGAGCAAGCGCACCTTCACACAACCTCACTTTCATGTTGGTTTGGGGTAGGTTGTGGAGGGTATTCCTTGGATGGAGATTTCATGGTTTCTGTTGCTGGGTTGCTTTCAAACTCCTAGCCTCAAGTGATCCTCCCACCTCAGCCTTCCAAAGCACTGATTTTAGCCATCTTTTAAGTGTAGAGTACAGTGGGATTAAACACATTCCATACTGTTGTGTAACCAGTCTCAATAACTCTTTAATATTGCAAAACTGAAAATCTGTCCCCATTAAATACCATTTTTCTCCCCCCCAAAGACTCTGTCTTTATGAGCTTGATGCCTCTAGGTGCCTCATGTGAGTGGACTCACACAGGAATTTTACTTTGTGATTGGCTTATTTCAGTAGCATCATGTCCTCAGTGTTCATCCTTAGTGTAGCATGTGTCAGAACTCCCTTCTGTTTCCAGGTTGAATGACGCTCCACTGTGTGCATAGACATTGTGCATATCCGCTCATCCCTCCATAGACATGTGGGTTGCCTCCACCTGCTGGGCATCGTGCCCCTGTGCACATGGGCACCCGGGTCTTGCTCTGGCGCTCCCCTCCTGCCTTCTGGGGTGAGAGCATTCGGGATGTGCTATAGGGAAATGGTATGATTTTAAAATGGAAGTGTTTCAGCCAGGCGCGGTGGCTCACGCCTGTAATCCCAGCACTTTGGGAGGCTGAGGCGGGCGGATCCAGGGGTCAGGAGATCGAGACCATCCTGGCTAACACGGTGAAGCCCCGTCTCTACTAAAAATACAAAAAATTAGCCGGGCGTGGTGGCAGACGCCTGTAGTCCCAGCTACTCGGGAGGCTGAGGCAGGAGAATGGCGTGAACCCGGGAGGCGGAGCTTGCAGTGAGCTGAGATCACGTCACTGCACTACAGCCTGGGCGACAGAGCAAGACTCCGTCTCAAAAAAAAAAAAAAAACAAAAAACAACAAAAACCCAAAAAACCAAAAAAATAAAAATAAATAAATAAATAAAATGGAAGAGTTTCACTCTCCCAGAAGCATGGCCCACCAAGTTTTGGAGGGGGGAGGGGGCAGGGTGAAGGATGAAACTGGGCAGGAAAACATTTTGGTTAGCGAGTGTGGCAGAGCTAGGGGTGGGTATTTGTGATGCTTTCTGAAATGTGGTTGGTTTTTGGAAAAAATGCCAGTAAGGACCCAGGTGCAAGAGCCGTAGGGCATCCCAAAGTAGGGGGTCCCTCAGCTTCCATGGCAAAGCTGCCTCTGCTCCAGCCTTAGCCCTGCCCCCCCGCCGCCCCCCCCCCCCGACCCCAGTTTGGATACCTGAAGCCTACCCCAGGCGATTGAACACAAAGCATTTCACTAACTTTCACAGCCTGTAAGCTTCACCAGCTGAGCAGAAGCTGCGGTTGGGCTGGGTGCATGACCTGCAGCCCTGGAAGTGAGGGCTCAGAGAGTCCCCTCAGTCACAGCTGCATGAAGCCCAGATGCTTCTCATTATGTTTCTGTCCAAGCTGCCTGGCCAGGAGGTTTGACCCAGCCCTTGGTTTGTACTTCCTGCACGGTGGCATCCAAGCGTGTTTTTTAAAAAAACACATATGTAAAAATGGTTAACCATACTCAACCTCTTCTGTCTCTGAGGAACAAGCAGTTTCTGTTGCATGTTCTAGATACTTGCTACCCAAAACAAGGCCCACAGGCCAGTGTCCTTAGCATCACCTGGGAGCTGGTTAAGAAAGTGCAATCTCAGGCCTCACCCCAGGCGCTGAAACAGAACCTGCATTTTCACAAGGGCCTTGGGTGTTTCGTGTTCAAATAATAAAGACTGACACCCCGGGACAGAAACAGTGGGGTGGGGCGGAAGGAGGGACAGGGGCAGTGGGGGTTAGATGGGGTGGGGGTGGGGGCTGTGCACCATTCTAAGTGCTTCCCAGGACTAATATATTTACTTCTCACTGCAGCTTGAAGCAATGTTATCTTGCCCTCAGTACAAAGTGAGCCCCAGGAAGTAGAGGCTCACCGCGGGTTTGGGCTAGGATAGGGTGCACCCACCATGTGGCCCAGGCCCTCACACCCACCTGGCTCCAGAGCATGGGGCCCGCTCCCCATTCTCCAGGCCTGGACCCTCTGTGCACCAACACCCGACTCATGAAAGAGCCAATAGGCTTCAACATACTATCTGTGGGACGTGTTTACTAAGCTGTGAAATTCCAGACACATATTCTCATGACTATTCTAATCCCTCCCATTACATGCAGTATGTGATGCGGAGGATGACGATGATATTTACTCCAAGATCATGGTTTTCTAGCATTCCTGGAAGCAGGACTGTGTCATTTTGCCAATACTCTACTCTTAGAAATACTGTAAGTTTTCACGTGATTTGGGTACAATTTGTCACTCTGTCACCCAGGCTGGAGTGCCGAGGCACAATCACAGCTCACTGCAGCCTTGACTTCCTGGCAATCCTCCCACCTCAGCCCCCTGAGTAGCTGGGATCACAGGCACACACTACCAAGCCTGGCTAACTAAAAAAAAAAATTGTAGAGACAGGTTTTTACTATGTTGCCCAGGCTGATAAACTCCTGAGCTCAAGCAATCCTCCCACCTCAGCCTCCCAGAGTTTTAGTATTACAAGCATGAGCCACCACACCCCGCTTGGCATAATTTCTTGCCTTTCTGGTAGAGAAGAGATTTCTCCCAGCCCCAGAGGTACCCACTCTTCTTTCCCAAAATTTTCAGAATGGACAGCACAAGCCTAGTGGCTCGATCCTGGCTGACTCCTGGCTTTCTTCTCTGCAGCGTGACATGGAAATACCAAGACCTTTCTTGATCATTGCTTCAGAAAGAGCTGGAAAAATTGCTTTACTCTCCTTAAACTCGAGTTCATTTACTTTTTCAAAGAGCGTTGGAAGGTATCATTCATTATGTTTGTGTCAGGGATGATTGGAGAAATTCATTTCCTCTGTTAAAGCCATTATATTTAGACTCCCTCCCTCAAGGTGATTCTCTGTTTTGGATATATATACGTATATAGACTTTTTCATTTCTGAAGCTATTAGTAACACGTGTTCAATTACTGGTGTAGAAAATGGATCTTAGACTGCTCTCAGTTCTTCAACCTGCATGTGTGGTCTATTTGTGATCCTAGAATCGATTTTGTTTCAAACAGCATTAAAGAAGAAACAAAAGGAATAGAGTAGAAACTATTGGAATGCACCATGCATTAGGTTTGCTAGGGCTGCTGTAACAAAGTCCCATAGACTGGAGGGCTTACACAACAGAAATGGATTGTCTCACTGTTCTGAAGCCTGTAGATTCAACATCAAGGTGCCTGCAGGGTTGGTTCCTTCCGAGGCCTTCTCCCTGGCTTGTAGACAGCAAGATGCCTTCCCCCTGTGTCCTCTGATGGTCATTCCCCTGCATCTGTCTGTCCTCATCTCCACTTCTTATAAAGACACCAGTCCTACCGGATTAAGGCCCACCCATATGAGTTCATTTCAACTTACCTCTATGAAGACCCCCCTCTCCAAATGAGGGAACATGCTGAGGTCCTGGGGGTCGGGGCTTCAACATATGAATTTTGCAGGAGGGACATAATTCGGCCTATAGCACATCATATCAGGTATTTTTTGTGAAACTTTAGCTTCAAGTGCGTGGTCTGTGTGTGTGTGTATGCATGCGCACATGTATTGGGTTACAATTTTAAGTATATTTCCTATGATGTAGGTGTTGGTCAAAAATATCTGAAAAACACAAGCTTGATTTGATGGTAGGGTGTCCTGTCAAGTGTGTTTCTCTTTGGGATGATGCAGAGATCGTGGGATCTGGAAGCCAGCTGGGAAGGCTAGGAATGAACTGTGAGATGAGCTCTTCTTGCACGTCTTGCCCCGCTTTATTTAATTATTGTTTGTTTTCTCTAGTTTTGGGTAATATCCAGGTTGTTGGCAGGTTTTGTGGAATTGTAGAATCAAGGTCCCATTTCCTTCCCAGTCACCAGCCTGGTTCTCAGCTCCCTCAGGTTGCTCTCAGGTTCTTGTTACATGGCCCCTCTATCCCAACAACCTAGAACCTCCAACTCATGCATACCCCCGCACCCACCTCCACCTACTGACTTTTGTTTTTGCCACCAGCTGGAGAAAACTCTTGGCCTTTAAGGCAAGAGTGATTAAATGAGGCCCACCCAGACAATCCCCCTTTTGATGACTTCAAAGTCAAGTAATTTGGTAACCTTAATTACATCTGCAAAATACCCTTTGCCAGGTAAGAGAGCGTAACTGTGAGCAAGGTGCTTCATCATGTTTGCTGTCCCAGGGATTAAGGTGAAAAGCCCTGGGGTCATTTTAAATTCTGCACCATTCAAGCCTAAAGCCTGTGAGGTGACTGGTGAACTTGCTCTTGGTCAGTAGAGATGCAAACTATTGGTGTCCAGTGGAGAAGATCATATCAAAGCCTTCAGCATTTTGTTCAGTCTTATTTTTTTTTTTTTCCTTTTGCCACTTCAGGACATTAGCCAGGTTTGCCACCACTTGGCAAACTTATTTCAGTGACATTTTTCCTCTTTCCTTTCCGATTGATGCTCTAGACCTTGTTCCATGAACTCCGTTTGAACCAACTTTGCCTTCCTGGTGAACTCTTCACTGATGAGTTAAATAAAGCAGCAACACACGTCCATTCTATATTTGTAAGGAGTCATCTGTTTGCTTTTTGACAAGGGCGATTCAATTTTCCCTGAGGCCTGTCGTTGCAGCTTCTGAGACTTTGTTTTCTCTTTTCCTTACCAGAAACCCCCTACCGTCCGAGCTCACGTGTGGCTCTGCTTTAAAGTGAAATGGTGTGAAAATTCACCGTGTGCATGGCTGTGCCTCATTAAAACCTTGCACGGTGACCAGCTACTCAAAAGGGAGCTCAGTGGAAAGCACTCTGCCATATGTAGGAGTTTCTGGAACAGGGGTGATAGAAAAGTTGAACAAAGACAAAAAAAAAATCACGCAGATCACAGTTGTGACTTTAGCTTTTTTTTTCCTGGGCATGGCAGCTGGGCAGAAAGGAAAAGCCTGGGCACTGCCTGGACATACCAACCCTGGAAAACGACAACCGCGGACAGTTCCCCAGACCTGAGACAGAGCTTTCCTCAGCTGGAAAGCCAGAGGAATACTACCTGCCGCTCCGCCTTCACCTGCGGCCCCATCTCCGTTCTAAGGCAAACTCTGACGGGCACTAAATTGGTCCTGTTCTCAGGCTAGGATAGGACAGATGACCCAGTTGCAGGCCCCAGCCTGTCCCTGGCCAGGCCTTTGTTACCACCCAGGCAACATCTTTTGAGACGAATCTTCCCTGACACTGCCGTGAGGGCCCATTCTGCAGTGCTCCTGGAACCCCACCTTTACCTGAAATTGAAAAAGAATCCTGTCCACATCTTGCAGTAATGCTGCCTGCTCCATGTACACCCCACCCCACACGTGAGGGTCCTGTCTGCTTTTGGGGGTCTGGCAGAAACCTTCATGGGCTTCTGGGAGAGGAACGGAACCTCCACTGTGGCTGGAGGCGCTGGAAAGCCTCCCTTAAGAGAGACTGCAGTGTGTTATGTGCTCACGTGCCCTCCTGAGTCATAAGGTTGTCCGAGCAAGTGGTGCTGCTTGTTCCCACTTTGCTCAGATGCACACCCTCTTTTCCTTCAATTCCTGAAGCTGAAAGATGGAAACCCAGCTCTCCCTCCATGTCCAGTATCCCACCTCCACACAAGAGACCACATTGAAATATTTAAACGTGACATTTCCAAGGTTTTGCACAGAGCCCAAGGGGAAGGATCTTAGCGTGTCTAGAAGTAGTGTGGTACTTGCTCTCACTGACTTTTAAGAATGAAGCCATGGCCCCTCACGGTGAGTGTTACAGTTTTTAAAGTTTCATGTCCCCAGTTCATTCTTTCAGATGCTCAGGTGTGTCCAGAGTTTTCTCCTTCTGGTGAGTTCCTGGTGTTGCTGACTTCAAGAGTGAAGCTGCAGACCTTGGCAGTGAGTGTTATAGCTCTTAAAGGTGTTATAGCTCTTAAAGGTGGCAGATCTGGTGTTCCTCCTTCCACTGGGTCAGTGACCTTGCTGACCTCAAAAATAAAATCGCAGACCTTTGTGGTGAAGTTACAGCTCATAAAAGAGCCGTGGAACCACACAGCAACCAGCAGAAAAGCGAAAGAATAACACCTCTACAGCGGTGAATAAAACGGGAATGGTGGCTGCTATCGGTACGGGCGGCCTGCTTTTATTCCTTTATTTGGCCCCACCCACATCCTGCTGATTGGTCATTTTACAGAGAGCTGATTGGTCCATTTTACAGAGAGTTGATTGGTCCTTTTTACAGAGAGCTGATTGGTCCGTTTTGACAGAGTGTTGATTGGCATGTTTACAAACCTTTAGCTAGATTCACAGTGCTGATTGGTGCATTTACAATCTTTTAGCTAGCCAGAAAAGTTTTCCAAGTCCCCACCCATCCCAGAAGCCAGGCTTCATCTCTCACTGGTACTCGCTGCCCAACGTTGCCGTACCTAGCCTGGGCACTCCAGCAGCCCAGAGGAAGCAGAGGAAAAGAGAGGAAGCAACAAAGAGAGGGAAACCCGCTATCGTAGCCAATGACCCCTCCAAGAGGGAAAGGCAGTCCACACAGAGGACCCTGCCTCTGATGAAGCCCAGCAGCAGCCAGTGGCACGGAGTGCGGGGCCCAGTGAGCCGGGACCCACCACGCCGGGACCCACCCTGAACCTGCGCTGGCCAGCCAGCGCTGCCCGGATCTCCTGCCCTTCCCTCGCCCTCCACACCTCCCCGCCAGCAGAGGGAGCCCACTCGGGCCTCCGCCAGCCCCAGAGAGGGGCCCCCAAAGCGCAGCTGTGGGCTGAAGGGCTCCTCCAGCGTGGCCAGGAGGCCGAGCAGACGCCCAGAGCAAGCGAGGACTGTTAGCAGGTTGTCATCTCTCAAGAGCTAAGAACAAAAATGAGATAACCTGTGTGGGCTGGCCTCTCTTGTGGGAGCTTTCCCAAGCCAGGCTAGAGTCTCTGGGATGTGGATCCATGTGGAGGGAGAAGGACTTTTACCCCTTCTCATCTGAGAGGACCTTCCTTCTGAGTTTTTTTTTTTTTCCTGAGGGTGTTTATTTCTCAAGACCATGGACCCCATTCAGTCCTCATTGCGCTGTGGTGGTCTGTGTCCCACGCCTTCCGAGCGGCCTCAGATGCCAGAATGTGAAGTCAACACAACCAGAGCAGTTGTCCTGGGAGAGTTAAGGGTCTGCTCTCAATCACGGTGGGGCAGGAGGTAAACTTTCAGGCGGTTTTTTTTTTTTTTTTTGAGACGGAGTCTTGCTCTGTCGCCCAGGCTGGAGTGCGGTGGAGCCATCTTGGCTCACTGCAAGCTCCGCCTCCTGGGTTCAGGACTTTCAGACGGTTTTTTTTTTTTTTTTTTTTTTTTTGAGACGGAGTCTCGCTCTGTCGCTCAGCCTGGAGTGCAGTGGTGCGATCTCGGCTCACTGCAAGCTCGGTTTCAGGCGGTTTTTATAGGCAAACTCCTGTGTTTGCTTTTTCTTCCCTTTCTTTGCTGTTCCTAAGCGGGTTCCTCAACTTGGGAGAGAATGTGAAGGTTGGGGAGGGGGTGTAGTTTGCTGTTTGGGAATGATTCTGCTATATGGGCCTTTCAGCTCATGTCAGGTGGAGAGAAAGCCAGCTCTGAAATTTCCAGGCAGGAGCTACAGGCTTCTGCACAGGTGAGGGGAGATGCTGGTCGGTCCCAGGAGCAGCTGTGGCCTGCAGTTTCTATATCCCCAAGGTGGTGGGAGGGCCTGAGAGGGAATGGGCCTGAAGGAGCTGGAGGCCAGGCCCAGGGATCCTGCAGGCTTGTCCCACGTGATGGGACACCTGGCCTGGCATAGCCCTGTGTGAGCAGTGGGCGGAGGGCAGGGCAGTTCTCAAAATCAGAGACTGAACCTCCTTCCTGTCAGTAGAGATTGGGACGTCTATTCATTTTGTGGAAAATACTTAGAGAAAAATTAAAGGATGGCAGGCTCTGTCATGAGTGTCCCACCTGTGCTGCTGCACAGAGCTCAGCCCTCAGAGGGTTCCTGCTGTGTTCAATCCTCTCCTGTTGGTGTCTTAAATTTCACAATGACTTTCGCAAAGTGTCTCTGCGTTTCCACTTTGCACAGGCCCTGTAGATCCTGCAGCCGGGTCTGCTGGCTTGCTATTTCTTGCATAGTTGAGTCTGGTTTCAGGCAACGCTTGGCACCTGGCAACTATGTATTGACCACGACTGTGGCTCCTGCACAGGCCCTTTGCTGACAGTCTCTTTGGCCTTCCCACTCTGCGGGGAAACTGAGGCTGAGAGTGGGGAAGGCTTGACCAGTGAGGCCCACTCCTCCATGGTGACCCGAAAGCTCGTTCTCTCCTTGCAGAGCTGAGCCTGAGCATCCTCACATTTGCCTGCATTTGTTCCAGGGCCTTTCCCTGGGAGTTTCCAAGCTCCAGGTGGGCAGGAGGCCATGGGCGGGGCCTTTCTGCACAAACGTCTTTTCTTTTTAGTGTCTGCCCTTAAAGGGAGGCGGCTAACAATCTCCGCTCCTCACCTCCTCACCAGATCCCCGGCTCCATGCTGTCGCTTCCTGGGAGAGGCTCAGGCCAGGACACAGAACCCACACCCCACGGCCCGGACCGCGCAGAGCGTCCCCTCCACATAGGAGCGCCCCTTCTAGGAGGGCTGCCGCCCTCCTGCCCAAGCCCTCCAAGACAGGAAGGAAGCAGAACCTACAGAGGATCAGACAACAGGCTCAGGACAGGAAGTGCCGGGTCGGATGCTTCCTCCAGCCCGTGTATCCTGAGACCAGTGCCATGTGGGGCCGCCAGAGTCCTGCCTGGTGCCCAGCACTCCTCTTCCTGGAAACGCATCCCTGTTTAGCGTAGCAAAAATGGGGAGCTAGTAAACCTCGTGTCATGGGCTATGAATGGAGACATAAAACACTGAAAATTCTACTACTGCGAAAGTGAAACAGTCTTGCTCCAAATATGGCCTTGACTAAATTAATTATTAAAATATAAAGGGAAACAACTTCCTTTCACATACTTGGTTGAGAAAGCAACTAAAAAATTTATTTCTTCTCCCATGAGAAACACTACCTTTTAAGATAAAATTTATTTTCTGTATATTTGCATTAAGAGAAAATATGAAAATATTTAATTGACATTTTTTATTAAAAGACTATCAGCATTGAAAGACAAATTTCACAGGAAAAGCATTGAATCATTAAGTTTTGTAGTCACAAAGGTAAGTATAATTTGCTTAATGCTGCCCTCAGTTTACAATGGGTCTTTAGTATTTTCTAAGCTATAATGTGAGTTTGCCAAAATATAGCATTGGTTTGCTACATAGAATTTGCTCAGTGATAAAACACAAAGGAGTTACTTATGTTAAAATGTAAATAATAAATTTATGCAAAATTTCTGAAAGTATACATTGTAAAGACAATAAATCTTTCCATTAAATTAGTGGGAAAGGAGCTCAAAACCCAGCCGGGTGATTCATTATTTTAATGACTTCCTGCTTTATTGCAAAACCTCTCTGTTCATTCGGTGTTGGCAGTTTGAGCCCCTGTTAAGGATTTAGGCTCACAATGGAGCTTCTATAAATTTCCAGATCTCTGTCATGCTGGCATGTAGGTCATTCTCCTTTTGGAATGATGAGGAGGCTGGAAAGCGGTTGCTCCAAGGGAAGGGGGAATTTTTCAAACCCGAGCTGTCCAAGCTCAGCATGAATTGGAGTGGGCTGCTGACTCAGGGGCTAACAGAGGCAGCCAGGAAACATGCAAATGTGCAATCCCTTCTGCCAGGTCTGTCCCAGCAGGTGTCACTAAAAGGCAGCCCTGTGTGCTTCTGTCACTGTGGCAGCCTTGACAAGGAAGGTGGAAGGGAAAAGAGACCCAGTGCTGAACTCCAAGCAGAGATGGGGCTTTTCTCTCTGCATTTTTCCCCTCCCCTCCCAGCCTGCATTTCCAATAACATATTGATTTACATTTGTATTATGAAACAAAAATGGTTGTAAGCAGCTGTTCTTTCCTTTTACACACAATGCTAGCTCCTATTTACATTCCTAACTGAACAATGTCTAAAGAGGTACTTAAACTGACATGAATCACAGATGATCTTATGACCAAATGCTTAGTGCAAAAAAACACTTCAAATTGCAAGAGGAGTCCCTCTAAATATAGAAAGGACCAGTATTTTAAGAGATATGTTAACTAAAATGTGGCGATGTAAGGAGTAGAGCAGGAAGAACCTTTAGGTCCAAAACTTACAAGTCAATTTCATAGTTTCCATGGTCCTCCCTCTGGCATCTGTTTTCTGTACAATGGAGGTAACAATAGTAGCTATTCCAGAGCAGGAAAAGGCTTAGAGCAGTGCTAGAATACTGTCGTGGCTATATAAAGTTTAGCCATTTGTGTATCATAACAAATCTACAGTGTATTTTTTTATTGGTAGTCAATAATAGATTTCTTTTGGAGAAGTAGCAGCCTCCTGTCTGGGGACACCTGCAGTTCCCACTAAGTGAACACTGGTGTCTGCTAACTTTTGCCCCTATTTCTGTCAATAATTACTGTCAAGCTGTTCCTTGATTTAGCAATTTTATTTACTTTCTTTTTTTTTCTTTCCCTTTTCCTGAGACAGAGTCCCGCTCTGTCGCCCAGTATGGAGTGCAGCAGCGCCATCACAGCTCACTGCCACCTTGACCCCCGGGCCCTCGGGCTCAAGCAATCCTCCTACATCAGCCTTCAGAGTATCTGGGATACCCGTGCGGCCCACTATGCCTGGTTAATCTTTGTGGTTTTCGTTTTGTTTTTCCATTCCGGGTCTTGACTGGGAGTGTTGGCTCACGCCTGCAATCCCAGCACTTTGGGAGGCTGAGGCAGGCGGAGCACGGAGACCAGCCCAAACAGTATAGAGAAACCCCATCTCCACCAAAAAAAAATAAAATAAAAATACAAAATTAGCCGGGCATGGTGGCTCACGCCTGGAATCCCAGCCACTTGGGAGGCTGAGGCACGAGGATCACTTAAACCCGGGAGGCAGAGGTTGTGGCGAGCTGAGATCGTGCCACTGCAACAAGAGATCCAGCCTGGGCGACAACAGTGAAACTCTGTCTCAAAAATAAATAAATAAATGAAAAGAAACAGACCAGGTTTCACCAAGTTGCCCAGGCCAGTCTGAAACTCCCAAGCTCAAGCGATCCGCCATTCTCGGCTGTCCAAAGTCCTGGGATTACACTGTGAAGGTTAATTTTATATGCCAACTTGACTAGGCCACAGGGTGCTCAGATTAAACATAGTTTCTGGGTGTGTTTGTGAGTGTTTCCAGATGACATTAGCTTTTGAGTCAGTGAATTCAGTAACATAGATGGCCCCATGGAGATGGGCATCATCCAACTTGGTGAGGGCTTGAGTAGAACAAAAGGAGGAAGGGGGAATTTGCCCCCTTTCTTTCTACCTCTTTGGGTGTGCTGGGACATCCCATCTTATCTTCTCCTCCCCTGGGACTGGGATGTACACCATCAGCTCTCCTGGTTCTCAGGCCTTCTGACTTGGACAGAATTAAATCACCAGTTTTCCTGAGTCTTCCAGCTTCCAGATGGCAGCTTCTTTGCCTTCATAATCATGTAAGCCAGGACCCCATAATAAATCTCTTTTTAAGAAAATGTGGCACATATACACAATGGAATACTATACAGCCATAAAAAGGAACTAAATGATGTCCTTTTCAGCAACATGGATGCAGTTGGAGGTCATGATCCTAAGCAAACTAACACAGAGACAGAAAACCAAATACTGCATGTTCTCACTTATAAGTGGGAGCTAATAATTAAGTCCTAATTCCTAGAACCTGTAGATATTACCTCATTTGGAAAAAGCATATTTTCAGGTATGATTAAGTTAAAGATCTTGAGGAGAGATTATCCTGGATTGTCTCCGTGGGCATTAAATCCTGGCACATATATCCTTATAAGAGGGAGATAAAGGAGATTTAACTTCAGACAGAAGAGGAGGAGGCCCTGTGACCAAGAAGGCAGAGCCTGGAGTGGTGGAGCTGCAAGACAATGAATGCCAGCAGCCATCAGAAGCTGAGGAAGTCAGAGGATGGATTTTCCCCTCAGCCTCTGAGAGCATTGGCTCTGCTGATACTTAGATTTCAGGCCAGTGATACTAATTTTGGACTTCTGGAATCCAAACCTGTGAGAAAATATAAATTTCTGTTGTTTTGAGTCATGAAATTTTTGGTAATTTGCTATAACAGCCACAGGAAACTAATATACATGTTTACCTGGGTCCAGTGTGTCCTGTGACTCCTGCTTTCCTGGGACAGGCAGGCTGCGCCATGCCTGCTGGCCACCCTCCTTGGTGCTGGACGCTGCAGGCTGCTCCATGTGTGTTGGCCATTTCCTTTGGTGCTGGACAGCACTCACATGAAATCCACTGGCCCTGTGAAAAACACCTGCAAATGTTACCAGGACAGGGGTTAATTCTTCTGTTGGCAACTCTTGGTATTGCTTATGCCTTAACATCTGTGCCTCCAATATCCCTTCTCTCTGCCTTCATTGAAGCCAGGAAAGCAGTCACCTTTTGCCTTTCTTTGCCTCTCAGCAAGTGGCATGTCTCCATGTCACTTTAAGCATCAAGCACACAGAGCCCAATAAGATGCTGAGAAGTATCTGCCTACAAGGTGCTGGAGACATTCTGAGCCCGGTATCTCCAGGGGTCAGGAAAACAGCTACAGGAAACCTAAAGTTCAAAATGCTGAAGTGAAAAATGGGTGATCACAAAAGGGAAACACAAGCCCCTTCTTTTAAAAATATTATGGTGATAATGCACAACATAAAATTTACCATATTAACCATTTGTAAGTATACAGTGCAGTAGTGATAAGTATATACATTTGTTGAGTAATGAGTTTCTAGAACTTGCTCCTCTTGGAGAACTGAAACTATATCCACTCTACAACAACTCCCCATTTCTCTATCCCCTGGCTTCTGGAAACAACCATTTTATTTTCTGTTTCTATGAGTTTGACTAATTACGAACCTAATGTAAGAGAAATCATACACTATTTGTCTTTGTGTGACTGGCTCATTTCAACTAGTACTAGTGTAATGTTTTCAAGGTTCATCTATGTTGTAGCATGTGACAAGGCCTCTTTCTTTTTTAAGGCTAATAATATTATAGTATTCCATTGCATGGATAGACCACATTGATTGATTGATTGATTGATTGAGACAATCTCACTCTGTTGCCCAGGCTGGAGTGCAGTGGCAAGATCGTGGCTCACTGCAGTCTGAATCTCCAATTCTCAAGCTATCCTGCTGCCTCAGCCTTCTGAGTAGCTGGGACTACAGGCACATGATACCATGCCTGGCTAATTAAAAACATTTTTTGTGTGTGTGTGTGGAGATGGGGTCTCACTATTTTGCCCAGGCTTGTCTTGAGCTCTTGGGCTCTAGCTATTCTCCTGCCTTGGCCTTCCAAAGTTCTGGAATTACAGATATGAAGCACTGCATCTGGCCCACATTTTCTTTATTGTTTCATCCACTTATGGACACTGGATTGCTTCTCCCTCTTAGCTACTGTGAATAATGTTGCAATTAACATGCGTGTGCAAGTATTTCTTTGAGATCTTGTTTTCAATCCTTTCGGATGTATACCCAGAAATGAGATTGCTGGATCATGTGGTATTTCTAGTTACAATTTTTTGAGGAACCTCCATACTGCTCGTTATAGCAGCTATACCATTTTACATTCCACCAACAGCACACAGGGATTTCAATTTCTCCATCCTAGATAGTGCTTGTTGTTTTCTGTTATTTTAATAGTGGCCATCTTAATGGGTATAAGGTGACAGCTCATTGTGGTTTTAATTTACATTTTTCTAATGATTAGTGATGTTGAGCATCTTTTCATACGCTTGTTGGCCATTTGCATATCTTCTTTGGAGAAATGTCTATTCAAGTTCTTTGCCAATTTTTAATCAGATTATTTGTTTTTCTGTTGTTGGCTTGTAGTAGTTCTTTCAATATTTTGGATATTAACCCCTTAGATATACAATTTGCAAATATGTTCTTCCACCAGAAGCTGCCTTTTCACTTTGATTGTTTCCTTTGATGCACAGAAATTTTAAAGTTCAATGTATTCTTATATGCCTATTTTTTCTTTTGTTTTCTGTGCCTTTGGTGTCATATCCAAGAAATCACTGCCAAATCCACTGTCATGAAGCTTTCCCCTTACTTGATGGTGTCCCATGAGTTCCACTGAATTTCATTGCCACCAAGCCTGGCTAATGTTTTTGATTTTTTAGTAGAGGTGAGGTTTTGCTATGTAGCACAGGCTTGTCTTGAACTCCTAGGCTCAAACAATCCTTCCACCTTGGCCTCCAAAAATGCTGAGATGACAGGCATGAGCCACCATGCCAGGCCCATCGTTCTACTCCCTATCTCCACGAGTTCAATTATTTTCATTTTTAGCTCCCACAAATAAATGAGAACATGTGAAGTTTGTCTTCCTGTGCCTGGCTTATTTCACTTAACATAACGACCTCCAGTTCCATCCATGTTGTTGCAAATGACAGTATCCCATTCTTTTTTATGGCTGAATAGTACTGCACATATAACACATTTTCGTTATGCATTTATGTATTGATGGACAGATAATTGCTTTCAAATCTTGGCTATTGTGAACAGTGCTGCAACAAACATCGGAGTGCAGATATCTCTTTGATATATTGATTTCCTTTCTTTTGAGTATAAACCTAGCAGTGGGATTACTGGGTCATATGGTAGTTCCATTTTTAGTTTTTTCAGGAACCTCCAAACTGCTCTCCACAGTGGCTGTGGTAATTTACATTCCCACCAACAATGTACAAGAGTTCCCTTGTCTCCACATCCTTGTCAGTATTTGTTTGGATAAAAGCCATTTTAACTGGGGTGACATGGTGTCTTATTGTAGTTTTGATTTGCGTTTCTCTGAGGATCAGTTATGTTGAGCACCTTTTCACAAGCCTGTTTGCATTTGTATGTCTCTTTTTAAGAAATATCTATTCACATCTTTTGCCTATTTTTTGTTTGGATTATTAGATTTTTTTCCTACAGAGTTGTTTGAGCTTGTTACATAATTCTGGTTTTGAATCCCTTTTCAGATGTGTAGTTTGCAAATATTTTCTCCCGTTCTGTGGGTTACCTCTTCACTTTGTGGTTTGCTTCCCTTGCTGTGCAGGAGCTTTTCAACTCAACGTGATCCCATTTGTCCATTTTTGATTTGGTTGCCTATGCTCGTGGAGTATTACTCAGAAAATCTTTCCCCAGACCAATGAGCTGGAGAATTTACCCAATGTTTTCTTTTAGTAGCTTCATAGTTTGAGGTCGTAAGTTTAAGTCTTTAATCCACTTTGATTTGATTTTTTGTATATGGTGAGAGATAGGGGTCTAGTTTCATTTTCTGCATGTGGCTATCTAGTTTTCCTGGTATAATTTATTGAAGAGAGTCCTTTCCCCAATGTATGCTCTTAGCATCTTTGTCAAGAATGAGTTCACTGTTGACATATGAAAGTTTGCTGATTCTTTTTTTCTGTTTGATCAAGTTTGTTATTGAAACCCTCTAGTGAATTTTCCAATTCAATTATTGTATTCTTTTTTTTTTTTTTTTTGAGTCTCTCTCTGTCGCCAGGCTGGAGTGCAGTGGCACAATCTTGGCTCACTGAAACTTCTGCCTTCCGGGTTCAAGTGATTCTCCTGCCTCAGCCTCCTGAGTAGCTGGGACTATAGGCACCCACCACCATGCCTGGCTAATTTTTGTATTTTTAGTAGAGACGGGGTTTCATCATGTTGGCCAGGATGGTCTCTGTCTCTTGACCTCGTGATCCACCCGCCTCGGCCTCCCAAAGTATTGTATTCTTTAGCTCTAGAATTTCTGTGTTGTTTTTGCAGTTTCTATCTCTTTGTTGATATTCTCATTTTGTTCATGTGTTTTTCTGATTTTATGAAGTTGTCCATCTATGTTCTCTTTTAGGTCATTGAATACCCTTGAGACAGTTATTTTGAGTTCTTTGGCAAGTAATTAATATATCTCCATATCTTTTTTTTTTTTTGAGACAGAGTCTTGCTCTGTCACCCAGTCTGAGGCTCCCTGCAATGTCCACCTCCCAGATTCACACCATTCTCCTGCCTCAGTCTCCCCAGTAGCTGGAACTACGGGCGCCCGCCACCACTCCCAGCTAATTTTTTGTACTTTTAGTAGAAAATGGGTTTCACCGTGTTAGCCAGGATGGTCTCGATCTCCTGACCTTGTGATCCGCCTGCCTCGGCCTCCCAAAGTGCTGGGATTACAGGTGTGAACCACTGCGGCTGGCCATATATCTCCATATCTTTAAGGTCATTTTCTGGAGATTTATTTTGTTCCTTTGACTAGGTCACCTTTCTCTATTCTATATATGCCTGTGATCCTTTGTTGAGATTTGGGCATTTGAAGAAACCAGCCACCCCTCTCAGTCTTTACAAACTGGTTTTATATACAGGAGGATTTGTACCAATCAGCCTAGCTAGAGATTCTGGGGACTCTGAAACCTTTCATTCCCAATAAAAGAGATTTGTCGTGCTTCTTCTCAGGAGTCCAAAATCCCTTGCACCTCCTGGTGCTTGTCTGCAATACTGTAGTGTCTCTGGTGTAACAAGCCACAATGCTGGCCTTGTTCTCAGCTGTCCCCAGTCTGACATCCAAAGTACAGTGGAGCCCTGTCTGCACCTCGAGTTAGGCAAGGCCAGCACTAACCCCTTGGCAGCCCCTTGAAAATCCAGAACACTGGACACAAATTCAGCTCTTCTCTTTCTCTCTCGAGGGAAAGGCCCCGGGGCAGAGTTTTCTTCCAGTTACACCATATTGCATCCAGGAAGGGGACAGGGCAGACAGAGTGCAACTCACTTCACCACCTGGATCAACACAGCTTTTCTTGGCTTTGAGCTCACCTGGGATGCTGCAACCTCTTAATTGGGGTCTGGAACTCTGACAAAAGCAATTTGGTCCATATGTTGTTGTTAAGTCAGTGTCTATGCTGGGGAACAAGAGCCTGGTGAGGGGTTTCTATTCCATCATCTGGCTGACGTCACTCCTGACCTTTCTTTTCTTTTAAAGCCATTTTCCTGAGTTGATTTGAAGACTCTTCCATATTGTTAGTGTACTAATAATGTGAACCCAAATTTCTCCCGTGTGGATTCTACTTTCAAATACTTATTTTACTCTGAACTTGAAAAGTGAGAATCTCACCTGTGTGAAGAAGCAGGGAAGCCTTCCATTTCATTCTCTGGCTGCTTTTTGATCTTATCTTTAGGCTGCAGCTTGATGGGTTATATATGTGCTCCAGCTATTTCCTTCTCAACACAAGGAGCTCTTGAACTCCCTTGAGGTAGCAGCTTGTCAGCACTTCCAGAGCTTTTCTTGGAGGGCATCAGTCTTTGATTTGGAGGTGGAGATAATGGAAAAAATCTAGTACCCAGGAGAGGCAGCACCGGCACTTGGGGACAACACCGGTTGTATCTGCACCAGGACACATATTTGAAAACCACAGTGGGTTTTAAAAACAAGGTCCATTTTTATGATTATGAAATTAATACATATCTATTGTAAAAAGTATAAAGATTTGAAAAGTAGAAAATAAAATCAGCCACAATCATATCACTTCGTGATAACCACTATATTTTAGTCTATTTGCTCTCTGTATTTTACATAGAGATACTTCTTTTTTTCTCCATTATTAGGAACATATTCTCTGTAAAGCCATAACTAAAATATTTTTAAATTAAGTGAAGGGATCATTTTTATATGCATATTTAGAAACAGAATTTTTTTCTAAAGAAAATGTTTATTTCTTAAAGATTTCAGTGGACATTGGTTTCTATAGGGTGAAGAGATGGGAGGGAGGGGATTGGTAATGTGAGTTAATTCCTCCAGGCATTCATGAGGCTAGTGCTTTCTGTTTGTGCATCTTCTAAGCAGCCTTGTCCTTGTCTTGCCAGACATTTGCAGCTATGAATATGTAGTAAGTGCACAACTGAGGGGCATCTTGTTATGTCTTGCTCGCTCACTCACTCCCTGGTGGAGGCCAATAGGAAAGCGACAGACTTGGACAAGCTCTTAAGTGCATACCTTTGGGGATGTCAATAGTTTGAAAAGAACTTTTCACTGCACAGTATTGAGACAAAATGTTGGCTCCAACTCATTGAGAATTGAGCGAAAGGATCTCACCATTTCTACATAATGGGTCACTTCTAAAATTAAAAAATATATATACAGAAATTGTTTTTGCTGATGCAAACTTGACTTGTAAGTTGGTTGGTTAAGTGAAAACATCATTTATGGTAGGGAATCATAAAAAATTGTATGGTCTTATTTCAGCCTAAAACATACATATGTATGTTCATTCATGAGAAGTTTGATGTTTGGGCTAATGTATTTCCTTCGTGTATGGGTCTGCTGATTAGAGTCCAGCAACTTTCTTATACAATCACAATAAGAACCAGCATTATATAGTAGAATCGCCAGAATTAACACATAAAAATATAGGATGCCCACTAAAGTTGAATTCATATTGACAAAACAAATATATTTTAGTATAGGTATGTCTCAAATATTGCATAAGGTATATTCACACTAAAATTTTGTGTGTGTGTATTTGAAATTCAAATTTAACTGGGCCTCCTGTATTTTATGCAGTAACTCTGTTATGTAATCTACATCACACCTGTAATCCGTCATCTTTGAGTTTAGTTTTTCTTGCATTATTGTTGTAACTCCTATGGGCAACACCGGCATAAGCAAAGGTTGTCTGTTCCGGAACAAGTGATGTCTGCTGAGGGGTCCACTGTACACATGCCCATCGCATAAGTTCACTCAAGTAAAACTTGGGTCTAGAGTAACAATAGGAGAGAAGACGTGTGCCAGAAGAAAATGAAGCTGATTTCACGTAATGACAGGCTGGAACTGAACAGAAGCTCCATAGGGGAACCCTCATTTTGTTTCTCATCAGGGCCATATTCACTCTCATACCCACACCACACACCATACACCACACATCCACCCGCCACACCACACACATACTTATACCACGCACACACGTATCAGGTGCACACACCCACACCACACACCACATACCACACAGGCACACACTTACACCACACACACATCAGGTGTACACGCACCACATACCACACACAACACATACACTTTCCCACACCACACACCACATACCACATAGACATACATACCACACATACACACACACCCCTCCACACCACACACCACATATACCACACAGACACACATTCACATCACACACACACATAATCAGGCACACACACACATACACACACCCCAAACACATACCATATACATCCTACACATACCACACACACACGCCACACACATACTCCATACCACACACATAGCACCACACACAGCACACATAACACACAGACACACCACATACATGCATATCAACCACTTCACATATCACACACACCACACACATACACATCAGGCATACACACACACCACCCACACACCCCATACACCACACACATCACATACCACGCATATCATATACCACACACATCACACAGATCACACACACACCACACTATACACACATACACACCACACACATATCACACACACCCCACACCACACCACATACACCACACACATCGCACACAGTACACACGTATGCCACACACACCACACACACGCACATGATACACACATGCTCCTCCATTGTTGTTTCATTCCTCTATCAAGCTCGTACCTAATTTTTTTCTCCAAAAATGCCTGCAGCCTTGTAGATTCAATATTTAGGAGCACATTCCTCTTTCACGGTATGTGAGATATGAGAGGAAGGGAAGAAGCTGCTTTCGTTGAACTTGAAGTGGGCTGTTTCCAGAGGAAAACGTCTCCCCCACACCTGCCCCCTGCGCAGCACTGAGGCTGAGGTGGGAAGAGTGGACCCCGGCTGGGTCCCGACTTCAAGATTTGCAGTTGAGCAACAAGAACTCTTCCTGGAGGGAGGTGCCTCTGTGGTAGCAGATTCCTCAGAGAACTTTTGTAGACACACGTACACATACACATACATACATGTAACGTACACATACATACATGTATAGAGTTTGGTAGGTGTGTGCTTGTAATACATAGACTTCTTTTTGTCTGCTTAGAAAATATGAAAAGAACTTTTGTGCCGAAAGAAAGATCGCCAGTTTTCATTCTCTATGCTTGAATTGCTCTGAAAAAAAAAAAAGTGTAAAATCTTTGAAAGTAATACTGTGTATCCATTCTCTGAGGCAAAGTACCCAGGAAAAAATTTCTATCCACCTACCTACCTACCTACCTATCTATCTTGTCTTAGAGTTATATGCCTCAGCTATTTATTCTAGAATCTTAAATGTGGACCCCATTGACTGAAGAGTAGCTGGGTCCCCATGCAGAGGGACCTTGTGATGTCCAGCCTTTCTTCAAAGGGACAATGGCCATTGACTTGGGTAACTATCCACTGGGGAACTGACATATCCAGGTCACATCTGCTCCTGACTGACCCACAGGAGGCTACAAAGCCCCTGCCTTTTTGTCTTTGAGGTGGACCCCTATGTAGAAATAGCCAGGCTTCAGAGTTCCCTGTAGGACTGACGGAAGCATCCCTGTGCACTCGCTGCTTCTACCCTGTCCTGCTTCTGTAACCACCCAATGGGTTCACTTTTCCTGCTGCCTAGTCAGAGCCAATTTATTAAGATGGGGGATTGCAATGGAGAAAGAGTAATTCATGCAGAGCCAGCTGTGCGGGAGACTGGAATTTTATTCTTACTCCAATCAGCCTCCCTGAGCATTCAAGGATTAGCGTTTTTAAAGATAATTTGGTGGGTAGGGGCTTGGGAAGTGGGAAGCGCTGATTGATCAGGTTGGAATTATAGGGGGTTGAAGTGAGTTTCTCTTGCTGTCTTCTGTTCCTGGATGGGATGGCAGAACTGGCTGAGCCAGATTACCATCAGTCTGGGTGGTGTAAGCTGATCCATCGAGTGCAGGCTCTGCAAAATGTCTCAAGCATTGATCTTATCCCTAGGAGCAATTTGGGGAGGTTCAGACTCTTGGAGCCAGAGGCTGCATGACCCCTAAACTATAATTTCTAATCTTGTAGCTAATTTGTTAGTCCTGCAAAAGCAGACTGATCCCCAGGCAAGAAGGGGGTCTTTTTGAGAAAGGGCTGTTATCAATTTTGTTTCAGAGTCAAACCATGAACTGAATTCCTTCCCAAAGTTAGTTTGGCCTATGGCCAGGAATGAAAAAGCATAGCTTAAAGGTTAGAAGCAAGATGGAGTTGGTTAGGTCTGATTTTTTTCACTGTCATAATTTCCTCAGTTATAATTTTGCAAAGGCGGTTTCCTCTCCCAGGGTTGCTCCTGAGCATGCCCAACACACTTCCTGTGCACAGTTCTGAGTCTCCAAGTCTCTCCCAGGGAGCCCCACCCTTAGAGCACATCATTATACATGCATTCAGTGTCTCTCACTTGGACCAATTAACATTGCAGGTGTAGTTTAATCTTGTCAGCTACTGGTCACTGTGAGTGAAATTGCTTGAGGGTATTTGTTCATCACACCTTTGAGGGAGTGGTGAGTGAGATGTCCCCAAGCATCCTGCCCTGCCTGCCAGTTTCCTCCCAGTCAGCATCTGGCCATCCTCTGGAGTGAACCATGGCTAACAGGGTGATAGATTATTTTACTCAGAGGGAGGCTCAGGGCAGGAATAGGGGGAGGAAGAGTAAAAAATTCTCTCCTCTTTCTTTCCCAGATGATGGCAACGGTTTACTGCTACTTGAATTAAGCATCTGCCCACTGTGGATAAAGACACACCACATCCACTTTCTATCAGCTTCCATGGGCTGGAAGAGTGGAGTTGGGCTGTGTTCTTGGTGGTGAGGATGTGTTGCCTTTCCCCCAGGTAGGGTGGGGTGGCTGGTGGCGCTAACTATTTTCCCTGGATGTCTAAGCAACACCCAAGATCAAGCATCTGCCTTGAGTCCCTACCTTTTCCCTCGGGTGTTAAATTTCTACTGGACATTTCCAAGGGCCATGCCACAAATATTTCAAGCTCAATGTGTTCCAAAACAGACTCATTCTATTTGCTCCTGATTCCCACACCTGCTCTTCTTGTCTTCCCTGCCTTGGTTGTGAGTCCCTGTGCTCACCCTGTTCCCTACTCAGGGATCTGGAAATGATTCTTGATCCCATTCTTTCCTTATCCTACCAAAAACCTCCATCTCATCTGTTGTCCAGTCCTATTGACCCTCTCTCTTACATATCTCTAGAACCCATGTCCTCCTCTCCAGCCTCAGAGCCCCTGTAGATTTCAGGGCCTCACTCTCATGCTTTGGCTATGGAAGGATTGAGTCTCTTACTTGGCCCATCTACCTTTAGTGGCTCCTTCCAACCCCACCACTCCTCTGCTAGAGCGGTCTTTGTAGGAAACAGATTCGATAATGTTGACAGATTGGCTTGGTGTTGAGCAGTGACACGGCCCCTCATCACTGGCTACTCAGTCGGGTGAATTTCAAAGTTTCACAGAACCTGGAGCTAGTCCTTTTTCACCTGTTTTAGATCCTGGGCTTGGGAGAGTTTAGACGCTGTTATGATGCAATACTGACCACTTATATTTCTTTAAACACTCTAGGTTGCTTCACAATTTTTTTTTGTACATCTATCCTTTCTGCCTGGAATGATCTTTCCTGTTCCTACAATTTGATAGATCCCTGACTATATCTCAGGGTGTTACCTCATCTTTGAAGCCCTCTTGAATCCAGGAGCAGGGCCCATCTCTCAAAGGCCACCTCAGTTTTACCTTCTACCATTTGGGATTCAGAAGAAGTTGCCTGTTTGGACTCTATAAATCCATGATATTTTGGATTCTGTCTATTTTATTTTATCTCCACTTGCAGACTGGCCAGTTCTTTTCTGGGTTTATCTTTTTTTCTTGTAAAAACTTGCTAAACACAACCAGTAATAATTGGCATGTACAGCTAATGTTTTCCAACCTCTTCTCCTAGAGTTGAAAGTTCTTATGACCTGACTTCTCAGTTATTGCAGGCAATTATTTTACCAAATATTTTGCCACAACATTGTATAGACTGTGATCATTTTGGTTTCCCATAGCAATTTCCCTCACCCTTGTACTGTTTGGCATGTAAGCTCATGCCACATATAGATTCTTTATTATGCTCCGATTGTGGTACTAACTTTTGCATCAGCATGATAGGTTAGGTTCTGCTGTGGGAATAAGTCCAAAATGTCACTGCTTAAACAGGCAGACATTTGTCTCTTTGTCACACTGCATGCCTACTGATGCTTTGGTCTCTGCTTCATGTCTTGGTCACTTTGGACACAGGCTGACAGGGACCTGCCATGTGGAGTGCAGATGGTTCCTGCAGTAGAAGAAAAGAGAGCAATACAAAAATTAGCTGGGCATGGTGGCAGGCACCTGTAACCTCAGCTACTTGGGAGGCTGAGGCAGGAGAATTGCTTGAACCGAGAAGGCAAAGGTTGCAGTGAGCTGAGATTGAACCATTCACTCCAGCCTGGGTGACAGAGAGAGACTCCATCTCAAAAAAAAAAAAAAAAAAAAAGAGCATCGCAAATCTTACCTTAGTCCTTAAAGCCTCTGCCCAGCAGTGACACACATCACTTCTTCTCACACTTCAGTGCCAATTCATGCCTTGTGGCCACATCTCAATTCAAGGAGGTAGGAGCTGTGATCCCACCTCTGCAATGGGGAATATTTGATGCTGAGGCCTTATGGCTACCATGAAGTTCCTCACTGATTTGGGGGATGTAGAAGAATTTGCTTCTGAACTGTTGCTATACGTTAGATATTTGTCCCCAGCCAAATCGCATGTTGAATTGTAATCCCCAGTGCTGGAGGTGGGGCCTGGTGGGAAGTATTTGGATTATGGGGGTGGATCCCTCATGGTTTGGTGCTGTCTTCCTGACAGTGAGTTCTTGCAAGATCTGGTCGCTTAAAAGTGCGTGGCACCTCCTCCCAACACCCTCTCCCTTGCACCTGCCTTTGTTCTGTGAGGTGCCTACTCCTTCACCTTCTGCCGTGATTATAAGCTTCCCGAGACATCCCCAGAGTCTGAGGTGATGCCAGCACCATGCTTCCTGTAAAGCCTGCAGAACCATGAGCCAATTAAACATCTTTTTTTTTTTTTAATAAATTACTCAGTCTCAGGTATTTCTTTTTTTTTTTTTTTGACACAGCCAGAGCCTCGCTCTGTTGCCAGGCTGGAGTGCAGTGGCGCAATCTCAGCTCACTGCAACCTCCGCCTCCTGGGATCAAGTGATTCTCCTGCCTCAGCCTCCCAAGTAGCTGGGATTACAGATGTGCACCACCACTCCCAGCTATCTTTTGTATTTTTAGTAGAGACAGAGTTGCACCATGTTGGCCAGGATGGTCTCGATGTCTTGACCTCGTGATCCACATGCCTTGGCCTCCCAAGGTGCTGGGATTACAGGCATGAGCCACCGTGCCTGGCCAGTCTCAGGTATTTCTTTATAACAATGCAATAATGACCTAACACAACTGTCCAGGCCTGGCAACTTTTTGAAAGGCATTTTTGGGGGCTTTCTTTCCAATAGTTTCAATATTCACTAATGTATTCACATTTTTGCTTATTCTGCATCAATTTAGTATTTTATATATTTTCTCCTTTTTTTTTTTTTTTATTTGAGATGTAGCTTCGCTCTTGTCTCCCAGACTGGAGTGCAATGGCACAATCTTGGCTCACTGCAACCTCTGCCTTCCAGGGTCAAGCGATTCTCTTGCTTCAACTTCTTGAGTAGCTGGGATTACAGGCACCTGTCACTGCGTTCAGCTAATTTTTTTTGTATTTTTAGTAGAAATGATGTTTCACCATGTTGACCAGGCTGGTCTTGAACTCCTGACCTCAGGTGATCCACCCACCTCGGCCTCTCAAAGTGCTGGGATTACAGGTGTGAGCCACCATGCTCAGCCAGATATATTTTCCTGTCAACATTAAGAAATAATAAGAAGCCTCATGCATTGCTGGCGAAAATGTAAAGTGGTATAGCTGCCATAGAAAACAGCTTGGCAGTTTCTCAAAAAAAATAAACAGAGTTACCATATGACCCAGCAAACTCTACTCCTAGGTGTTTGCCCAGAGATCTGGGCACATCTGTCCATAGGAAATATTCAGTACAGCATTATTCATAAAAGCCAAAAAGTGGAAACAACCTACATGTCCATCAAGTGCTGAAAGCATAACAAAATGTGGCATATCCATACAATGGAGTATTATTCAGCCTTCAAAAGGAATGGAATACTGATACAAGCTACAATATAGCTGAGCCTTGAAAACATTGAATTCAGTAAAATAACTAGACACCAAAGGACACACATTGTATGATTCCATTTATATGAAATGTCCAGAACAGGCAAATCCATAGAGACAGAAAGTGGATTAGTAGTTTCTGGGGGTTGGAGTAGAAGTGGGTATGAAGGTGGCTGCTAAGGTGTATGGGGTTCCTTCACGGGGTGATGAGAACATACTGGAATTAGTGCTGATGGTTAGCAACATTAAGTATAGTGAAAACCATCGAATTGTATACTTTAAAAGAATGAGCATTATGGTATAGAATTATATTCCAATAGAGCAGTTATTTAAAGAAAAGAAATCATCAGAATTTGTAATCTTCATATCCTGAATGAGACGAGCTCTCTAATGCCCTCCCAGGTCCCTGTCCAACTCTTTCCTTGACTTTCTTCAAGGCTCTTCCCACTTACACTGGCTCTGACATGCATCATCCTTCCCACGAAGTTCAGGCCTCTGTAAAGTTGAGGAACATGGTATCTAATTTAGGGCTGTTGGATTTCAAGTCCAGGCCATGAATCTGATGATGCCCACAAGCTTCAAGGTACTGATAAGGACATATCAAAACTAAAGAAAGAATGATAATGCTAGAATTATTGCTGTTATATATTCTTTAAAAAGAACTTTTTTCAGAGACAGGGTTTCACTCTGTTGCCCAGTCTGGAGGGCAGTGGCACAATCACAGCTTACTGTAGCCTTGACCACCCAGGCTTGAGTGATCCTCCCTCCTACCTCAGCCTCCCGAGTAGCTGGGACTACAGGTGCACACCACCATGCCTGCTAATTTATTATTTTTTTTTGTAGAGACAAGGTCTCCCTATGTTCTCCAAGCTGCTCTCAAACTCCTGGGCTCAAGTGATCCTCCCACCTCAGTCTCCCAAGGTGCTGGGATTACAGGCATGAGCCACCCCGCCCAGCCCTGTTATATATTCTTTAACACCAGGGCTCACCAGGGAAAATGCCAAATGCCAACACTGTAGTTGTGAATACATGTTTGCAAAAGAAGAAAAATGGTATCCTTTACCAGTGAGTCTCAATAGAGCAGAGGGGAAATACAGAGAGGAAAACATGTTGCTTGAAAAAACAAATTTGAACTCACCGTTGCCATCACCTGGTTTTAGCGATGATTCATGGGATACCCCAGATAACATCCAGGGAAGGCATGGGCAATTTCTGTTTGTCAAAAGGGCTCATGAGCTAAACTGTATTAAATTGCATTTTGTCTGTCATGTGTGAGTCTATAAATGTGTTTAATATATGGCTGTCCTCCTCTCCTGTTAGATAACACACTTGTGAGGACAGGGCCACGTCTTTTGTGTCTTCTGCTTGGCGTCCTTGAGAGCATGGTCTATATTTATGATGTAGCCTTGGTTTCATCAACTGTAAATTCTGGATAATAGCTATGCTCCTCACAGCATCATGGGTGAATTTAAACAAGAACACCAAAAAGAATGCATACAAAGCCTCTAGGTTCACCCCCGAGCTTTTCTGTTCCTTGGGAAGAAAACAAATGTGGAGAAGGGGTTGAGGTCGTGGATAGGGAATGGGGGTGTTTCTGCTGCTCCAGCCAGGCTGTGGCAAGGCTGTGGACCTGGGGAAGAACACAGCAGAGGCCACCAAGCATCTCCAACCCCCTCAAGGGGCTGGCTTGCTGAGCACCATGCCTCAGCCCTCGGCTGCAGAGATGGCAGCAGCCATTGTGGCCCTGTGGCTCCTGAGGACTCATTTACCCTCAAGGATTCTCTTCACTGCCCACACTGGGGACAGCTGTGGCTAAACCCACCAAAGTCAGTTCAGGTGAAGGCTCTAGAGGACGAAGAGGCCAATGTGGGTGAATCGAGCCTCCTGTAAGGAGTTTCTTTCTATTTCGCATATGTTTTACTCTAGGGCTGCCAGATTTAGCATTAAAAACACAGGACATTTGTTAAATTTGAATTTCAGATAAATAACAAATAGTGTTTTAGCATACAGATGTCTCCAACATTGCAAACTTAACTGGGTGTCCTGCATTGTATCCGATGGCATAGAATCACAGAGTTGGACCGTGATCACTTATTGACCTACTGCATTGCGTTAGTCAAAACATATTTGAATTACCCTAAGCAAGGTTAGAGCCCACCTCTCTTGAACTTTTTTGCTTCAAGGACATTGTAACATCGATTCCAAGTCTAGTCTTGTGGTATCTTTAGTCTCTGCGTGGGTATGTATATGTGCACGTGCATGTGGCTGGTAGAAAGAAAAACATCTTTCTGTCCCTCTGTAGAACAAAGAAGTGTGTGCTGGCAGACCTGGGTTAGGCCCCGTGTCAGCCTCGTCTTCTGTCATTTGTGAGCACTTGAATTGCTGGTGAGTCAGAGAACCTGGCAGAATAGGACATTTTGTGACAGTCTCAGAGAATAGAAGATGATCTTAACAAAGCCCTATGTATTCCAAACTCTCAAGCAAGATCTCTTCAAAAAAAAAAATGAAAGGTAGGATGACAAAAATATGCTAAATGTTACTTTTAAAGACAGAAGTATCATGTTTCTCACACTTTAGCACATAATTTAACAAATCGAGCTGTCAGTCGTTATAAATGCATATGATTACTTTTTTTGAGGTGCATAAACCTTCTAAAATGAAAAATGCATTCATGAACAACTAATACCAGGAATGTTTATAAGGAAACATGTTTGCATGTTGAAGTGTGACTGCTAGCAATTTGATAAAAGGTTTTTCCCATCTGTGAAGAAAGAAATGTATATTTTGACCTCCAAATGAGAAAAAAGCACTTCCTGGCCTTACTCAATTTCATGGCAGACATCTACGTCTATCACTCAACTTGCTCTGGAGAACAACAGGGTGGTCTCTCATTTTTCTGCTTGGTTTAGTTCAAAGATTAAGAAGTACGTGCAGCTGAATGGAAGCAACTTTCTCTTTATTATCTTCTCATTTTTATCCGTGTAATTTTTACCCCCAAAGAATAGAAAAAGTCATGAATTGTTGGCCTGGTTGCCATTGACTCCCAGCTCTTTCTATATCTTTCAGCATTGTACAAGGGGGTTTCTTTTCCCCATTTTAACCAACTGATTAAGTTAGATTTAAAATAGGTGAAGACTTTCTTTCCTTCCAATTCAAATACACTGTTCCTGCTTTGAGTTTCTGCAAAGGTAGTTCCTCCTTCTCTCTCCACAGACTCTGGCCTCAAAGATTTACCTCCTTCCCTGGAATTGTTGGACCTGCGGGGGTGCAGCTCCTAGTTGACATTCTGTAGCTCCTTTTCTGAGCTGGATATCATGCCTCAAGTGCCAGCGTGCTCAAAAGGAAGAGGGTGCTTGGCTGTCCCCAATCCTTCTTATTTTTTTTGAGATGGAGTCTTTCTCTGTTGCCCAGGCTGGAGAGCAGTGGCGTGATCTTGGCTCACTGCAAGCTCCGCCTCCCAGGTTCAAGCCATTCTCCTGCCTCAGTCTCCTGAGTAGCTGGGACTACAGGTGCCCGCCACCACGCCTGGCTAATTTTTTGTATTTTTAGTAGAGACGGGGTTTCACCATGTTAGCCAGGATGGTCTCGATCTCCTGACCTCGTGATCCGCCCACCTCAGCCACCATGCCCCACAGCCCCCAATCCTTTTTTTTTAAGAATATTTAATTATCTTTTATTTTATGTGTGTGTGTGTATATATATTATATATTTTTTATATATATTATATATATATTTTATATATATTATATATATTTTATATATATTATATATATTTTATATATATTATATATATATTTTATATATATTATATATATATTTTATATATATTATATATATATTTTATATATATATTTTATATATACATATTTTTTAAAAATAGGGTCTCGCTCTGTCACCAGGCTGGAGTGCAGTGGTGTGATTATAGCTCACTGCGGCCTCAAATTCCTGGGTTCAAGTGATTCTCCTGCCTCAGCCTCCCAAAGTGCTGGGATTACAGGCATGAGTCACCATGCCCAGCCCCTTCTATAAATATTTATTCAAGGCCAGATATTTCAACACGTTTTGGATTCTGAATATGTGTTCAACAGTGACACTATGGAATGTTAGAATGGAGGATTCTGTGGTGAGGGGGACTGGCCTGTGCATTGTAGGGTGTTTAGCAGCATTCCTAACCTCTCCTCACAAGGTATGAGTGGCATCCTCATAGTTGTGACAACCAAAAATAACTAAACATTGCTATTAGTCCTCTAGGAGATACAATTGCTCCCAACCAGACCCACTGGGCTACAATAACACTACATTACCTCAGCTACCGCACCTTAGTGAAGTGTTTGGGATCTCAATGAAACGCTTGGGGTATGTAGTAGGGTCTCACTGCTCCACATGCCTCCATTCAGCTCACAACCCCAAATCAGCTATTTTATTTATTTATTTATTTATTTATTTATTTATTTATTTAGAGACGGAGTCTCACTCTGTCACCAGACTGGAGTGAGTGGCGCAATCTCAGCTCACTGCAACCTCTGCCTCCTGGGTTCAAGCCATTCTCCTGCCTCAGCCTCCCAAGTAGCTGGGACTAAAGGCATGTGCCACCACACTCAGCTAATTTGTGTGTGTGTGTGGTGTGTGTGTGTGTGTGTGTGTGTGTGTGTTTGGTAGAGACAGGGTTTCACCATGTTGGCCAGGATGGTCTCTATCTCCTGACCTTGTGATCCACCTGCCTCGGCCTCCCAAAGTGCTGGGATTACAGGCGTGAGCCACCACACCCGGCCGCTTCAAATCAGCTATTATTTGATGGACCTCATGGAGTTTCAGTCTATGCAGAAATAGCTTCATATTTTGCCAAAAATTTCAGGGGATCACTATGCAGACATACAGTAATTTTCATCTTCGAAGCTGTGTCTTCTCCTATGTCTTGTTCTGCAAATTCCATCCTACTTAGCAGCTTAGAACTTAGCTTTCTCTTTGGGCTCTATCCCTCTTCTTGCAGTTTGGAAAGTGCCCTTAGGCAGAAAGTTGGATGAACACAGGCTCACTCAGCGTATTTCCCTTTTCTCAAGGATCACAGCTCTATACTATGTACTTTTCAATGCCTGAAAACATTGCTTCATATATTTTGTCCATTTTTGTATTGTTTATAGTGGAAAGTAAGTCTGATAATCACTACTTTGTTAAGGAAAGTGACTTGGCTGTCTCTTCACTCTAGTGCTATATATTTGCAATTGATTATTAATTATTTAAATGGATACAGTTACAATCCTGCATGAGGAGCCAAAGATGCCAACAAGACAAAACAACAGGCAACTTAAAGAAATCCAGTGCTTCATATGTTTGGAGCACTTTCAATGAACAACTGAGACACCATGACATTTATACTTTATGTGAGATTCTATTTGACTTACACAGGCACTGGAATGTATGGCACCATGTTATGATAATATAATTGTTCTTGTATTTTATTAAGAGTGGTAGTCAATCATTCATCAAATGACAATCACTGCAATATAACGTAGATCAACTGATAATCCAAATCCCTTCTTTAAATGAAGAAATTGATACCCAAAGAGGGTAAATGACTTATCCAGGGCCACACAGCTAGTTAATCTCAGAATTCAATCTTAAAGGAAGGGTTCTTCCTTAGCTGATCCTCTCTCCAGTTCACCATGCTCAAACCCGGGACCTCTGACACTCTTCTTCTTCCCACTCACAAATGTACCCAGAGTATACAAAATTAGAGAGGAGCCTGTTGTCTCCTCTCCATTCATTTTTAGGCTGGTTAAATAAGCCATCTGTAACAAAGAGATAATTTGCTGTAATGGAAAGAACATTGACTTGGAACACAAGTGATATGGGTTCTTCTCTTAGTGCAATCACTGATGTCTCATGATCTGCCAACTGATTGGTCCACTGCTCTCAATCTCAGTTTTCTCACCTTAAAATAATTAGATAATGTCATTTCTAATGTTCCTACTACTTCCAACATCCAATGTGATGTGAGAACATGGCATATGTTTAATGGCTACATTCCATTAAAGGTAACAGAAGGTAATAAAAGTTGAAGGAAACATGTACTGTTTTATCCCTGTGGCTGAATATGTAAGTGCCTGCAACTGTGGGAGAATTGTTCCGTGTGTGTGTGTGTGTGTGTGTGTGTGTGTGTGTGTGTGTGTGTGTAGAATAGAGAAAGTATAAGCAGCAGCATTATGGATTTATTTATTTATTTATTTATTTATTTATTTATTTTTTGAGACACAGTCTCACTCTGGTTGTCCAGGCTGGAGTGCAGTGGTGTGATCTCGGCTCAATGCAGCTTTGACCTCCCAGGCTCAGGGGATTCTCCCACCTCAGCCTCCCAAATAGCTGGGACTACAGGCATGCACCACCACACCTGGCTCATTTTTTTTTGTATTTTTAGTAGAGACAGGGTTTTTCCATGTTGCCCAGTTTAGTCTTGAAATCCTAAACTCAAGAAATCCCCCTGCCTCAGCCTCCCAGAGTGCTGGGATTACAGGAGTGAGCCACCTCACCCAGCCAGCATTATGGATTTTTAAAGTCAGTATTTCACTCTGCCTCCCAGGCTGGAGTGCAGTGGTACAATCACGGCTTACTGCAGACTCAAACTCCTAGGCTCAAGCTAGAACTACAGGTGTGTGCCACCATGACTGGCTAATGATTTTATTTTATTTTTTGTAGAGATAGAGTATTGCTATATTGCCCAGGCTGGCCTTGAACTCGTGGTCTCGAACTCCTGGTCTCAAGCAATTCCCCTGCCTCAGCCTTCCAAAGTGCTGGGATTATAGATGTGAGCCACTGTGCCTGGCCAGCGTTATGAAAATTTTAAGGATAATTTAGTATGTATGTAAGAAAGCTTACACAATTAAACATGTCATGTTTAATGAAACTGTCAGGACACTAACTCATCATGACTAAGAAAGGCTATGTTATTTTCTCATTTAAACCTCATGCAATTTATTAAGGTGTCTACTTATTAAAACTAAGTCTTGCTGTATTTTCCCTTCCTGGTTTCTGGCAGGAAACACATTTTTAACTTTCAGTTACATGGAAATAAACCATTTCGTGGTATATCAGATTTTAAAACACACTTGAAACCTCTTTAGTCATCTAACTTCTTTTTTTCTAGTTTTTCCTTGTACTCAGTTACTCTTGTCACATGAATGGTCCATCATGTCTGTGATAATATTTGTGGGTTTAAAAGCGCTCTCAGTGAGGTCAGAGCAAGAAGCAGAAGCAGTGCATTGGCACAGAACCCTTAAAAGGAAAATACAAAAGAAACATTCCCTTTGTATCTTGGTGTTTTACTAGTGAGTTATTTCCCCTAAGTACTTCCAGTAGATGTAACTGTAACTCTGCCATACAGTCCAGCAGTTAATATAAGCTTATCTTTTTCAATGCACAGGGATAGATTTATTGAGCTGATAATATTTGCTCACTCTTCTTTTCAGTGGTGATTTATTTAAACTCTCCAGCTAATTTAAATTTAATAAAAAAGGAACCTTGTACATTGCTTTATTGAAGCTAGATTCATCTCCAAAAACACTGCAGTATTCAAGATTGTGCAAAAGTGGCAATAACTGTTACTGGATTTAATTAAAAACAACAAATCATTTGGTCAGTGGTAATGGATGCTCTGTACAACCCATTGGATACATGGTAATTTAAGAAACTGATATCTTAATCTTAAAATGTTGGATTAGACAAGACCCTGGAGCCGATGGCCCTGCTCCCGCTTTGCTCAACATGGTACCATTTCATCCGCAATGGCTTTCCTTTGATGTTGGGACCGCAAGGGTTGACTGGCCAGCGGGGAGATGAGGCTGGCTTCTACCTTCCTTTAATTTGGTGTTGGGAGGGGAAGGAAGCCACACAGGATGCACTTTTTGGATGAAGGCCAGTAACATAGAAGAGATTTTCTGGGAGAAGCCATAGACTGCTAATTACCTATGATGCTATGAGAATTTTACTCAGCTGTCTCATGCAGGGCAATAAATGGACTAAAAATTGTTGAGATTTACGCGTGGCTATTCATAGCATGACCGTCATCCATCTCTTACTCGGAATGTTCAGAAGGCATAGCCTCTCAGACATTCTTCTCGCCTGTGTCCCCACCCAGTTGGCTTAGGGAATAGCTTATGACCTCATTATCAGGAATTAGAGCACAAGAAGAGAGGCATGGTGAATGAGGGGGCTCACTCATCCACGGAAAGTGGCCATAAAAGGGATATTTTGAAATAAACAAATGAGCTATTTAGACTATTTAAACTAAGTATTGCTGATTGTATAAATCCCCAAGAGAAAATTATATAATGTCCATGTAAGTGCCTTGGAAACCATGTAAACATTATATATCTACCGTCAGCCCTCCATATCTGTGGGTTCCTCCCTGTGGATTCAACCAACCCCAAATCAAAAATATTCGAGGAAAAAATGGATGGTTGTATCTGTACTGAATATGTACAAACTTTTTTCTTATTATAATTCCCTAAGCAATACAGTATAACAACAATTTACGCAGCATTTAGATTGTATTAGGTGTTGCAAATAATTTAAAGAAGATTTAAAATATCCAGGAGGATGTACATTTGGTTAGATGCAAATATGTTTATCCCATTTCTCCATCTTTTTGACAAAAATCTAATCATGAATGTTTTAGTGTCAGCTGACGTGCAACCTATCTTAAGGATATTCACTTCTAAACTAACATGTAATTGTAGAATAAATGATGCCATGTTTTTAGAGATATTTCAAGCATTTTTCTGCAACTAGAGGTAGTGGGGAAGAAAGGAGGAACAGAATGCAACCTTTCGTGACCCAGATAATACCTCTCTCTTTCTCAGGCCAGACTTGATGGCAAAGGTCAGAATTCCTTTCCAAGAAATAAACCAGAGTCCTTTGTCTTCCTCTTCCTACAAAGATATATGTTTTTGAGTGAACATCGCTTACTTATAAAGGCTGAAATGAAAAAAATGTGTATATGTTGCCAGCCCAACTATTTACTCTGTGAAGGTGTAAAATAGCCCACTTAATATTAGGACAGAACTGTTGATGTAAATCTGAAAGAAAAATGGGAGCATGGCTTTCACAGTAAAGCCTTTTGTTAGTGCTGAGGGCTTACACAAAGGCACAGTTCCCCTTTTGCCTGGGCTGTATAATATAGGATGTAAATTACAGCAGATTCCCTGAGCAGGGATGAAATTTATGGTGAGGATTCAGAAGGCTACATTTGAGATTCATGGATATCTAAATGTGCAGGCCACCATCAGCATCTGATATAGCTCAAGCAGTATTTTTGTTTTTTCTTTTGTAGCTTACGGTCTGTGATTTTGTTTATGCCTCCTGCCAAATGTACTATTACAAGAGTAGAACATTACATGCTCAATGGCTTAAAAGGCCAAGGAGGGTGGAACATGAGCACGAGTCCCATGTAGCACCCAGTGAAAGACGTTCAGGGCATGGAACAAGCTCCTCTAACAGGAAGCGTGAGACTTCACCAGCGAGCCGAGCTGTGCTGCTCTGCGTTTGCTGCAGGTGGAGAGGTGTCTTCTTTATCAGCCGTGAAGCTGGCAGTCAAAGGAGCCATGCATTAAGTTGCTCCGAGTGGGAGAGCAGGGGCCAGGGGAGTCTGGCTCTGGGGGCTGTGATGAGGACAAGCACTCAGCTGTGGGCCAGAGGAGACTCTCCTTATTTCACAGAGGGTCTTTCAGGTTCTTTGGCATCCATCAGAGAATCCTACTGCATAGAAGTATAAGGATTTCTTAAGAAAATCATCCCACTATTTTCTCTTCTTCAAAATGGGGAGGGAATTGTGACTACCTTGAAGAGAAAGTACCTTGCCTATGGGGGACACACTTGAATGGTGAACGTGTGTGTCCCTCCAAGTCAAAAAGCTCACCTCAAAATGAGAGGTGAAGCCAGCTGCGCTTCTGGATAGGGTGGGGACTTGGAGAACTTTTGTGTCTAGCTAAAGGATTGTAAATGCACCAATTAGCACTCTGTAAAATGGACCAATCAGCACGCTGTAAAATGGACCAATCAGCAGGATGTGGGCAGGGCCAAATAAGGGAATAAAAGCTGGCCACCGGAGCCTGCAGCGGCATGCAGATTGGTCCCATTCAGCGCTGTGGAAGCTCTGTTCTTTTGCACTTCACAGTAAATTTTGGTAGATTGCTGTTTTGGTATGTGCTGCTTTTGTGAGCAGTGATACTCACCGTGAGGAGGTGCAGGATCGTTGTTGAAGTCAGCGAGTCCACGAATCCACCAGGAGCAAAAAACAACTGTGTATGTGCCACCTTTAAGAGCTGTAATACTCACTGTGAGGGTCTGTGGCTTCACTCCTGAAGTCAGCGAGACCATGAACGCAATGGGAAGAAGCTCCAGTGACATTTGAACGTCGTGAAAGAGCAGACTGTAGACAGTGTCTTTAAGAGCTGTAACACTTACTGAGAAGGTCTGTGATTTCATTCTTGAAGTCGTTGGGAGCGAGAACCCACTGGAAGGAATGAACTCCTTCCACGAAAATAGCAAAGCTGTTGAAATTAAGGAGAATAAAGCAACTTTGCCAGTTGTTTCTGAAGCTGTGATGAAGAAGGGGTCTTGGTCTTTCCTGGCCACACTGGGGACAGGGAAGCCAGGAGTGAGGTGGGAGTAAGTCTCTAGCCTTGTGCTGTTCATCGTTCACCCTTGGATAAAGAAGAGCAGGACCTTTGGAGCAGGGAGAAATCACTTATCTGCCTTAAAGAGAAGAACCTATACCCGGCTGCGTGGTGTGGCTCATGTTCGTAATCCCAGCAGGTTAGGGGGTTGAGGAAGAATTGCTTAAGGCCAGAACTTCAAGACCAGCCTGGGCAAAATAGTGAGACCCTATCCTTCCATTATAAAAATAAAGTAATAGCAAAGGGTGGGGCACATGTTTGTGTGGAGGACTGGAGGTCTGGGTTTTCACCCAGGATGTTCTCTTCTCAGGACTGTTTTTGGCAGTGCTCTCAGCTTTGGCTTGAACTCCAACAGGCCTAGAACGGGGAGCTGCTGCTTCTCTCCCTCCTCTCTCTTTGTTCAGTCAACAAGCCCCTCCTGAGCATCTGTTGTATAAACTCACTTTGCTGGGATGCATGAGAGGACTTGCAACACCATTTCACAGCAGAACGCAGGCCTCTGTGAGTTCAGTCTGTCAGTATTTTTTGAGTGTCTTCTATGTCAAAATGCCATGTGGAGATAAGCAAAAAATAGAAAAGAGACACTGCTGTGATGGTTAATTTTATGTGTTGCCTTGACTGAACTATGGGTGCCCAGATTAAACCTTGTTTCTGGATGTGTCTGTGAGGTGTTTCGAGATGAAGTCAGCATTCACACTGGGGGACTCAGTAAAGTGGATCACCGTCTCCAACATGCGGCACTGCATCCACCCTGGTGACAACCTGGGTAGAACAAAGGGAGGGAGGAGACATTTGCCTCTTTTTTTTCTGCGTCACTGCTTAAACTGCAAGATTTCATCTCATCTTTTCCTGTCCTTGAACTGGGGGTTACACCATTGGCTTCCCTGGTTCTCAGGCCTTCAGACGCTAAATTAGATACTAGCTCTACTGAGTCTCCAGTTTGCAGATGGCAGATGGTGGGGCTTCTCAGCCCTATAATCACATGAACTAATTCCTCATTATCTATTTATCCATCTATCCATCTCTATTTGTCTATCCATCTGTTCAACCATTTCTATCTATTTGTGTCTATTCATTCATCCATCCATTCATATGTGTCCATCCATCCGTCTGTCTCTAGTCATCCATCCACATCTATCTATCTATCATCTATCAATCATCTATCAATCCATCCACATATCCATATCTATCTATTTATCTATCTATCCATCCATCCATCCATCCATCCTATTGGTTGTGTCTCTGGAGAACATGACTAATACAACCACCCTTAAGGAGGTTTTGGTTTGGAGAGAGAACTTCCTTGCTGTCTGCCTGCCTGCCTACCTGCCTACCATGCTTGTTATGTTATTATTTTATGGTGTTTTTCTTTTGGCCCCTATTAACCTAGTAGCCACTGTGCTGGGCTCAGGGGGGACATCAAGCTGCCATGTCTAAGCTTGGCTCTAGGGGAAATGCACACAGAGGCTAAGAGGTCATAGTAAGGGGCTGAGACTCGAAATGGTGGTGGTTAGGGTGGTTTCACCAGAAAATTACAGGTTGGGGAGAAAAAAAAATCCTGGGGAAGTAAAATAAAGATTAAGTTCATCTAAAAGTAATCTTTTCCCAGAGATCTTAAAATACTCGGAGCAAAAATGATTGCTTCTCACTCTCCCGTGTCCCTGAATTCTCGTTCAGCCCTAAAAATAGAAGCACTGAAAGCTTTCCAAGACCTTCCTGAAACAACACATTTGAGACCACATAAAAATATTTTATGATGACTTCTGTAGCCTGATTTCTTTCCGTGTGTGACATGGAGAGTTCAAAGTCATTTCCACTGAAAACAACCCTCTTCTGATGCCCGTACAATGCTAACTACAGCCACTGCATCCCAGGGTGTGTGCAAGGCGGTTCAGGTGAGGGTTGCTGTCCCCGGCAAAGTGAATCCATTTTGGAAAGTTTCTCGGCAGGGACATCCTTGTACGGAAAGATCAGATGGGTCTGTCCCAATTAGTGATGAAACGTGGTGGCATTTACTCAGAATTTTGTGCTTTCAATGCACAAAAATAAGTCAGCTGATTACTTTTCCGGTGCAAGGGTATCCTGCAGGGAATCTCAGTTCTGTTTTTATTTTGAAATGGCTCCAGCAGAAAGATCTAAAGTAATTAAGCTTATTACAGAAAGCATTGGTGTATGACATGAAAAAATATGAATCCCTTATTTTGAACCAAGAAACAGGGAAGTACTTGCTAAATACACCAAGGAAACTAGAAATCTGTCTAATCATCTTTTGACTTCTAAAGCAGTAACTGGTGCACCAACTTATTAAAGGAAGAAAAAGAAGACAAGTGTTCTGAGAAAAAAAGGGAAATTCCTCAGTTTCAGGTTTTTATTTCAATTATGACAGCTCAACTTTTTTTTTTTTTAATTTTTATTTTTGGACAGAATCTTGATCTGTCACCCAGGCTGGAGTGCAGTGGCACAATCTTGGTTCACTGCAGCCTCAATCTCCGGGCTCAGGTGATTCTCTCACCTCAGCCTCCCAAGTAGCTGGGAGCACAGGCATGTGCCACTATGCACAGCTAATTTTTGTATTTTTTGTAGAGACCAGCTTTTGCCATATTGCCCAGGCTGGTCTCAAACTCCTGGGCTCAAGCAATCCACTCACCTTGGCCTCCTAAAGTGCTGGTGAGAAGGGATAGTTTTCTTGACCCTCTTCATGGGCGTTTCATTCAGCCCACTGCTGGCCGCTCCTCCAGGGAGGGAACATGTGAGCAAGCAAGTGCAGGAACTGGAGCGAACCAACACTGGAAGTGGCTGGTCACTCCTCTCTGGCGGCAGCAGGTTCTGTGTAGGCCCGCAGCAGCGTCCAAGCGTGTTACAACCAATGCTCTTTCAGCTCTGCCATCTGGGGACGGCCAAGTGACAACCAGCTCAGTGGAGGGTCAGGATGGCAGCCCCTGCCCTCTTGGCACCCAGGTTCTTGTCCAGCATTCGAGAAGAATCAGGTCACACGAACTGTTTGAAAGGTGATGCGGCTGGTCGTGGTGGCTCATGCCTGTAATCTCAGCACTTTGGAGGCCGAGGTGGGAAGATCACCTGAGGTCAGGGGTTTGAGACTAGGCTGGCCAACATGGTGAAACCCCGTCTCTATTAAAAATACAAAAAATTAGCCAAGCATGGTGGCAGCTGCCTGTAATCCCAGCTACTCAGGAGGCTGAGGCAGGAGAATCGCTTGAACCTGGGACACGGAGGTTGCAGTGACCCGAGATCGGGCCACTGTACTCCAGCCTGGGTGACAGAGCGAGACTTCATCTCAAAAAAAAAAGAAAAAGAAAGGTGATGCATGTGGAAGACTTTACTGAGTGGTGGGTGGCTCTCAGCAGAAAGGGAGGGGCTGAAGAGGGGATGGGAAAGTATTTTTTTCCCGAAGCCCAACTGTCTCTGGCCAGGCATCCCTCGGAAACTGCACTGTCTGAAGTTAGCCATGTCTATCCATAGTCTCTGAGATTCAGTCGCTTCTCTGCTTGCTGCCCAGTCACTTGTATCCTCCACGCTCAGCCACTTGTGTTGCTCTGCCAGCTGAAGTCTTTTATGGGCACAGGATAGGGGCAGGGCAGGCCAAAAAGGCAACATTTGGGCAGAAAAATGGGCTCAGCTGTTTTCACTTAGAGCCTCAGTTCCAGGCTTAAGGGTGGAGTTTAGCCAAGAGCCTAGCCTTTCTGTGTCACTGGGATTACAGGTGTGAGCCACTGCTCGGGCCTTTCCTTTTCTTTTCGGTTTTGTGTGTGTGTGTGTGTGTGTGTGTGTGTGTGTGTGTGTGTGTGTGTGTGTTTGGTGTTTTTTTTTGTTTGTTTGTTTTTCAGACGGAGTATCACCCTGTCACCCAGGCTGGATGGCAGTGGTGTGATCTCAGCTCACTGCAACCTCTGCCTCCCAGGTTCAAGCAATTCTCTGCCTCAGCCCCCCGAAGTAGCTGGGATTACAGGAGCCTGCCACCATGCCCGGCTAATTTTTTGTATTTTTAGTAGACATGGGGTTTCACCATCTTGGCCAGGCTGGTCTTGAACTCCTGACCTTGTGATCCACCCACCTCAGCTTCCCAAAGTGCTGGGATTACAGGCATGATCCTTATTGCATTAGCTATGACTTCAGTACAATGTTGCTAAGGAGTGTTGAAAAGAAAACACAGGTAGATGACTAAACTAAATCAGGAGATAATACATGAACCATATGAAAATTTCAACAAAGAGGTAGAAACCATTTTTAAAAGAAAATAGAAATTCTGGAGCTAAAGAACACAATGAATTGAACTGAAAAATTTCAGAGAGCTTCAACAGCAGATGTAACCAAGAAGAAAAATCAGTGAGCTTGAAAATTGGTCATATGATATCACCCAGTCAGAGGAACAAAATGGGAAAAAAAAGTAAAGAGAGACTGAAGAGAACCTATAGGAGTTATGAAACTCCATCAAGCGAACCAATATACAAATTACGGAAGCCGCAGAAAAAACAGAGAAAGGTATTTCCTTATAGTCAAGAGAGACATCATGGGCAGTTGGAAGCCTGACATGTGTGTTGACCTCTAGTTGAACAGTGAAACCTCAGGGACTAGTTAGTGGATGGGAATCCACCCTGGGGGATCCCATGGATGGTTTATGAGCTCAGGCTTTGGCCCTATCCTGCTTGACATTTTCAGGAAGGTTTTAAGGAAGACACCTACATTAAGTGCCTCAACTTTGTGGATTATATGACAGAATTTGGAAATTTAAAAAACGAGTGATGCTTCAGCAGATCAGATCACAGACAGACTGGGATTGGACAGTGATAATCATAGTGAACCAAAGGCACTGATGGAGGGAGAGTTGACTCAACATTAGCAGAAGTTTAAAAATATTAATAAAAGACTTTAGAATTTTGGGGAAAAAAAAAGCTGGCCAGAAGGACAGGTATTTCAAGAACAGGTCAGTTGCTGTTGCATGAAGGACCCTCCAAAGCTGCCTCATTGGTGAGTCCCTCATGCACAAGGCCAGGCCGCAGCCTCGTGTGCTGTCAGGAGCCATTTACCCAACTGCACCCACAAAGGTCTCCAGGAGGGGATGCAAAATGTTCGATATCATTTTCCTTATTTTAGCAGAGACATTTAATGGCAAGAGTAGTGGATTCCTTGTCTCTTCTTGACAGTGTTTTCAAATTGACTCAATACTTCAGTGGGAACATTGTGGTCCCACCCAAACCATTTAGAGAGCCTGTCCAGGTTGGGACCTCCACTTTAAGCACAGTTGGTCTGTCTGCGGTGTGGCTTTCAACTCGGTTTCCTCAATTCTGGCTCTACCTCCTTGCCAAGGCACTTCAATGTGAGGTCTTAGGAGGTGAGTTGTATTAGTTCTGGGTTTTGGACAGAGCCCTTTTAGATCTCCCTTTCTTTCTCCATTGTTTTTCTCAGCTATGTTTCAGGGAACTAAGTCTCTCTACCCATCAAAAGGGTGATTTAGATAATGTCCCGCTGTGGGCAAGTGACTGGAAGCCACACTGCAGAGAGGATATAGGTGTTGGATGGCAGAAAAAGTGGGTGGCCCATATGCCCTGAGTTTCAGTGAATCTGTATTTCTATTTCAGTAAAGAAATAAGCAACCCGACCTGCAAGGAGAAAGTCATCAGACCTACCCTAATTGGCAGGGAATATATGGGATAGATGAACAATTAAGTGTCCCAATAAGGGAGTCCTTTCTCAAATCTAGGACAGAGTGGGGAGAGAGAATTCCAGAGGCCAGATCCCAGGTCTGGAGAAAAGAAGATAGAGACTCACAGATAAAAGAAACAAGTTATAACAATCAAAAGCAATATGTAAACCTATTTGTTGCCCGATTTAAAATAAACCAACTATGAAATGATGTTTTGAGACAATTGGGAGCCTTCAAATATGGACTGGGCAGTAGATGAAGTTAAGAGATTAAAGTTAATTCTGTGAAGGGTAATTATGTCATGGTGGCAACAATAAAATAAAGTCATTAGCAGTTAGAGAAAATTGAATGAAATATTTATGGGATGAAATGATATATCCTTAAAATTCTCTAGCAAGTGATCTAGTACAAAACCAGTCAAAGAAGAAAATGGAGGTGAATGTGGTAGATGATGCAAAGTTAACACAGTATTGATAATTGTTGAAGCTGGAACATGGGCATATGGGACATTTATACTATTCTATTCTTTTGCTTATTTGAAGTACCTGTAATAATTTTTTTTTAAAATAGTCCATCTAGAAAGAAAAGGATTGTTACTATGATCTTCCCTATTAACAGACTTTTTATGTTTTCAAATGAATTATTCTTTACATATTGCTCATTGCATTGAGTTCCTACACCATCTCATATTAGGATCGGGCTGACAGAACAAATAAGGAATCCCATAAGGGCTGACAGTTTGGAAATGCCTGGGGTGAGGGGGCCAAGAGCTAGTGTCTCCTCTGAGAATGGAAATGTTCTCTTTCCTTCCAAAGGCACACCACTGGGAGAGACTATAAACTAAACTACTGGGTTAAATTCAATTCAAAGAGAAATAGGACTTTCCAGAATATCCTCAAATAAATACTGAAAGACTTCTTGGGAAGGGCAACCAACAGCAAATCATAAGCAGCATAGACCCAAGCAGAAATCACAAACAGTTAAATGGCTGGGAAAATACATTTACTCAAATGGCGATGCAATTTGGAGTTGTGTCTTAAGTGTTGTACTGTGAAATTTCAATTAGGAGCTAAGTGCTGTGAAATGGGCTGTGCTCAAGGACTTTGGCCAACCGTTAGATGTGCACTACAATTTTCCAAGACAGAGCGAGTGAGATCAGGGTGAGCATGGTATATTGTTTGGGTTACATTGAAACGTTTTGATGCCTTTCAAGATGTGTGTTTTCTACCACGGGAGGAGAGATGGGTGCACTTATTCATACACTTGCACAAAATGTACAAGATGTTGGTGTAAAGTGTCACACTGGAAGTAAAACAAGATATGAGTTCCCAGCAATGCGGCACACTCAAATTCCCTTAATGAGAAGAAAGAAAAAGACTTCATTATGGTCCCTTCCGGTAGGTTTATCATCTGAAACACAAAGTGAAGGCAGGTGGGAAGAGCACATTGTTTTACTGTAGATAAAAACACTCCTAAAAGCAGCTGCTCCAGAACAGAGTGTTTCTTTGGCTCCATCTCCAGGAGAGACAGAGGGGAGTGAGTGGTTTTGTTTGAATAGCATTCTCAGAGTTGGTGAATTTAGTCAAGATTACAGATTTGTCTCTCTGCTTTACGACCCCAAAATGGGATTGCAGGAAAGGAGTTAATTTTGTCATCTCACATGGAGACCATTAAAATCCTTTTGCTGGGGAAATCATGGAAGATCGTCAAATATTGCCAAGACCTCCTTCCATCAATATTCAAGAGCCCAGCTTAAACCTGCTCCCAGGGTTCATGCAGAAAACAGATGTAGTCAGCATTTTTTTGCCAGGCTTTAGAGAGTGTTGGTAAAACAAAAATGATCAACACATTTCCAGCAAAGAGCATGGAACACACAGAAACATGAGATACGAAATTCAAGTCATCAGAGTCTAATTCTGTGATTCAAGAACTGTGTGGCTCTGTGCAACTTAATCACTCCTAGCTTCAGTTTTGTAAAGGGGAAATAAGAATTACCTGGTTAAATTTGGTGGAAATAAAATAAAATAATAAGTACTAGGTCTCTTCTAAGGGAACACTTAATAAGAAGACATATTATAGAATCAGGAAGCATTAATACCTTGTACTATATGATAGCGACATAAATGAGGTGCAATGGGAGTGAGGGTGGCCGCTGAGGTGGCTTTCCAGGCAATGAGTGTTTGTTTTGGGGGACTGAGGTACGGAAGGAGGGAGGCAGCCTGCAGGGGGTCTGCAGGGGACATCGGGGCAGCCAGGTGAGGCTGAATATCCCTTTGTGACTGTCATGGAGCTTTGAGGCCTCAGATGAGGACTTAATTTCCTGGATCTTCAGCTTCCTCACACAATATTAATTAAGTTTTAAAATTCTGAACTTAATATTTAGTAGGGGCACATTAACATGGTTCATGCATCAAGAATGTCAACAGGTGGCCTGGGAAATCCCCCTTTGCTCGGGTCCCATTGTAGCAGGATGAGCTGCAGACAAAACCCCTCAGACACCGAGTTAAAGAAGGAAGGGCTTTATTCGGCCAGAAGCATCGGCAAGACTCACCTCTCAAAAACCGAGCTCCCCAAGTGAGCAATTCCTGTCCCTCTTAAGGGCTTACAACTCTAAGGGGGTCCGCGTGAGAGAGTCGTGATCGATTGAGCAAGCAGGGGGCACGTGACTGGGGGCTGCATGCACCGGTAATTAGAACGGAACAGAACAGGACAGGGATTTTCACAGTGCTTTTCCATACAATGTCTGGAATCTATAGATGACATAACCGGTTAGGTCAGGGGTGGATCTTTAACTACCAGGCCCAGGGCGCGGCGCCGGACTGTCTGCCTGTGGATTTCATTTCTGCCTTTTAGTTTTTATTTCTTCTTTCTTTGGAGGCAGAAATTGGGCATAAGACAATATGAGGGGTGGTCTCCTCCTTTATCATCTTCCCACTCCACTAGCTGTTGTCCTCCCAGAGGTACTTGTTTTGTTTTCTGTGTTTGTGTTTGCTTTTTTTTTTTTTTTTAATTTATGGGCCACATTTTTTTTATTTTCTCACTTTCTTATTTAAACAAAATGGTTGCATAGAGCACATTCCATTGTTCTCCAAATTGCTTATTTTGCTTCACATCTTTTGTGAGAATATTTTAGAGTGAGTTGTTGAAAGCTGATTTCTGAATTCCTCTATGGAGACTTAGTGATGAAATTATCTAAAAGTGCTGATGCTACCTGATGTAACATGTAACCATGTTACAAAGCCCCAGGATAGACCTCATCACCATGCTCTGCAATTTGAACATCTCCAGTTACCACCTGTTTGCTGTGGAATGTGCTCTACATGTGTCCCCAGATACCCACGGTCTCTCCCTGGTCCCTCCACAGCATTCCATCCCAGGGGACCCATGAGGGCTGCACAGTGCCTGGTCATCTCTCACCCAGTCCCGTGTCTGGAAGGACAATCCAGCCACACCTGGTGCTCAGGACCTGCCCAAGGGCATGCACCCTGCTGGGTGCTTCTAGTCTGACATGAGTGATCGAAAAGAGGACTACATGTTGAGGCTTTCTCAGGCATCCCCAAACAGAATTACTCACCACGGTGCTTTGCTTGACGCCTAAGGCAGCGTTGTTAGTGATAGCTATTGTGACTTGTCATGAATGCACCTGCCTCTGTGTTAGACTGTGAGGTTTGTTGATGAAAAAATTTGAAGAGATTTATTCTGAGCCAAGTGTGAGGACCATGACCTGTGAGACAACCCCAGGAGGTCCTGATGGCATGTACCCAAGGTGGTCAGGCTACAGCTTGGTTTTATACACTTTAGGGAGACATGAGACATCAATCAATACATGTCAAATGTACATTGGTTTGGTCTGGAAAGGTGGGACAACTTGAGGTGTGGAGGCTTCCAAGTCATAGGTGGATTCAAACATTTTCTGATTGGCAATTGATTGAAAGAGATGTTATTATCCAAAGTCCTGGACTCAATAGAAAGGAATATCTGGGTTAAGATAAGGGGTTGTAGAGACCAAGGTTTTTTATCATGCAGCTGAAGCCGCCAGGTAGCCGACTTGGGAACTCTTATCAGACCTAAAAGGTGCCAAACTCTTAGTTAATTCTCTCCTGGATCAGGGAAAAGATCTGGAAAGGGCAGGTAATTCTATACAGACCATAGATTTTTCCCCACAACAGAAAGCTCTTCAGGGCCATTTCAAAATATGTCAAAGGAATATTTCTGGGTAAAATACTTTGATTTCTTTTAGGGCCTGCTGTCTGTCGTGTGATGCTGTACTAGAGTCAGGGTGGAATTTGGTCTCTTACTGCTACAAAGAGTCTGCTCTGTCAGTCTTAAAATCCCTATTTTAATGTTGATGCTGGTCAGTTGTGCCTGAATCCCAAAGGGAGGAGGGTATCATGAGACATGTCTGACTCAACTTCCACTCGTGGCCTGAACTAATTTTTCAGGTTTCTTTGGAATGCCCTTGGCCAAGAGAGGGGTCCATCGGTTGGTTTGGGAGCTTAGAATTTTATTTTTCATTTACAGGTTGTTGAAAGTGGGGCTTACCTGTCTTGGTCCTGGGGAGGTGATAAAGGTGGAAATCAAAGGTATCTTTCAAAGACTCCCCTGGGGTAGGCCAGCACACTCTCAGAAAACGAGTTCTTAACCTCTTCTGGTGCGGACACTCTGCAGAGATGAATTCAAAGGTCCTTTTGGCTCCTCGGGGGTCTCATACAGCACTAGTCGCATCAATGAATGAATGGCAAGTTCCTCTGGAATGCCTGTGGAGTCTGACACAACATAGGTGTGTGATGATGCAACAAAAAAATCCGTCAGAAACCCCTACAGCAAATACAATGGATTATGGATACCTGATTAAAGAGACTAGCAAAGGACCCATGTGTTTAGTTGGCTCTGAATTTTGAATGGTGCACTCATGGAAAAGGACCTTCTCTTCTGAGTTAGGTAGACCTTCAATATGGCCAGAGATCTGGCTTATTTTTCATTCTCCCTGAGTTAATGCACTTATGTCTTAATTATCTGTAGGAAAAGCTTTTGCATTATAAATCTGGGTCATTTCACAATACATTATTGACACATTGACTCCTGATGCGGCACCTGCACCATACTTTCTGTAGGAGCTTTGTGACGACTGACGTGATGTGAAGTTAATCCTGTGTCTGCTTTATGGTCTATCCATCCTTTACACATGCTGGGTACTCAGTGCATGCTTCTGAATAAATGAATGAATGAAGTAATGAATTAATGACTAAATGAAAGCTGAAGAAGTGCCTACACCCTGCCAGTCAACTGTGAATACAGAAAATTAGGGAGAACAAGAGGCAGTCACTGTCTGCCCTGCCCTGTAATTCAGATTCAGGAGACAAATCGCCCCCAGGACTCCCTCCCATCCACTGCTTCAAGTGATTTTCACTCTGGCTGACATGGCTTGGATTTGAATATCACAGCTGAGAAGCACAGGCTAATAAGATGTTCTTCTATATCTATATAACATGAAGAAGCATGACTGTATTTTCTACCACTTGGTCTTATAAAACAAGAATCATTCCTTACTGATGATGGTGTGTGGTGTTTATAATGTTCTGGGAGATTAATTTGTTTTCACAAAGTGACAGTCATACAAACGAAAGGAAAATCTAACTGAAGGCAAATGCTAAAGATCACATGAAGCAGGCTTTAATTTTTGATACAAATAAATAGTCCACGGACCATAAACACATCTCTAGCCTTGAAAAACCATTAGGAAAACATTGCTTATGGCAACCAGAAGACCCTGCCCTTTCAGAACCAGAGCTTCTCTGATCCGTTTCCATGGTGATTGAAGCTCTGCCATCTAAACACACGGTGGTCCCCAGGAGGAGCTGATGAGCAAAGGCTGCAGAGGGGATTACTAGGGAAAGACAAAAGTTCCTTCTCTCTCCTTCACTCTCAAATTTAAATTCAACCTAATCCAAGAGGAGAATAGGAATAAACTGAATTGGAAACGTCCTTTGAACTGCAAATCATAGCCTACTGTGATTTTTATTTATTTTTTAAAGTTTGAGGTTTTGTCCCAATTTATACATTTAGTCTTTACGATTCCACGATGGGTTTTGGAGATAAATGGTGGCTACTCGGGGAGATAAATTCAGGTCTTCCTGGTGGCTGCAGGAGGAGGCTGTCAGTGATGCTGGGAGAATGTGGCCCGGCAACTGTGCTGATTCACTCTGTGTTTGTTCGCCTGAGAGCTGTGCCACATCAGTGCTGAAACCCACCACTCAGGGGGCTGCATTCTGGTTTTGCATCTGGGCAAAAGAATAAAGCTCTGTTTTACTAGCACAAAGGTATGATTAAATTGCAACAGATTTTTTTACATAATTAAAAAACTTTTTTATAGAGATGGGGTCTCACTATGACACCTGGACTGGTCCTGAACTCCTGGGCTCAAGTGATCCTACCACCTTGGCCTCCCAAAGTGCTGGGATGACAGTGTGAGCCACCACACCCAGCCCAGAACAGAATTTTTAAGCTGTGTACACGTGTGGTCAATAATAAATGTTTTCTGCTTAGGTAATAATGATGACCACCTGGAACACAGGACACCAGGCATTTCCCTGAGTGCTTTGTACGTGCCATGCCTCATTTAATCCTTACAACAACCTCGCAATAACCCCGAGACAGCCCTAAGACAAACATATGATTAGCCTTGAAGAATAGAGATGATGAAAGTTAGAAAATCTGGCATGGGTCACTCCAAAAGACCCTTGTTTCTTTGCCTAGGCCGATGCTCTGCTCTGAGTTGCACCACCTTCCATGTCATGACTATATTTTGAAATGCCCTCTAAATGTCAGGAGAATATACAGTACAGAAAATGTGCTCATGGGCTCTGAATCCCAAGGGACCCTCTTATACCAACCACATAGCAGCTTCTGTAATTTCCAGGTAGGATGGAGATTTCCTTCTCATTGGAGTGCCAGATAAGGCAATGCTGTAACCAAAGTCTGTCTTGGACCTTGATGCCCCATTTATCAGAAGGTCAGGAAAGATTACCTCATAATCAAAAATTGTAGTTGTACATTCACAGCACATGGTTGCCCAAGGAGCTATTGCTGGTCCCAAGATTGAAGTGTCTTCCTCCAGCTTCTAGGATTGTAACCATAATAGGTCCACTGCCCGATGTATGCGGCAAGTCGGTACACCGAGACACTGCGTTGCAAAAGAGAAGGAGATTTAACAAAGGGCTGCCAAATGAGGAAATGGGAGGAAACCTCAAATCTGACTCCCCAGGTGTCAGGCCTCCGAGCCCAAGCTAAGCCATCATATCCCCTGTGACCTGCACGTACACATCCAGATGGCCTGAAGCAACTGAAGATCCACAAAAGAAGTGAAAATATCCTTAACTGATGACATTCCATCACTGTGATTTTTTCCTGCCCCACTCTAACTGATACAATATATTCTCCCCCGCCCTTAAGAAGGTACTTTGTATGCCTATCCCAAACCTGTAAGAACTAATGATAATCCCACCACCCTTTGCTGACTCTCTTTTCGGACTCAGCCCACCTGCACCCAGGTGAAATAAACAGCCTTCTTGCTCACACAAAGCCTGTTTGGTGGTCTCTTCACATGGATGCACATGACACCAAGGGGGTAGGGATCTTCAGGATTTTGTAGTGGGTGAAATGAGGAGATGGTTGATTGGTGGAAGAGTGCATGGTGAAGTCATGGGTCGGGGAGATGAAGAAGCTGTGTTCTCCTGCTGATTCTGTTCCCCTGTAGGGGTCTTCAAACTGGTTGGCCTCAGCTGTTTCACTGGAATTCAGAATCTGGAAAACATCTTAAGCAATTCTTAAACAAAAGTCTTATGATTCTAATGTCAGGATCCTACCTGTGGGAACAATGGGGTTGCAAATGGTCAATAACTAATGCTGTTTGACTTTCAGCAACAAGGAAGTGGGCCCAAGTGCAGCCAGATTCCTGCTTAATTATAACTGGCATGCTATTTCTGTCAACTGTTGTGGGGATGGCTTCAGGATTACAGATGAAGACCCTTTCTCTTGGAGATGGATGGAAAGTCAGCGACACATGGTCAGTTTGGAAGCATGGACTCAAGAAGCCATCAATCATTTCAGCTCTCTCTTTCCACTAGTCCTTAGAATCCATAGCTTGAAAACATCTGGGTCACTGGGCAGGTGAGCAGGGAGTGTGGAGTCACTGATACTCGGAATGCCTTAGCCAGATGCACAGAGAAGCCAGGAGTGGGTGGCCTGCAGGGAAATTCAGCTTCCAGAGTTTCTGTCACTGAAGTGCAGCATGGCCCACTCAGCCATCGAACTCCTACCTGTTTGTTTCATTTGCATTCGCTTTGTCTTCCCAACCAGACTGAAAGGTCAGCCACACACACCCAGCTCCTCCCACCCAACCCTCCTGGGGCCCACCCCAAAGCTGAGTGTGCTTCAGTTCAGTACATGCAGTTTGGCATAAGCATGGATATTTGCAGAATGGTATGCTCAAACGTCCTTGAAACATCCCAGTGAGAAAGGTGTGTGCTCCCTTCACTCATTAAAGTGATACGTAATGCTTGAGGACCTAGCTTAGACATGGTCCTGTTTGTGAAAGAAATAGACATTTTGTGATATAATTATCAAAACACAACATTCGGGGCTAGAAGTGGCTTTCAAAATCATTTAAACGAATTTTGTAATTTCACAGATAAGTTCACAGTTAGCTCATGGTATTTGGATATATTACAGATAATGTGCCATTTCTAACAGCTGGGATCTGGGGCAGCCAAACCTGACAACTTTTTGCAGTGACCACATAAACCAGTCTGCTGGCCAGTGGCCTACCCATGTCCATGGAGCCCAGGGTTGCACGGAGTAAATTTTCTTGGGCTTTCAAGCATGCTTTTCCCCTTCATTAGGTCTATAAGTGGGAGTAGTTTAAAGGACATACAGTTGAATCTCATTATTTGAGGTGTTTATGTTCTACAAAGTTGTTGTGAACACTGAATTAGCAAATCAGTGAATACCGAACCACTGCTTCCAGGGGAAATACAAGGTTAGATTCCTGTGAGCCCCTGGTCATGTTTTCATCAACCTTGTTTTGTGTGTGTGTGTGTGTGTGTGTGTGTGTGTGTTTGTTTTTGAGGCAGAGTCTCGCGCTGTCACCCAGGCTGGAGTGCAATGGCATGATCTCTGCTCACTGCAACCTCTGCCTCCTGGGTTCAAACGATTCTCCTGCCTTAGCCTCCCAAGTAGCTGGGATTACAGGTGTGCACCACCATGCCTGGCTAATTTTTATATTTTTAGTAGAGACAGAGTTTCACCATGTTTGCCAGGCTGATCTCGAACTCCTGACCTCAGTTGATCCACCCGCCTCTGCCTCCTGGAGTATTGGGACGACAGGCTTGAGCCCCCGCGCCCGGCCGTGTGTTTCATAACTTTCTTTGCTTTACATGTGCTTCTGTCTAAAGACCCCTTATTTAGTATACACTGTTGATTCATTAATATTGAACTCATGGCTAACAAAACTTACCTAAGGCACATATTTTCTCCATAAGGCACAGCACATGAGCCAGCCCTTCCACACTATGCTTGGGGCCGTTTTAAACAGTGAAACTACCAACAAAAAGCACAAAAAATGTGAGAAAGCTGGCACTAAGTAGACTGCAAAAAGAACCGTTCCTGCGGCCTGGAGTCTGTAATTTATTTCTTCACAGTTCTGGAGCCCGGAAGTCCAAGATCAAGATGTGGGCAGAATCGGTTCTTCTCAAGGCCGCTCTCCTTGGCTGGTAGAAGGCCACCTTCTCACCCGCTGAGCTTGGATTCCTGTGGGTCCTCCGATCCATCAGAGCTGTCGTTTGTGGAGAGTCCATGTCTGGGGTTCTGAGCCCTCCACGTGGCACCTGGGCGTCCTTTAAGAACCCTCCAAGTGGGGTTTAATGTCAAGCCCGCCCGGCCAGCGGGGGGAGCCAAAGAGCAGGGAGGCCGAGGTGGGAACACTGGACGTGGAACCTGAGACTACCCCAAAGCCTGCGTTGTAGCCCGCTTAGGGGCTGCAGGCTGAGGGGGGCGCGGCAAGACTCCAAGTAGAAGCGGACCTTGAGAGGCAGCCAGGCCAGGCGGCAGCCGCGCCCGGAGGGTGCGGAATGAGGAGCGCAAGGTGGGCAGAGCGTGAAACCTTCACCGACTGCACCTCCGCCCTCGCTGCCCTACCGGAATCCCCAGGTGGGAATCCGCTCCCAGTCCGAGATCCTGGGCTCGGGGGTTCTGGCCGGCCCGAAGGACTGCTGCATCTGGTTTGGGTTGGGTGGTCTGAGGTGGGGCTTGGGTTTTTTGAACACTCCCCGCTCATTCTAAAAGGAAGTCAGGATTCAGTGAGGAAGGCTGTCCGGGAGTTCAAAGACTCGCGCACCTGCAGCCAGGTGAGAGCAGGAGGCCTGGGGCAGGCAGGGTGGCGGGGGCGGGTCCACTACGCGCTTCTGTGTGTCCGTGTGTGCCCTCCCCACAGAAATACGATCTATTTCGGGATCGCTTGATGCCCGATAACATTCCCTAGATTTGCTGTTACCCAGGGTTTTTTTATTTTTATTTTTATTTTTCCCATATCCAAACACCAACTTGAATGCCCTGGATTTTGCAAATACATTTTCCATGAGAAAAAGGAGAGTGATGTCCCTCAGAGACTTCATTGGTGCGTGGCTTGAGGCCCTGCTCGGTGGCTCCCCCGTGCTCCCCGCGGATCTGGGATCTCCGGCTTTCACTGGAGGCCGACCCCCAGCTCCAGTTGTCCCCCATTTCCCCCACCCTCCATCCTTCCTGCCAGCTTCGTATCTGCACCATAAATCACTGCGTTATGCAAATTGAAAAATCTGCCTGTAGTTCTTGCGAGGAGAGATCACCCACAAAAGTGGATTTCCATGGAAACGAAACGCGAAATGCAACAGAAAGGAGACGAAGGACAAATTAGACCTGCTGCCTAGTTTTCAGCTGCGAGTCACTGCTTCCTGTTAGCGCCCTTCCTCCATTTCTTTTAGCGTCTGCATTTTTAGACCAGAGCAGTGTTGTTGTTTGTTTCTTGTGGGCTTCCATTTATTCAGTTTGGGAAAGGATGATTTATTTAGAGTGCTTACCTTTGTGAAAAGCTATTATATGGAGAATGGTGGCCATTTTCTCTCTCTCACTAAAGAAGGGAGAAAAGGAACCTTCATTCTAGTCGAAGAAATGAAGATATGCTTTCAGGAAGAACTTCCCAGTGGAGATGGCTATGAAATACTATGTAGGGATTGCAGGGATGACTGAGAACGCTGCTTCTTGGAAACCTTTTGATTGTGGGATAGTACGTTAGTTTGATCAAGCTGCTATAACAAACAGCACCCACAGCCAGGGGCTTCAAACAACAAAAATTTCTTTATTCAGTGTTCTGGAGACCAGAAGTCCAAGATCAAGGTGTTGGGAGAATTGGTTCTTTCCCAGCCCTCTCTCCTGGCCTGTAGAAGGCTACCTTCTCACTGTGTCCTCACCTGGTCTTTCTTCTGTGTCTACGCATTCCTGGTGTCTCTCTGTCTCCAAATTTCCTCTTCTTGTAAGGACACACCAGGTAGATTGAATGAGGGTCCACCTTAATGGCCACATTTTACCTCATTGCCTCATTAAAGACACTATTTCTAAATATAGTCACATTATGAGGTGCTGAAGGTAAGGACTTCAACACAGGGATTTTGGGGAGATACCGTTCAGTCCATAACACATCGCTTCCATTTGGAGAACATGATTTAGACTCCAGCACATGAAAGCAGGAAGAACTCTTCCCTGGAAAACTGATTCCACAAACGGGATACTGAGGCCCAAGGCGAGTTACGCAGTGTGGCCCACTTGATCAGGAGGGCTGAGGGGACCTCTGTGGATACCCTCTCCCAGCCCTCCAGTCCTATAAGTCTGTGCTCCAGAATGTGTGGAACTCTCCAGAAAAAACATGCTCCCATCAATGCGAGATAAGAGTGCTGCTGTGGCCAGTGGCACAGGATGTGCTTCTGTCCTGCTGACTGTAATCTGGGGAAGGTGATTCCTGGGGCTTCCAGTCTCTCCACCCTTCAAGTGATGAAGGAGAGGACCTGGGCATCCTGCAGCTTGGGACCAGCTGCAGGAGTCTGTGCTCTCTGCATCATTGGAAATTAGGATGAAGACCCTCAATGCTAATGTGCAAAGGAATCACTGAGAGACTTATGGAAGACGCAGACCCATTCAAGGGCTCTTGATGCAGCCTGGATGGGGTGTGGCTTAGGATGATCTCTCTTTCTTTTTTTTTTTTTTTTTTTTGAGACAGAGTTTCACTCTTGTTGTCCAGGCTGGAGTGCAATGGTCCGATCTTGGCTCACCGCGACCTCCACCTCCCAGGTTAAAGCAATTCTCCTGCCTCAGCCTCCCAAGTAGTTGGGATTACAGGCATGCACCACCACACCTGGCTAATTTTGCATTTTTAGTAGAGATGGGGTTTCTCCATGTTGGTCAGGCTGGTCTCCAACTCCTAACCTTAGGTGATACACCTGCCTTGGCCTCCCAAAGTGCTGGATGTGAGCCACCGTGCCTGGCCAGGATGATCTCTTTCTAACATACACCCAATGTTGAATCAGAATCAGATCAACACTGGAACAATGATTCACACTTTTGCTACCCAGAGTGAGGGCCACAGACAAGGAGAGGCAGCACCACCAGGCAGCTGTGAGAAATTCAGAATCTTAGCTCTGCCCCAGATGAACTGAATGAGAATCCGAGTTCTCATTCAAGTTTGAAAAGCTCTGCTTTACCAGAATTGTGTCTGTGTGGACTTATGCGCTCTCTTTAGTTCGTTGGTGGTAGTGATGGAATTGTTCAAATCACTACTTAACAGGAGTTTCTAAGATGCCCAAATGCTTCAGAAATCAACAGTAAACACCTTGAAAATGTTACTGTCAAGAACTGTGAAGAGTTTATGCTACTTTCAAGGTAATAAGTTAGCCCACCGCCATTTCCTAGATGCTGCCAGAAGATATGAGACTCCTGGGTCAGAGACGATAGACTATTGTAGCATAGAAGGCAGCATGAGCTTCAGGTTCATATCAGTTCCCTCTACCCTCCACAGCCCATGAGGATGACACAGAGGGTCCATGTGGACAGGGTAGACAGAGAGTTTGCATTACAGCTAAGAACCCCTGAGTTTAGGAAGCCCCAACCAATGCCACAGAAAAAGGCATTCTCTTTCTTATCCTGGTCAGGAAATAAATGTACCCTCTGCCCCAGAAGTAGACACTATCTCTATCTTCCAAAGCTATTTGCTATAAAAATATCCTTGAAATGACAGTCTGGAACGAAAGCTGATTCAAGAGGTGCAAAAGGACCATGGGGAATTGCCTTCCAAAATTTACTTTCTTGAATGTCCTTTTTGTTCATCTGAAATATCTTTCTCCATATCCTTGCTTGCAGAGAAACCCAGATACGTCAAAGTTTATAGTCAAGACATAGAGCAGCAATAAATAGGACTCAGTTTAAGCCTATCTCTAGCCTTAAGGAAACTTGCATGTAGGAATTGCATATACCTGAAAATTGTAATTTCTATTTTGTACATAATGACCTATTGGGATCTGTTTTTACAGAAATGCAGTGAATGGGTCAGAAGGCTGTTCAGATTCCTTCTGTTGACTTAATCATGTGATGAATTAGTTAAAAGAATATAAATTAAAATAGTAATAGATGATAACAGTAGTTTCAATTTTTAACATTTACATCTATTAATGCACTTTCACATTCATGATCTAATTTAATTCTCAAAACATGATTGCTTGTCTTTTTCATATGAAGACAGTCAAAGAAACTAAATGACGTGCTTGAAATCGTGGCTAATGCAGGTTAGCCAGGTCTCACAACCACAGCTGCGACTTCCTAGTAGGGAAAATTTTAGCTGACACACATAGTCAAGAGGAAAAAAAAAAATGGAAGTGACTTTTACAAATAAAAATCAATACTACTGATTCTACCAGGAAAGAGAATCACCAAAAAAGCACAAATGAATTAATTTTTCCCTTCTACAGACATTTTTGTAGCAACTTAGCACTTTCCAGGGAATATTTTTTGCACATGCAGGATCATTAACAAGATTTAGCTTCTTCTCATGGCATTTACTCCCCTCGAATTAGGAATTTTGACTGAAACAGAATCTGTAAAGGGAGTGTTGTTTGTTTTATTGGAAACCTGACTCTGAATTCATTCAGTGAATGCTTCCAAAATACTATACAAGAGCCTATTGTGGTATCACATTAGCTACCATGAGCTTGCTGTATGTGAGGCCCTTGTCTAATCAACTGCACTGTGTAATCCCAGGTTTATTAACTCATATTTAGGAGCAGACTTGAAGGGAGACTTTAATATTCCATTCAGTATATTTTGGAGCATTTTAATGACAACTTTTCTTTTTTTTTTCTCTCTCTTTGTTTTTAATCTACACATTATTGCCTGGACACCAAAGCTGCATTTCTCCCATCTTTGTCTTAGCGCTTTGCAGGGTGCCTACGGTTTTCTACCTATTTAGACATTCTCCTGATTTATTCATTCATCCTCTCTCATCCCTTTATAGGTATCGCACAGGTGCTTGAGAAGCTTGCCTGCCTTCTGGGGCTTCCGGCCATTGGAGCCCACACGGCCCCCTGATGCAGTTCCTGCTCTGTGACATGCCCGTCTCTGATGTTAAAAAACTTTTCTTGGGGGGGAAACAAATGATATTTTTTTTTTAGAACCTCTTAGTTGTAGATCACAAGATTAGGTTTTTAGCCAACGTCTTCTTGAACACATTTCCAACTGTGTTTTCAAACAATACAGCTGCTTGGAAAATCTTCGGGCGAAAGAATCTAGTCTCAGTGTTGCTGACTTGAGATTTAAAACTACGTCAGACAGAGGCCAGCCCAGGTGAGGGTCCCTTTGTTATTCAGTGAAAGAGAGAAAACTAAAGAACAAAAAGACAGGCCTTTGGACCTGGCATGACCGTGTCACTACTTTGATGGTGGCTGTCATTTTGGAGGGTACCTTAGGTAGTGACCACGTCACTATGTTGATGGTGGCTGTCATTTTGGAGGGTAACTTAGGTAGTGACTGTGTCACTACTTTGATGGTGGTTGTCATTTTGGAGGGTACCATTGCTCCATGCCACTGTCAAAAAGCTATGGCCCATATTGAGGAGGAGGGGAGGAATCTTTTGCTGATTCTACAACAAAGAAAGTCAGAGAGAGGGTGGCTCTGTGTGCCTGGTGCTACGGTCTCACTGGTTTCCTTCAAGCCTCCTGCTGGGAGTAAAAGGTGCAGGAAGTAGGGCCTTCGAGTGGATTTAGGGTGGGATGATTTTGTGTTTGGGGGCATATAGAGGATAACTGAGGCATAACTGCTAAGCCCCCTTTTCAGTGGTTTGAGTTTATATGCAACATACTGGAATCCAGGCTGGAACTGCCTGAAATTGTACCAGCTTCCCTTAGCTGTATCTCCTCAACATCCCCCCTGCACACCGCTCTGCCGGCTGCCAGGGCTTTTGGAAAGAGGAGCCTTGAACTTCACATGCCATCTCCCTGTATTATTCATAGGAAGGACACACATTCTTTTCTGCTTTTCTGGGCCATGCAAAGGGAGGAAACAGGTGCAGACCCCATGTCCTCGTGGACAGGCCCTCCCTATGTCACGCTCCATCAGGTGCACTGTGTCTCAAATTTTGATGTGCCCTCAAGCCTGTGGGGACCTTGTTCAAATGCAATTTATGTTTCAGTAGGTATCAGTGGGACCTGAGATCCTGCATTCATTACAAGGTCCCAGGAGATGCTGGTACTGCTGGTACATGGATATTTTCAGTATCAGGGGCCTGGAGAACCATTACCTCTGCTGGGAGTAAAAGGTTCAGGAAGTAGGGCCTTAGAGTGGATTTAGGGTGGGATGATTTTGTGTTTGGGGACATATAGAGGATAACTGAGGCAGAACTGCTAAGCCTCCTTTTCAGTGGTTTGAGTTCAGTATGTTATGCAACATACTGGAATCCAGGCTGGAACTGCCTGAAACTGTACAAGCTTCCCTTAGCTGTATCTCCTCAACATCCACCCTTAACATTTGTATTTTAAATTTAACTTCTAAAAGATATTTATAGCATTATAATTGACATACAATAAACTGCACATAAATAATATAATTTGATATGTTTGACATATGTATAATACTCAAGAAACCATCACCACAATCAAGATAGTCAACATATCTGTCACTCTCCAAAATTTCCTCGTACCCCTGTAGAGTCATTATAATTGCTTCTGACCCTTCCAGGCAGCCACTAGCTGCTCTGACACTATAGACTCATTTGCATTTCCTAGCGTTTTGTATAAATAGAGCCATAGAATATGTTCTTTTTTGCTTTGTCTTCTCTTGTTAAGCATAATTATTTTGAGATTTATTTATGTTGCAGCATGAATCCATAGTTCATTCCCTTTTCTGTATGGACATTTGGGTTGTTTGCAGCATGTGGTTATTACAGATGAAGCTGCTGTGAACACTGATGTGCATGTGTTTGTATGCACATTGACTTTCAATCCTCTTAGGCAAATACTTGGGGGTAAAGTGACTGGATCGTATGGTAGATGAATTTTTAACTTTTTAAGAAACTGATAACTGCTTTCCAAAATGAGTGTGCCATTTTCATTTCCACCAGCAGCGTATGAGGGTTCAAGATCCTCTGAATCCCTGCTAACTTCTGTCATGATCAATCTTAACTTTAGTCATTCTGATGTGTGCATTGTGGTACTTCCTTGTGGTTTTAATTTGTACTTTTCTAATAACTCATGATACTGAGTATCTTTTTATGTGGTTATTTGTGATCCATATATGTTCCTTGCTGAAATGCCTGCTCACATCTTTTGTCCATTAAAAAAATGGGTTGTTTACTGGGAGGTGGAGCTTGCAGTGAGCTGAGATTGCGCCACTGCCTCCAGCCTGGGCGACAGAGCAAGACTCCATCTCAAAAAAGAAAAAAAAAAAGGTTATTTTCCCATTACCTAGTTTTGAGAATTCTTTATATATTCTAGATGTTTTAAGTAGATCTATGATTTGCAGATATTTTCTGTCAATCTGTAGCTTGTCTTCAGGCAAGCAGAATGATTAATTTTGATGAAGTGTTTTTGGTGTCATAAATATGAAATCTTTGCCTGACTGACCTAAGAGCACAAAGACTTTCTCCTATTTATACTTGTAGAAGTTTATCACCTTAGGCTTTGTGTTTATGTCTAAGATACATTTTTAGTTACTTTTTGGCATAGGGTATGTGTTTGTCTGTTCTCACATGGCTAATAAAGGCATACCTGAGACTGGGTAATTTAAAAGGAAAGAGTTTTAGTGGACTCACATTCCACATGGCTGGGGAGGCCTCACAATCATGGCAGAAGGCGAATGAGGAGCAAAGTCACATCTTACATGGCGGCAGGCAAGAGAGCTTGTGCAGGGGAACTGCCCTTTATAAAACCATCAGATCTTGTGAGACTTATTCACTATCCCAAGAACAGCATGGGGGAAACCGCCCCCAAGATTCAGTTACCTCCACCGGGTCCCTCCCATGACACATGGGAATTCTGGGAGCTACAATTCAAGATGAGATTTGGGTGGGGACACAGCCAAACCATATCAGGGTATGTATATATAATCTGTTATTTATTCCAGTGCCTTTTGTAGAAAAGAACTGCCCTTTCTCCACCAAATTGCCCTTACAGCTTTGTCAAAAATTAGTTGTCCATATATGTATGGGTCTATACCTGGACTCTTTATTCTCTTCCCTGGATTTAACTGTCTTGGTCCTCCAACTTGGTTCCTTCTCAAAGTACTTTTGGCAGTTTCCAGATTGTCTGCATTTCCATGTGAATGTTAGAATCGGCTTGTCAGTCTCTGTGAAAAATTGCCAGGATTTTGACTGGGAGTGCATTGGATCTACAGATCAACTTGGGAAGAATAAGCATCTTAAAAATATCAACTCTTCTAGGCCGGGCGCAGTGGCTCATGCCTGTAATCCCAGCACTTTGGGAGGCCTAGGCAGGCAGATCATCTGAAGTTGGGAGTTTGAGACCGGACTGACAAACATGGAGAAACCCCATCTCTACTAAAAATACAAAATTAGCTGGGCATTGTGGTGCATGCCTGTAATCCCAGCTACTCAGAAGGCTGAGGCAGGAGAATTGCTTGAACCTTGGAGGCAGAGGTTATGGTAAGCCGAGATTGTGCCATTGCACTCCAAGCTGGGCAACAAGAGTGAAACTAAAAAAAAAAAAAAACAAAACTCTTCTAATTGATGAACAAAAAACTTCCCTTCATTTATTGAGGTCTTTCATTTCTCTCAGCAAAGATTCAAAGAATCTTTAATCTCTTGAAGTTTGTAATTTTAATTTTTGTTTCTGTTTCATAAAAGAGAAATAAATTCACATGCCATTATCCCTGGAGCCAAAAACCTTACCCTACCTTTTCAAAGTCATCACCATTGCTTACTTGGGGAAAATAATTTCAATCTTCCTTTCAGCTACAATTTGCCTACAAGTGAAGTGGGTTTTTTTTCTTGCTCCACAGAGATGTTGTAAGTTCAATTATTTATCATAATTATTTTAAAATCCAAGGTGTCATTGTATTATTCTTGTTTTCATCTATATATTGTAGTTTTAGTATTTGCAAAATTACTTTTTAAATTTTCTTTTGCCATTAAGTTGGCAATAATGATAGTTGATTATACAAATACTTCACAATTAAAGAAGAAAAACATCATTATAAAGAAATCCATTCTCTGTGATCAACAGCCCATTAAAACCTGCTGTTTTAAGACATAATAACACTTTTAATTAACTTACAACAGACTTTTTATTATAAAAGATTAAACTATCAGATATACATTAAAGTATGCTAAGCAAATTAATTAAAACTAAGGAAATTGAGAAATGACATCCTGGCATTAATAACACCTTATATTATGAAATGGCTAGGTTGGAGAGAAGCAAAATTGTTTATTCCACTTCACAGTTAAGGTAATTGCATTTTGTAGAAAAGGAACGAGATTAGGCACCAGAAGACCTTGGTTTGGAAAGCAGCACTGCTTTCTGACAGCTGTTTGTGGGCCTGGGATCAGTCTCTAGAGGATGCACGGCTGCCTGCACGTTTTCCTGGGATCGCGTCTGTTGGAGAGCACGGCCTCAGGGTCAACCACTTTCTGGATATTTGTTTCTTGTGTAGCTTTGAGTAAGTTACACACCTATATAAGCCTCAGTTTCTTCTTCTGTAAAATGTGGGTAAAAAAACATCTACTGAACACTGATATTGTAAAGATTACAGAGTTAGTATACAAATAACATACTTAGTGTAACACTTAGACAGAAGTATCAATATTTTTACTACCACTGCTGCTACTTCAGTGCCTTCCTCATAGATCATTGCTGGGGAGAATCAAGCCTCTTCTACTCTCTCTCTCTCTTTTGTTGCTAGGGTGAACCAAGCCTCTTCTCTTCTCTCTCTCTCTCTCTCTCTGTCTCGTTGCTAGAGAGAACCAAGCCTCTTCTCCTCTCTCCCTCTCTCTCTCTCTTTGCTAGGGACAACCAAGCCTCTTCTCTCTCTCTCTCTCGTTGCTAGGGAGAACCAGGTCTCTCTCTCTCTCTCTCTCTCTCTCTCCTGTTTTGCTAGGGAGAGCCAAGCCTCTTCTCTCTCTCTCTGTCTCTCTCTCTCTCTCCATCCCTCTATCTCATTGCTAGGGAGAACCAGGCCTCTCTCTCTCTTTTTGCTAGGGAGAACCAGGCCGCCGCCGCCGCCGCCTCTTCTCCTTCTTCTTCTTCTTCTTCTTCTTCTTCTTCTTCTTCTTATTCTTATTCTTATTCTTCTTCTTCTTCTCCTTCTCCTTCTCCTTCTCCTTCTTCTCCTTCTTCTCCTTTCTTCTTCTTCTTCTTTTCTCTCTCTCTCTCTCTCTTTTGTTGCTAGGGTGAAATAAGCCTCTTCTCCTCTGTCTCTGTCTCTCTCTCTCTTGTTGCTAGGGAGAACGAAACCTCCTCCTCCTCCTCTTCCTCCTCCTCCTCTTCCTCCTCCTCCTCCTCTTCCTCCTCCTCCTCCTTTTCCTCCTCCTCCTCCTATTCCTCCTCCTCCTCCTCCTCCTCCTCCTTCTTCTTCTTCTTCTTCTTCTTTTTTCTTCTTCTTCTTTTCTCTCTCTCTCTCTCTCTTTGCTAGGGACAACCAAGCCTCTTCTCTCTCTCTCTTATTGCTAGGGAGAACCAGGCCTCTCTCTCTCTCCTTTTTTTGCTAGGGAGAGCCAAGCCTCCTCTCTCTCTCTCATTGCTAGGGAGAACCAGGACTCTCTCTCCTTTTTTTGCTAGGGAGAGCCAAGCCTCCTCTCTCTCTCTCTCTCTCTCTCTCTCTGTCTCTCTCTCTCTCTCTTTTTTGCTAGGGAGAACCAGGCCTTTTCTCTTCTCTTCCCTTCTCTTCTCTTCTCTTCTCTTCTCTTCTCTTCTCTTCTCTTCTCTTCTCTTCTCTTCTCTTCCCTCTCTCTCTCTCTCTCTCTCTCTCTCTCTCTCTCCCTCTCTCTCTCTCTCTCTCTCTCTCTCTCTCTCTCATTGCTAGGAAGAAACAAGCCTCTTCTCCTTTCTCTCTGTTTTTGCATAGATTATGACTTCTCTGGGAAAATGGGTAAGAATTTCTCTGTAAGACTATAAAGTTTGACTTTCTATTTCAACTATAATTTCTTTCTTTTTTTTAATCACTAGAATCCCTTAAGCTTCTGGGTTAATTCTTCATATAAGTTGGTTTCAGATTTTGTTCTGCTGTTTTTGTCTTCTTTACAGGGGATGATCAAGGAGGCAAAACTCAGAGATCCTCTATTCAGTTGCAAATGGTTCCTTCTATAATTTTATAGAAAGTGATAATGGATCAGATAATAGTTTCAGAAGCTTTGTTTGATCAGTGTTAATCTATGGATTCATCTCTCATCTACATTATAACTTGTAGAACTAAAAGACAATTCAAGTATAATCGCTGATGCTGTCACGGGTGGGTGAGAAAAGTTACTCGAGTATCCTTTTCTCCCATTTAATGGAAGCAAAACGAACCAAAGAAATATGACAAGGGACAGAAAGATACACTTTTATTAATAAGATAATTGCTAATAACTACAGTAGCAGTCATTAGGCTTAATTTAGATTCCAACAATTTGTCAAAATGTGTTATTAGGATGGGTGTGGTGGCTCACACCTGTAACCTAGCACTTTGGGAGGCTGAGGCAGGCAGATCACCTGAGGTCAGGAGTTCAAGACCAGCCTGGCCAACATGGTGAAATCCCATCTCTACTAAAAAGACAAAAAATTAGCCAGGCATGGTGGCGCATGCCTGTAATCCCAGCTACTTGGGAGGCTGAGGCAGGAGAATCACTTGAACCTGGCAGGCAGAGGTTGCAGTGAGCCAAGATGGCGCCACTGCACTATAGCCTGGGTGACAAGAGTGAAATTTCATCTCAAAACAAAAACACATATTTAATTCTTCTTCATTTAGTATCTAGAAGGCAAGTGTTTACCCAACTTCTGATGCAGAAACAGCTTTTCTTTCTGGCAAACATTTGGGTCCTGTTCATGTGCTGGGACCATCACACTAGGCCTGACTGCAGGACGCCGCCAGGCATGGAGACACCTGGCCCCCGGCCTCAGCCCTCCCTGGAGTCCCTGTCTGCACCTCCTGCTCTGTCCCACACCCCAACCTTTGTGATTTCCTGGCTGATGTCCCTGCCATGGAGTGTCTGAGAGTGGGAGGCTCCTCTTTAACAGAGGAGGTGGAATTAGTAAGGCCAGCCAGATTTTCCCTCTTTGAATGCGGATAGGGAAACGTGGAGAGAAGGATTCGGTCATTTTCAGGAGAAGATGCAGAACTGAAGCCGCGAGAATGGCCGTAGGCAGTCATGATGGAGCTGGACTTTGGACTTAGGAGAAAAAGCCATTGAGGAACTCAGGTGAGGTGTGCACCTGGGGGCAGTAGGGGTGTAATCCAGAGGGGAAGAAGCGGAGTGGCCGCCGCACACTAAGATAACCCCTTCTTCCTGCTGCCTGGGGCCCTCAGCGGCCTGGTTCAGGCACGGTTGCCACTCATGCTTTTCTCATAAGGCTCATCTACATAATGATCTGCATTCCTATGAGATTTCCCTTGTTTCCGTGTTTCTCCTTATGATAAAGGCCCTATCTCTGGAGGTAGCTGAAAAACTTCTCTGTTACCCAAATGGTGCAAGTAACACAACAGCCATGTTTCCATGCAAGAGTCAGTGCAGAGGTAGCTTTGTCAAAGGGAGGTTCCCTTGCCTTTGGTGTAGATGGCAAGGCCTCATTGCACACTACAATGTTCTCACATCGGCCAGGTGTGGTGGCTCATGCCTGTAATCCCAGCACTTTGGGAGGCCGAGGCAGGCGGATCACGAGGTCAGGAGATCGAGACCATCCTGGCTAACATGGTGAAACCCTGTCTCTATTAAAAATACAAAAAATTAGCTGGGCATGGTGGCGGGCACCTGTAGTCCCAGCTACTCAGGAGGCTGAGGCAGGAGAATCGCTTGAATCTGGGAGGTGGAGGTTGCAGTGAGCCGAGATCGCACCACTGCACTTAAAAAAAAAGAAAATGAAAAAGAATGTTCTCACATCTCCTCTTTGGAGTTGAGTTCAATCTGGTCCCATGGGGGCAAGCTGCTTTTACATGAACAAATGACACGCCTGCCAAAGTCTGTGCGTTTCCTCATACTCATCTTCACAACCTCCCCGTCACGGCCGTGAAGCAAGTGTAGATGGCCGAGCCATCTTACGCTGAATGGACATTGGCTGTTCTTACTCTGACCTGTAGTGCAAGTCTGTAAAAATGTCCTTGCAAACTGAGACTGTGCAAAATGATCCTAATAATCAAAAGCATTGCTCCGGGACCTTTAACAAAATTTGTGAAAACATTTAAAAGTTCTCTTATTGTGGGTTATAAATGCATAGGGAAATTAAAAACTAGTAAAACTCCTACTTATATAGCATATCGTGATTTGAAACATTAGAAACTTTGAGAATTAAAGTGTTTTACTTGATTGTAAAAAAAAAAAAAAGAAAAGAAAACACCTTTCTAAGAAGAGTTTGAGCAGTGTGTGCCTTCTTAGCGCATCCCTTACAGTAGGGAGTGTGCATCTTTTCTAACCCTTGGCGACGTGTCATACTCCTTTCTGTGGGATCATCTCCTGCATTCTATTCCTTTTGTTTTCAATAAGGCTTCCTATAATATGGAAAGTTTTTGCTGGAGTCACTTCTTCTGGGGTGTCTTCCTCCTCTTTGTCACAGCCACTTTCTTAATTCATGACAATAAATTCTCCTTCACTCAATTCCCTGGTTGCATAACAGCAGTGTCAACGTTCCCAAGGTCAGCTATTTCTTTTGTAACTCCGCTTTCAACTCAGATCTCACTTCCACCAGGATCACTTTTTATTGATCTTTGCACTTTCATCTTTTCTGGCCAATCCCTCTTTTGATTACCCATTGTTGTCTTCACTGGAAGGTCTTGGCAACCTTGTTGAAAATCACTTGGCCCAAAACGTGAGGGTTTATTCCAGGACTCCCATTTCCACCACCTTGGTATATATGTTTAACCTATGGCAGAATCATCTTCCTGAGTCTTGGCACGTGGAGTCATTAAGAGCATGGGCTTTGGCCCCCTGCTTCTAACACCGTGTGATCTGTGCCATGTCAGTGTGTCTCTCTGAGCAATAGTTTCCTAATTTAGAAGCAACTCCCTAGAGGACGTTTTTGAAAATGAGAAAATCTGTGAAAAGCATTTCGTACTGTGCCTAGAAACACAGCAAATGCCACCGGGCACGGTGGCTCACGCCAGTAATCCCAGCCCTTTGGGAAGCCAAGGCAGGCAAATCACCTGAGGTCGGGAGTTTGAGACCAGCCTGATCAACATGGAGAAACCCCGTCTCTACTAAAAAAATAAAAAATTAGCTGGGCGTGGTGGCACGTGCCTGTAATCCCAGCTGCTTGGGAGGCTGAGGCAGGATAATTGCTTGAACCCTGGAGGTGGAGGGTGTGGTGAGCCGAGACTGTGCCACTGCACTCCAGCCTGGGCAACAAGAGCGAGCAAAACTCTGTCAAAAGAAAAAAAAAGAGAGAAAGAAAGATGAAAGAAAGAAAGAAGAAAGAAAGAAAGAAAGAAAGAAAGAAAGAAAGAAAGAAAGAAAGAAAGAAAGAAAAAGACCATAGTAAATGCTCAATAAATCAGACTTCTTATTACTGAATCATTGATAACATAGGGCTACAGTTGGCCATTGTCAACAACTTTTCTTCCCCCTGCCTTTGAACACACCACTCAAGTTGCAGATGACAACTTTCATATCCTTTACTCCCTAAAACACATGGTGCAATATTCATTTTGGCTGTTTCATCAGAATGAGATATGTAAATTGTGATGACCCAAAGTGTGACTTATCCCAAAGTGAACCTCCCAAGAAAGACCTAGACAGGCTCTAACCCCAGGATAAGCAAGCTGGTAGTACCTGTCTCCTATTCCCCGTCGCGGAGGGATAGTGGCTCAGAAGCGTGACACTGTCATTATGTTCTCTGGCATACAGACAGTTTTCCCTA